>NC_000002.12:5161515-5464545 GCF_000001405.40 Homo sapiens
GGGAAAAAAGTATTCACAATACATATACTTGACAAAGAACTCACAGCCAGAATATAAAGAACCCTTACAACAGAATAAGAAGACAAGCAATCCAACTTAAAAATCGGCAAAAGAGGCCAGTCCTGGTGGCTCACACCTGTAATTCTAGCACTTTGGGAGGCCGGGGCAAGTGGATCACTTGAGGTCAGGAGCTTGAGACCAGCCTGGCCAGCAGGGTGATACACTTTCCTTACTAAAAATACAAAAATTAGCCAGGCGTGGTGGAGCATGCCTGTAATCCCAGCTACTCGGGAGACTGAGGCAGGAGAAACCCTTGAACCTGGGAGGCAGACGTTGTAGTGAGCTGAGATCGCGCCACTGCACCCCAGCCTGGGTGATACAGTGAGACTCTATTTCAAATAATAGTAATAATAATAATAAATGGGCAAAAGACTTGAACAGATATTCATCAAAGAAGAAAGATTCTCAGCCTAATTAGTTAGCAAATAAATGAAAGAAATCACCACATTGAGATTCCACTCACTACCCACCATAGAAGGACTAAACTTGAAAAACCTGGCAACACAAGTGTCAGTTCAAAACTCTCATTGATTGCTGGTGACAGTGTTAAATGGTGTAACTACTGTGGAAAACACTGTGCCAGTGTCTTCTAAAGAAAACTGTACACTTTCTATAAGATGCTGCAATTTCACTTCTAGATATTTACCCAGAAAAATTGAAAATGCTCCTTTCACGAAGACTTCACATGGATGTTCCTAGTAACTTTATTCATAATAACAAAAGTAGAAATAATCCAAATGCCCATCACCAGATGAATGAATAAATGAATTGTGGTCTATCTACAAAATGCAATATTAAGCAATAAGAAGAAACACACACCTGTAATCCCAGCACTTTGGGAGGTCGAGGCAGGTGGCTCACTTGAGGTCAGCAGTTTAAGACCAGCCTGGCCAACATGATGAAACCCCATCTCTACTAAAAATACAAAAATCAGCAGGGTGTAGTGGCGCACGCCTTAATCCCAGCTACTAGAGAGGCTGAGGAGGGAGAATCACTTGAACCTGGGAGGCAGAGGTTACAGTGAGCTGAGGTTGCACCATTACACTCCATGCACTTCAGCCTGGGTAGCAGAGTGAGACTCTGTCACCAAAAAAAAAAAAAAAAAAAAAACCGCACCGTTGGCACAGGCAACACCATTCATGAGTCTCAAAAGCAGTATTCTGTGCAAAAGGGGTCAGACACAAAAGAGTAATGAAATAATTTTATTCATAGGAAATTTCCAACTTCACATGGTAATCTGCAATGGCAGAAAGCATTTCTCCTGGGTCTTGAATGATTAGGACTTCAGTGGAATCGGAGGCTTGCTAGGGTAGAAAAATTAACATGAGCACAGTAGATTCCAGATTCACTTGAGAATATTTCTTGTGACTTTGACTGTGTGCAATACCGCAGTTCATAAAAAATAAGCTGGAAAGAGAATTCTGGATGAGTTGAAAGAGGATCTTGAATTTAACAATGGCACATGTATTTATTCTTGAAGTGATTGGCATTATCGGTTTTAGAAGAAGGGAAACACTGTGGACCTTTGCAACCAATTTTTTTATATTCACAAGGACATTTTTGTATTATAACTCATATGAGCAATCCATTTCCATCCTAATGTTTTTTGTATTTAACCAATAACAAATATGTCCATTAATGTCTTTTAGAACACCTAAATTGTGCTGCTAAAGTATCACAGAATAAAACTATAGGAGGGTTTTCAGGAATGTGTGTAACACAAACATTCATTGATGCTAAATATAAAGTAAAAGATAGGTTCCACACCTGATCCAGGCTGGTAAGCTAAGATGAAATCAATTGCTTGAGTGAATTTGTGTTAATAATCATATACCTTTTATATTAAAGGGTGTTTGATTAAATGACAGTCATGATATTCTTTCCCATGAATTAATGTAAACACTAACTCAGCACATTCTATATGCCAAATACTATACTTGGCTCTATTTTATAAGACTTGACTTTAACTGCTTCATGGAAATAATGTTTAAATTTCTCAGGAGATATTACTGTTCTTTTCTGAGATAAAATGTACTCTCTGGGACATGTTCAGTATATGAAAATTACTTAAATATTCATTAATTTCCTTGTGTCTACCATATCGTAGAAGATGACTTAAACCTCAGGATGATAATGTTGAAAATTTTTTCAGACTAGGAATGTGCATTATCAAAAGGATAAAATAAACAGAGTACGCAACATAATCTATTTTTGGAAGTGTAGCAATGGAAAACTCAATTCTTCCCACAACTTTCCACCAAAGATTATAAATATGATTCTCTTTCCTCTTTAAATCAGCAAGGAAGCGCTCTGTCACCATGGCTATTCTCTCTCTATTCCATTTAGATGTCATTCAATTATAAATAGAGAAAGTAAAAATACACAAAAAGAGTTGTTCAACAGTGATTTTAACTCTACATTTATTGGTAAGTATAATCGCATGCACATATAAATATAAATTTAGAAACATCTCTGCCAGCGTAACCTAAATACATATTAAAGCATCTCATTTCTACATTGTCAACATAGTAATACAGCTTATTAAAAGGTTTTAAACCTTACTGATCTTTCTTGGAAACAAATATGAAGCAAACATTATATTATTAAACTCATTAATTCCAAAAATCATCCTGTCTATATGGACTGCTGCCCTGGAATTCTCCAGCTATTGCCCCTAGGAAACATATTTGCATAACAAGGTGACACTTAGGAATCCACCACATATATTAGCAGTATTAGTGCAACCAGAAACGTAGCAGCCATTATCTCAGGGTTGGTACATTTTCTGTTGTTGTTGTTCATTCCATGTAATTTCTCTCTACAGTGTAATAGAAAAACTCAGTATTTCAATGAACCTGATCTTCTTGCCAAATTAACTCCTTTCTTTATCAAATAGTGCTTACTCAGTAGTTAAATTATAGGGAATTCAGTCTCTAACTAGCAGAAAAATAAACCCTGAGAGGATAATTCAAGTTTGATGTTCTCATTGGCTTCACAGCAATTTCTGAGAAGACCTACTCACCCACTGAGGCACTGCATAAAAATGAGTGCCCAGTGAGGGCAGTAAGAACCGCACACGCTGAAGACTGGCAGGAAGAGCCTCATATTCCTTATGCGAGATATCCCCTTCTTTCTCCATGGAGTTCATTAAAATGCTGCCTTCTCCAAATTGTGGCTCATACTTGACCTATCTCTCCTGGTCAAGACTCAACCATCTGGAGTAGCTCATCTATCTCCCTTTAGCTCCTTCTTCCTTTACTCTATTTTCCTCTCTTTGGTTATTTTCTACTTAAAACATCATTTTCATTTCTCACTTTGCTGTTGAAATCACTAACTTCAAGTACCAAATTGTCTGTAATGTTAGATCTGGCCAATGTAAACAACCCAAAACCCCAGGCTTACTAATTCAGTTCTTAGAAACCACTCCAATTCATCTTCTTCTGGACCAAAGTGCTTCCTCAAACCATTTAAATCTATTTTTAGTTCCACAGTAAGCTTTCACATTTAGTTTACGTTACTAAATCATATTTGATATTTTAAGAATGTATTAATGTTTTATGTCACACAGTTCAAATTTCTACTAAATAATCAGTCACTCAATATCAAGAAATATAGCCTCAATAAATGATCTGATCCTCTGGTTTTTGAGTCTAAGTTTTACTGGCTATTAAAGAGATTGGCTTGCTTTTAAGTAAGTCAGGCAGTCACCCGAATGGGCTTCGTGTTTAGACATGTAAAAGTGATGACTCAGTGGATGCCCCATTGCTTCTGGTAATTTAGGAAATTGCTAAAATATAAGTCACCCTCTGGTAAAGTCACACAGTACTCATTTGTACTCCATTATCAGTCATCTAAGGAAGTATCTGTGATCTCCAAAATAAAGAATATAGGAAAATATTGTTCATGGCTGCTTAGTTATGGATAATTTTTGTTGTTCTCCATGCCAACATAGTGAGACAAAATATTATACATATATAAAATCTTCATATATATATATATATATATATATATATATATATATATCAGAAGATTGGGTCTGGATCTGCCAACCTTTGTAAATAGCTTTATCAAACAGAGTTCAATGCAGGAATCAGACACACACTGGATATTCTTAGCAAAAAAAAAAAAAAAGTTTTTTTAAACATAACTGAGTAGACTTGAGCAATTGAAATTAAAAAGACATCAGTTGAATGATTACTTTTGCAAGGGTGTCCAATCTTTTGGCTTCCCTAGGCCACACTGGAAAAAGAATTGTCTTGGGCCACATAAGAGATGATCTAAGAACAATTATCTTCATTTTAAAGATTTAGGGACTTAGAAGAATGATAAAATTTTGAGTTGTAAAGTAGCTGAGCAAACTAAAGGCCATTCTAAGTTCAATGTTGTTTTCACATTAATGATCTTCTGATAGAGTTGTCATTGCTAGTGCATATCCACTGCTCCATTTGTGTAACCCCAGGAATTTGTCAGAACAAACAAGAACTATTGGAAGTAAGAATGGCATAGTCATCAGGTTTCATTAAAAGAGCACAGTTATGGTTGTGCAAGTTCACTCGGTATCCTCCTTATGTTCTTCATTCTGGTAACAATCTTCAGCTTCTGGGCCACAGGGCTGGCTAGCTACATGCAGAAAACTGAGAATGGACCCCTTCCTTCCACCTGATACAAAAATTAACTCAAGATGGATTAAAGACTTAAATGTAAAACCCAAAAACATAAAAATCCTAGAAGAAAACCTAGGCAATACCATTCAGGACATAGGCATGGGCAAAGACTTTATGACAAAAATGCCAAAAGCAATTGTAACAAAAGTGAAAATTGACAAATGGGATCTAATTAAACTAAAGAGCTTCTGCATAACAAAAGAAACTGTCATCAGAGTGAACAGGCAACTTACAGAACGGGAGAAAATTTTTGCAATCTCCCCATCTGACAAAGGTCTAATATCCAAAATCTACAAGGAACTTAAACAAATTTACAAGAAAAAAAAGTAACCCCATCACAAAATGGGCAAAGGATATGAATGGATATGAACAGACACTTATCAAAAGAAGACATTTACATGGCCAACAAATGTGAAAAAAAGCACAACATTACTGATCATTAGAGAAATGCAAATCAAAACCACACTGAGATGCCATTTCACAGTAGCCAGAATGGCGATTATTAAAAAGTCAAGAAACAATAGATGCTGGCAAAGATGTGGAGAAATAGGAATGCTTTTACACTGTTGGTGGAAATGTAAATTAGCTCAACCATTGTGGAAGACAGTGTGGTGATTCCTCAAGGATCTAGAACCAGAAATACCATTTGACCCAGCAATCTTATTACTGGGTCAAATTTATATAACCAAAAGTATGTAAATCATTCTACTATAAAGACACATGGACACGTATGTTTATTGCAGCACTATTTACAATAGCAAAGACATGGGACCAACCCAAATGCCCATCAATGATAGACTGGATAAAGAAAATGTGGTATATACACCATGGAATACTATGCAGCCATAAAAAAGGAATGAGATTATGTCATTTGCAAGGACATGGATGAAGCTGGAAGCCATCATCTTCAGCAAACTAACACAGGAACAGAAAACTAAACACCACATGTTCTCACTCATAAGTGGGAGTTGAACAATGAGAACACATGGACACAGGGGCAGGAACAACACAAATGGGCCAGTCGGGGGGTGGGAAGCGAGAAGAGGGAGAGCATTAGGACAAATAGCTAATGCATGAAGGCCTTAAAACCTAGCAGATGTGTTGATAGGTGCAGCAAACCACCATGGCACACGTAGACATATGTAACAAATCTACACGTTCTGCACTTGTATCCTGGAACTTAATGTAAATTAAAATAATAATAATAATAATAATAATAATAATAAAGAACTACCAGAGACTGGGCAATTTATAAAGAAAAGAGGTTTAATTGACTTACAGTTCCACAGGCTGTACAAGAGGCATGGCTGGGGAGCCCATGTAAGTCAGGAAACTTACAATCATGGCAGGAGGATGAAGGAGAAGAAAGCAAATCTTCACATGGTGGTAGAAGAGACAGAGCAAAGGGGGAAGCGCCACACACTTTCAAACAACCGGATCTCCTGAGAACTCACTCACTATCAGGAGAACAGCAAGGGAAAAATCTGACTCAATGATCCAATCACTTCCCACCAGGTCCCTCTCGCAACATTGGGGATTACAATTTCACGTGAGATTTGGGTGGGGACAGTGTCAAACAGTGTAGAGTCTATATTGCTACATTGTTTCACAAGCGTCGGCATACTGCACAGAACTATTAGAAAATGAGGTTCATGGGAGGATTTCCTTTTTTTGAGGCTAATAATAAGTATCCCATTGTGTCTATATGCCACACTTTCCTTTTATTCATCCATTGATGAACGCTTAAGTTGATTTCATATCTTGGCTGTTGTTGAGTAATGGCACAATGAACATTGGATTGTAGATATTTCTTTGGCATATTGATTTTGTTTCCTTTGAATATATACCAAAAAGTGAGAATGCTGGATCATATGGTAGTTTTATGCTTTTAATTTCTTGAGGGAGCCCCATACTGTTTCCCATAGTGGCTGTGCTAATTTACGTTCCAACCAAGAGTGTACATAGGTTCCCTTTACTTCACTTTCTTGCCAACACTTGTTATCTTCCATCTTTTTGGTAATAGCCATTCTAACAGGCATGAGTCACTTGCAGCGACATGATAATTCTTGAGGACATTATGTTAAATGAAGTAAGTCAGGCACAGAAGACAAATACTGCATGATGTCACTTATATGTGGTATCTAAGTCAAATTCACACCAGCAGAGGGTACATGGTGGATACCTGAGGCTGGGGGCAGTGAAGAGCTGGAGTGGGGGGATATTGATCACAGAGTATAAAATCTTAGTAAGATAGGAGGAATAAGTTCAGAAGATCTATTGTACCACGTGGTGACTAGAGTTAATAACATTGTGTGATATACTTAAAAAATGCTAAGAGAGTGGATTTTATGTGTTTTCGCCACAAAATAAATGTATCTAAGAAAATAATGCACACAAGTTCCCTTGATGTAGACATTCCATAAGGTATACATGTGCTAAAGCATCATGTCACATATCACAATACTCAATTTTTATTTGCTGATTAAAATTTTTAAAAAGTAGTTTTAAAAAGCCAGCTCAATATTTTTTTCTAGACAAACTGATTCCAAAAGTCTTTCCATGAAGCCATAGTATGCACTGAGGGAGAGGTCCCAGTGTAGCAGAAGCAGGGCAGTAAGTCTGGAAATCACTGAGAAACCAGGATGACTCAAGTCTCCTCATCTATTTCAGTTCTAAAAGGTTGCATAGATTAAATACCCACACCAAAATCAAACAATTACATCTTTAGCCCTCTCTCCTTCATAATATCAGTTGGATTTTGTCTGAGGCAGCTGAGGATTTATTCTCTGAGACTTGCAGTTAACATTGTCATCACTGGAATTAGGGAAGCTATTTCAATAGCAATACTGTGAGTGTCTTAGGACCTACAGAGGATGAATACTATAGTGCTTCTGAGGGCACTGCTTTTCTACTCACGGATGTATTTCTTACTACCTCTGTGAAAGAAATGCTGCCTGTATCCTCTCAGGGCCATAGTTACTGGGTGCTTGCGGAATCTCACCTATTTCCTGAAAGCTTTGTGTTTATTACTCCACAATAAAGCAAGGATATCTGACATCTCAACCTTACAAAAAAGTGTCACCTGAGAGTCTAGATTTCAACCAAAAAGTGAGAACATGTTTGAACTTGCATATTGAAACTCTTATCTCTAATAAAAACATCCTTGTTTATAAATTGACCTAATCTGAAATCATGTTTCTTGTTCATTGGTATAGAACACTTGGAGCCCACTGGTATACCTATTCCCCAAGTTCTGCTGTGTGTGTGTGTGTGTGTGTGTGTGTGTGTGTGTCTATTTTACATACAAGGAAACATTGGTATTGGTATCATATAATATGTTATGACAGAGGGAGAGAGAGAGAGAGAGAGGAAGACTTTTGGCGTTAGCTTTCTTCCTTTCTGGGTCAGAAGTTGTGTATATGTTCTAGGGTCATGCTGAGATCTGACAGTATTTACAAATGTGGAGCAAAAGAGAGAAGAAAAATATATTGCAAAAAGAGAATTATTACTCTTTTCATGATAATTACCCCAGGTGAGGTATATATGGCCTCATTATATAGCCTCTGAGTAATATGAGAGACTTCATTAGACAGAGAAAGAGAGCTGGTTTCCACTAGCAAGGGATAATCGTTGAGAGTGGATGTTAAGGGTACTCTGAATTGTCTAAATCGATTGAATTGAGTTTGTCCAATTTTCAGTTTCCCACTTGTTTTTATTCAATGCCTAGAGCTGCACATACAAGGCGTAATGATGTTGTGAAATCAACTTCTCTTGTCATGCAGCACCCAACTCACTCACCACATTTGTGGAATGAGTGTTGAACAAGTTGATCTCTAAACTGCACAAACACACTATTATATGTGCACAAACTAAACCATAAAGGCTCAAAATCATATGGCATTTAAACAAAAATCTATGCCTTGGAAGTCTTTGCTGAGGTAAGAGCGTTTCATTTTTCTGTTTGGAAGTATTTATTTACCACTTATTGCTTATAATGAACTCTACGTAACATGCTATTTTGTCCATTATTTTCAGAGGCCTGTGGAACTATATCTATTGTATCTCAGAACACTAGAAAAACATAAAGCAGCAAAATAATTTTAGCAAAAATAATTCAATTTGAAGCAGATGAATAAAACATGAAAGTGTCACACTAGATGCAAATCACCAAGTTAGGCTGATACAGCCTTCAATTGATCATATCTATCAAGAGTGCTCAGAGAAGGTAAAGTAGGATCTAAAATTAATATTTGCTAGACGGCTTTGATTTATATTTTTGCAAGTTCCCTTATGTCAAAATGCCATGTTAAAGAAATGCATTTTATATTACATTTCAGAAATCACCATATAAATGTTTGCCTTTTATTGAAATATGAATTGTTTTAATATGCTTCTGAAGCTGAGATAAAAATTGCTTTAAAGTATTGGAAAATATAATTTTAAAATTGTTGCAAAATAGCTAAAATAATATCTCCTGTCACCTTTTTCACCTATCTCCCTTCCTCACTCCATGGCCTTAAGAGACATTCTACTCCACCTAATGAGTTAATTTTCTGTAGGGGAAATATCATTTCTCTACAGGAGAATCTGTTGCTTATTTCAAATGTAGCATTAAGAAGCTCAGTATTAAATAATGAGTTGCAAGCTTAGGATCCAAAGACAAACTGGAATTTAGATTTATAAAGAATGATCACTATATTTAGAAAGTCTAATTTCAGCAAAATCAAGGAATATTGTTTAGTTAAAAGATACAGTGCTCCCAGAGACAGGATATAAACAATAAATCTTTCTTAATAAAGAACCCACATGCTATGTAATTCTCACATAATTAATCTTTGAGACTCCTAAAAACTTTTAGAGATATTTTGAGGATTTAAAATATATATTTAACTAAGAGTACTATTGGAATGATAGCTTGGCACTTTATGTAATCAAAATATTCTAGGTTAAAATAGATTTGAGGATTAAAAATTAAAAAAGCGAAGTTCCCCACCTGTCTCCTATTGTGTTCCGACATGATTAACAAACCAGCATTTCTTTTCATAACATCACATGAAAACTATTTGACTTAGAAAAGTTTTTAAGAGATCTTCTATTCAATAATGCCTGATGGTTTGGTGATATAAATTAAATATTCTACAGTTATATTTTGATCTTTTTTAGTAGTAAAAATATAGAAGAAAATCAAGAATAGCATTGCAGTGTTAGAAGAGGGTTAATGTTTGCTAAATCAGTACTATTTTTTTTGGAGATAATATAGTGCTGTCTATATTTGGCTAAAAATTAAAATATCAAAACTATAAAATAGGACATCACCATCACCTTAAACAACTGTTAGTAAATTTCAAGTGAAAATAGTAAATATTTATGATAAAAATTACAAAGAAAGTTAGAGGTAAGAAGGTCTAGTAGTAAATGTTTAACCAGGTGCACTTCAGGAAGCTGTATGGAATTAATTGGATGGGTCTATTGTATTTATAACATAAAAAATAGACACTTTTGAGAACAGAAGGCCAGCATGCTAACAAAATACAGCATAATGCTTCCTAAAGTGTTCTCACTTCCTTCTGTGAAGGAATCTGCATGTATGGTATAGTTGCATGTGGGATACAGCTGCACGTCTGGTATACCTCCATGTGTACAGTGAAGCTGCATGTGTGGCATAGCAGCATGTGGGATACAGCAGCATGTCTGGCATACCTTCATGTGTGCAGTTAAGCTGCATGTGTGATATGGGTGCATGTATGGCACCGCTGCATGTCTGGTATACCTGCATGTCTGCAGTTAAGCTGCATGTGTGGCATAGCTGCATGTATGGCACAGCTGCATGTCTGGTATACCTGCAAGTCTGCAGTTAAGCTGCATGTGTGATATGGCTGCATGTATGGCACCACTGCATGTCTGGTATACCTGCATGTCTGCAGTTAAGCTGCATGTGTGATCTGGGTGCATGTATGGCACCGCTGCATGTCTGGTATACCTGCATGTCTGCAGTTAAGCTGCATGTGTGGCATAGCTGCATGTATGGCACAGCTGCATGTCTGGTATACCTGCATGTATGGCACAGCTGCATGTCTGGTATACCTGCATGTCTGCAGTTAAGCTGCATGTGTGATATGGGTGCATGTGTGGTACAGCTGCATGTCTGATATACCTGCAAGTTTGCAGTTAAGCTGCATGTGTGGTACAGCTGCATGTGTGATGCAGCTGTATGTGTGGTACAGCAGCATGTCTGGTATACCTCCATGTGTACAGTGAAGCTGCATGTGTGGCATAGCAACATGTGTGGTACAGCTGCATGTCTGATATACCTGCGTTTGTGCAGTTAAGCTGCATGTGTGATATGGCTTCATGTATGGCACAGCTGCATGTCTGATATACCTGCATGTCTGCAGTTAAGCTGCATGTGTGATATGGGTGCATGTTTGGTACAGTTGCATGTCTGATATACCTGCATGTCTGCAGTTAAGCTGCATGTGTGATATGGGTGCATGTTTGGTACAGTTGCATGTCTGGTATACCTGCGAGTCTGCAGTTAAGCTGCATGTGTGATATGGGTGCATGTATGGCACAGCTGCATGCCTGGTATACCTGCACTTGTGCAGTTAAGCTGCATGTGTGATATGGGTGCATGTGTGGTACAGCTGCATGTCTGGTATACCTGGATTTGTGCAGTTAAGCTGCATGTGTGATGCAGCTGTATGTGTGGTACAGCTACATGTGTGGTCTACCTGCATGTGTGCAGTTAAGCTGCGTGTGTGATACAGCTGCATGTATGGCACAGCTGCATGTGCAGTATAGATGTTGCCACCTCAGGCATTCGTGTCTGCTCATGCTACAAAGCTGAGGAAGCAAAAAGTAAATAGACAAAGCATCATGTTAAAAATAAAAGTCAGCACATTTGAAAAATAAATATAGTAAAATGAGCTCAAAGTGCTCTTATTCTTAAATGAACAAATTCCAATGTCACAGACTTTTCTTCTTGACTTAATTTTTCTTAAATAAGTCATCTGAAACATAGAAGGTCTATCATGCCCATTTAAAGATACTGCTATTATTTTCTGACAAAAATATACAGAATATATTGAGTACTTAATACGTGTGAAATGCTATTTTAAGCATTTTGTAGTGTACTATCTCATTTAATCCTCTCTCTCTCTCTCAGAATTAGATAACAGCATCTTCATGTTACAGAGCAGGAAATATTGTTTGGAGATATTACATTTTTTTTCTAAATTCACAAAGTAAGTAGTAAGCCTGGAAGTCCAATTTTAGGGTCTCTGACTTCAGGTCTTCAGATCCCTTGCTTTTAGCATTGCACTATGATCTCCTTTTCCTACATGACTCCATTAATCTCACAATTCTCCATGAGTAAAATTTCTAACGCACTCTTTCAGTTTTTTTTTTTGTGGTATTACAGCAAAATACCTGAGACTGGGTAATTTATAATGAACAGAAATCTATTGGCTCACAATTCTGGAGCCTAGAAAGTCCAAGATCAGTTGCCAGCATCTGGCAAAGGGTAAGAGATGGCAAGAAGGCCCAAGCTCACACTTTTATAACTGCACCAATCTCATCCACAGGGTCCCCATGGTTTAGCCACCTCTGAAATGTTCCACCTTTTAATACCATCACAATGGCAATCAGATTTCACCATGAGTTTTGGAAGGAATGAACATTCAAAAAATAGTACATACATTTTTATTTTATTAACTGCAGTAAAATACACATAACATGACAGTCCCCCAGTCCAAGCCCTAGCAATGGGAGTGAGGAAGATTTCAAGATGACAGCACCCTTGCACCACATGGTCTGCCTGTATCCTCATGGGAGATCTGAAGCCAGAAATGCATGGTCACGCCCCATCAAATTCCTGGCCTATAGATCATGTCAAAGACAATACATTATTTCCATCACATGTGTGGTATAGCTGCATGTGTGGCACAGCTGTATGTCAGGTATAGCTGCATGTCTGCCAAACCTGCATGTGTGCAGTGAAGCTGCATGTGTGGCATGGCTGCATATATGGTACAGCTTTCCACCTTCGTGGAATGTGACTAACAGACAAGGGGCAGCAAACTCAGAATAAATCATCTCATCCCCAGCTTCAGAGTCCTCAGAAATTCCCTCAATGTTTCCTTTCTGTGGTTTGGTAGCATGAACCACAGTCACATCATTTGAAGTCACATAATTTTAAAGTGATTTGTTATATAGCACCAGATACCTTTAAAAATCCATCATATTTGTTTTTCTATCTTTGTAATAATCATGTGAGATGGTCCAAGGACAATTATCCTCATTTTAAAGATTTAGGGACTTAGAGGAATGAGAAAATTCTGAGTGGGAAAGTAGCTGAGCAAACTAAAAACCATCCTAAGTTCAGCATTCTTTTCACATCAAGGAACTTCTGATAGTGTTATCATTGCTAGTGCATATCCTCTTCTCCAACTGTGTAACCCCAGAAGTTTCTGATAGAACAAACAAGAAATATTGGAATAAGAATGGCATGATCATCAGGTTTAATTAAAAGAGCACAGTGGTGGTTGTTCGAGTTCACCCAGTATCCTCCTCGTGTTCCTCACTCTGGTAACAATCATAAGCTTCTTGGCCACAGGGGTGGATGTATGATCTAGAGTATGACATCTTTCAGTGGCCTAACATGGTCTAAGACTAAGCATCATTGGAGGTCTTCTAGAGAGTTTTTCAAACTAGAACCGGTGGAGTAGATCCATTTTCATCTTCACTCATGAAGCTAGAAGGTGAAAAACCACAGCATCTGTGGCTGTGCTCACCGTCATGCAAACAGTCTTCCACCCTCATGGAGCATGACCGACAGCCAAGGGGCAGAAAACTCAAAATAAATCATCTCACCCCCAGGTTCAGAATCCTCAGAAATTCCCTTGATACTTCCTTTCTGAGGTTTGGTAGCATGAACAAAAACCTTCCCCTTTGATGGCTTAATCATTGCTTTCACTTTTAATCAAGATTCTGGAATAAAACAAATAGCTTCTGTATGGGGAAATATTCCCACAAATCAGTCATGGTGAGAAGTGCTTCCATAAATGAAAAGACTTTTAACCCTAATGACAACTATGCAAAGAAAGTTTCATTGTTATCTATTAATAGTGACAACAATGCAAAAATAAATATTGTTATATGGGCAGGTGCATGTGACTGACAAGGATTAAGAAACTTTCCACACAGTTGGTAATCAGCTGAGCCAGGTTGTAAACACAGATATCTCTGACCTCAATATTCATGACTTGAATGTAATAATAGCAATCCCAGTTGAATCTGAAACAGATCTACACACTTAAAATACTGGGAGTAAAAAAGATGAACTAAATACTAAGCTTTAAAGAATGCTTTGTAAGCAGTGTCCACATGCTTTTTAAAGAAGTTTTTAGAGAAGATCTGTTGGAGACATTGGTTATGATTTGTGCTTGCCAAATACATAAACTCTACAGGATGTCCAAAGAGCTTTCTCCTACAACTTACCAACCCCAGCATGCAAAGCCATGATAACACCTAGCAAACTGCCTGGTGCTCTGGAAGCCCTGCATGACCCAAGGCAAAAAGAAAACAATGAAAACGAAATTGCTGGAGTTCACATGGATTAACAAAATTTGGTATTTTTACAACACTCCTCTGTCTTCCAGAATATTTTTATTTTGGTTATATTTTATCACTGTTTGTACTTTCTTGAAAGGTTTTATGACCACAGCTCTGCATTCAAAGAAATGAAATTGCCGTATTTTCCCTTGTTTTATTTATTTTATTTTTTCAAATATCTACAATGTTGGTGTATTACTAAACCCTCATTTCAGAAAATGTTGGTCAAAAGTCATATTGATTGCCATAACTGCTAGTTAGACCACATTGAATCAGGCAATGGTAGTAAGTTTGGGAAATAAAGCAGTGTGATGTGGAAGTAGTCATTAAGAAAATGATGTAGATTTGTCACCATTCTTTCAATGAATGGTCTCTTCCTACCCTTTTTTTAGAGAAATAAAATAAACTCAATCACTAAATTTTACCAGATGGGACCAAGCTCTTTTTGAGGTTGGAATTGCCTTCTCCTTTACTCTCTCCCAGCCTGTAGGTTTTCTTTTCCTTTTCATTTTTTAATTTCTTCACAAATCAGATATGCCAAAATTTTGTTATAATTTATTATTACTGCATTTGAAAAAAAATTAACTAACAGTTAGCAAGTGCTGAAAATGGCTTTCAAAGGCCATCAAGCATTTTGCAAAACTTCTGCTTCCATAATTCAGAAATCTGTATTTTAAGGAAAAATTTATGTTTCTGTTTGATTTACATTTAAAAGATTATCCAGCATTTTTGTAAGGCCTGTTTGATATATTGAGTCATATATTTATTTTCATTGCAAGATTGTTTCATCTTTAAGTATTATTTGCTGAACCAAAGGAACAGATTGTTTCATCTTTAAGTATTATTTGCTGAACCAAAGGAACAGCAAAGAATACTACGCCTTTTGTCAGAGATGTCAAGCCTGAACATTTTGAATTAGTTATAGACTAGTCCAACTCTGCTTTAAATCTTAATGGACTTATAAACAGCAAGGGAAAGCAGGAGATCTAGCATAATAACTTTAGAAAAATGAAAAGTATTTTAATAGCAAGAAGTTTCTACTGTTTAAAACTTTACATTAGCAGGAAGCTGTCTATATGAGTCACAATCTTTATTTAGCCAAGGTTACCACTGAGAGTAATTCGAAAAGCGACTTTTGAAGTCACGTATGGAGCATGAAGTAATCTACATCTCCACACCTACTCAGCATGCACAATTATCACTGCTAGTCTGATAAAATATTCTTATTATACCAAACACGGTATACAAGCAGGGAAGCTTATACAAATGTTTTCTCATTCCTCATCTCCAGCCAATCATTCATCCTTTAAAACTTGAAGAACATTTTCTGTTATTGTTTCCTAGGATGAACAGAAAATATTTCATCTCAGGTAGGAGTGTAAGTGGAGGTCTCTAAATCTAAAAAAATAAAAAAGAAAAGAAAAGAAAAGAAAAGAAAATTCCAACCAGGCAAACAACAACAAAAATACTTTTCTATCTCCTGAGCAATTCTGATTCACCTGTGCACCCAGCAGATGTCAATCCATGAATGGATTCTGATATTGATCCTGATTCTAAGCATCTGTGAATTAATTTTAAGAAAATTAAATTAACATACATAAAAACTACTCTGAAATCCAAATATTCTAAATCTATTATTTATAATATTGCTATTCTAAATAATAGTGAAGAAAAATAAATCACAAGAGGATTGCGTGGACCCACTGAAAGCTAAGGCAGGAGGTGAAGGGTAAATGCGTACTTGCGCAGGCCGGGAGAAAGTAAGCAGAGTGGCTGGGGGGTGGCACCAAGCACAATGCTCAACACGAGTCCCCCACAGCCACCCCTGACTCCTGGTCCTGGCCCATCTAATACTAGTGCACATGACTAGTTAAGGACTAGTGTAACCTGGTAGTTAACAGTCAGGTTTTGCCAGAACCTCATTTTTCTGATTCTAAGTCCAGTGTATTGTCTACTACCTACTTCATTCCAAGTTTTCAAATGGAATGTTGCCATATTGAAATTTATTTTAAGCTTGTCAGATAGAAAGCCTTACAATAATGGTGAAACAAAGTTATCTTAGACTCTATTAGGATGTTTTGCAGAGTTCAGAAGCATGTGAAGAAGTTTGAAAAAAAAATTAAAAAACTTCTCTCAAAAAGAATTGATTAAACAGTATTTTCTAAGGGCGCTCCTGTGTCTCCAAGGATTTAAAATTTCATGCAAATAATCTGAACTGCCTAAACCAATAACACTGAATTAAGGTAATAGTGTTTTGCCTGTCAGCGAATTGCTATGACTTTCTGTATGAGCTCAGTCGACCAAATCTGGACATCACAACTTTCTCCTATGATATTTAATTCCCAGAGTATTATGTTCAGAACCTCAAGGTAGATAAATTGTATTTGAGAAACATGATATTTTGGGAAGAAAAGGGAGGATGGCTTTCCAAAATGAAAGGAAATAAAATAAACATCATATAAATTGTATAATTACCACAACAAAACTTAAATACAAGATATCAAATAAAGAGAATATTGACATTTACATGGCTTCTAGAATACTATGGATAGAACAATTTATATTCATGATCTCGAATTTACCAACAATATTTTAGTCTCTTTGTTTATGAACAACTAAGTGTTCATAAAATTTAGGGATAATAGAATTCTTAAGATCATAGGCTCTGGATCTGACTGCTCCAGTTTGAATTCCAGAGTCGCCATTTACGACCCATACAAACTTAGGCAATTATTTGATTTCTCTAAGTAGTTTTACCGTTTGTAAAGTGGAGATTATACAAATACTAAATCTTGGATTATGATGAGGATTTAACATAAGTAATCCATATAAAGAGCCTAGTTAAGTACCTGATACAGGGTGTGTGACCTTGCATTGGATAATCTGGTTGTTATTAAGACAATTATTTTAATAAAATTTGTTTCATTTTGGAAATCTCTATGGCATGCTGGATAGAGGGACAAATGAAGTTTTGTAGTATGCAAAGGACTTTCAACTAAGCCAGTCTGTGAGGTCATTTTGCTTCTGCTCATTAGAAGCTGATGGGAATTGGCCAGGTGAGGTGGCTCATGCCTGTAATCCCAGCACTTTGGGAGGCAGAGGCGGGCAGATCACCTGAGGTCAGGAGTTTGAGACCAGCCTGGCCAATATGGTAAAACCACGTCTCTACTAAAAATACAAAAATTAGCTGGGTGTGGTGGCACGTGCCTGTAATCTTAGCTACTTGGGAGGCTGAGGCAGGAGAATCGTTGGAACCCAGGAGGCGGAGGATGCAGTGAGCCTAGATCACACCACTGCATTCCAGACTGTGTGACAAAGCAAGACTCCATCTCAAAAAAAAAAAAGAAAAAAAAGAAAGAAGTTGATGAGAGTATATAATAATTACAAAATCCAATCATAGTGATAACAATTTTGTAAGTAAGTTAAAGTAATTAACAATTTATATAGGGCTATATTTATTAATGCATTATACATTCTACAAGAAAAATGACAGTATCTGTTGTGTTCAATATTATATCCTTATAGAGTAGGTACTTAACAAATATTTTAAATAAATTACTGAACCTACACTTGAAAACTCTCTAAATGAAGGGATGTTAGGTTTGGTCAGGGTTTACTTGTTTACAGTATCTCAGGTTGCCATAACAAAATACTTGCATTAAAAAAATACTGTTGCTTAAGTAACAGGAATTTATTTCTCACAGCTCTCAAGGCTGGAAAGTCCAAAACGAAGGTGCTGGCTGATTTGTTTTCCTGGTGAGGGCTCTGTCCCCGGCTTGCAGACACTTGCCTTCTTTCTGTATTCTCATAAGTTAAGGAGAGAAGAAACAAAACCTCTTGTGTCTCTTTTTGAAAAGACACTGAACTCATCATGACGACTCTACCCTCAGGACTTCATCTAAACCCAAGTACCTCCAAAAGGCCCCATCTCCAAGTAATCTAATAAAATATGACACAGTGACTTAAACAACAACATTTTTTTTACAGTTCTAGAGGTTGGAAGTTCAAGATCAAAGTGTTGGCAGGGTTAGTTTCTCCGGAGACTTCTCTCCCTGGCTTGTAGATATGCCTCTTAGCTATATCCTTACCTGGTCATTTCTCTGTATATGCACATCACTGTGGTCTCTTTTTTCTAATAAAGACACCAGTCATATTGGATTAAAGCCACACTCTGACAGCCTCATTTAAATTAGAAACTTCTTCAAACACCTTATAATTACATAGTGATGGTTGGAATTTCAATATGTGGATTTGGAGATGCACAATTCAACTATAACAGATGTAATTTCAACCATTTCTTACTTCCCTGCCCACAAATAATATAAAGCAATACCCATCATTAAATGTCATATACATACAACTTTTATAGTTTCCATGATATTATTTATCTAAAACTTCATAATCTGTAAAAAAGTTGGATTTCTGTATTATTTATGTAAATTTATTTGAATTCAGGAAAAACTATTTGGATTATCTTAATAAGTATTCCCATTAATCACTTTATATCTGATAAATGTTTTGAGTTTCTAATATGCTCAAAGCACTATTCTAGATACTGCGACTTTGGCCACAATACAAAGAGAAACAAGAAGTTCTAAATTTTTAAAATATGCATTTAATTGCTTTTTAGAAGCCTGACTTTAAAATCATTATTCTAATTAATATGACTTTGACCTTGAAAAAGATTTAATTTATTTAAGTGTTTGTTTTTCTTCCTTTAAATGTGATATTCTTACTATCTAATTTACAGGATTGGGATAACATGATGAAATGACAAGTATGTAAGATGGCTGTGATGCATGAAAATCCATACCCATCTAAAGGGTTACATTATTTTCACAAGACCAGAGTCAGAAATGATATAAAATTATGATTCCAGTAATGTCACATAGCCACTGAAATTGCCTTTTCCCTGGATACATTTATCTTTTCCTTGGGCTTTAAGAAACCGCATGTTCGAGGTATAGAAATAAACATCTGATATTCCAGAAATCCCAGAAGATAAGATAGAAGAATCTGCATAAATCTACAATCCTTTTAAAATGAAGAGGGACATTGTATTAGTTTATTATTGCATTGCTATTAAAAAATACCTAAGACTGGGCAATTTGTGAAGAAAACAGGTTTAGTTGGCTCATGGTTCTGCAGGCTATACAGGCACGGCTCCAGCATCCGCTCCTGGTGAGGCCTCGGGAAGTTTCCAATTGTGGTGGAAGGTGAAGGGGCGGCAGGTGCATCATATAGCAAGAGCAGGAAGAAAAGAGAGAATGTGGGAGGTGTCACACTCTTTTAAACAACTAGATTTCTCTTGGACTACCAGAGCAAGAACCCACTCATCACCAAGGGGATGGTGGTAAGCCATTGATGAAAGATCCACTGCCATGATCCAATACCTCCCACTAAGCCCCGCCTCCCACACTGGAATAACATTTCAACATGAGATTTAATGGGGACAAATATCTAAACCATATCAGAGATGGAGATGCAAGACTGTCTTGAACTTGACGTTTAGAAGAGAAAAAAAGAAAGAAAAACAATCACCAGAAATTGTTAACAAGACTTTCATATTTATTTGGAGATATAATTGCTTCTAATGCATTGTCTTAAAAAACCAATCAAAGTAATAAAGTGTCCCTGAGATAGCAGATATCTGGCAGAGGTAACACTTTTTCTCTAGAGGAACACTTTTTTATAGCCAGTTCTTAAATGGTTCCCAAAGATAAAGTTCCAATTAATACAATCACACTGTCTTAAAATCATAAACCACTAAAGCAAAAAGTACAATAAGCAAGTCAAATAAGTAAAAAAGAAGTTTTAGAATCAGATCCACAAAGCAAGAAAATATGATAGTCCCCAGAATATAAAATAGGTAGGTTTAATATGTTAAAACAAACTGAGGAGGGTGCCAAAAATTATCGCTGGGAAATAAAATAAACAGGCCCATTTGATACAGAAATTAGAATTCTGTTTTCTACAGAAAATAGAGTTTTGATAAAGAAATTAGAAATCTATTTTTCTACAGAAAATGGAATTTTTGAGATAAAATGTATTAGGTAAAATTGTTAATCAATGCAAGAGTTAATCAGCTGATAAAACAATTGTTGAGATTGAAAATAGATTAGTACAGTGATATGGTTTGTCTGTGTTCTCACCCAAATGTCATCTTAAATTGTAGTTCCCATAATCCCCATGTGTCATAGGAGGGACCTGGTGAAAGGTAATTGAATCATGGGGCTGGTTACCCCCACACGGCTATTCTCATGATAGTGAGTGAGCGCTGATGAGATCTGATGGGCTTTTCCTCTTTTTGCTCAGCACTTTTCCTTAATGCCACCATGTGAAGAATGACATGTTTCTTTCCCCTTCCACCATAATTGTAAGTTTCCTGAGGCCTTGCCAGCAATGCCAAACTGTAAGTCAATTAAACCTCTTTCCTTTATAAATTGTCCAGTCTCAGGTGTGTCATTATTAGCAATATGAGAACAGACTAATATAGTAAATTGATACCGGGATGTGGGGTACAGCTGTAAAGATATCCGAAAATGTGGAAGCAACTTTGCAACTGGGTAACAGGCAGAGGGTGGAACAGTTTGGAAGGCTCAGAAGAAGAAACAAAAATGTGGGAAAGTTTGGAACTTCCTAGAGGCTTGGAGGACTGAGAAGACAGGAAGATGTGGGAAAGTTTGGAACTTCGTAGAGACTTTGTTGAACGGCTTTGACCAAAATGCTGATAATAATATGGACAATAAGGTCCAGGCTGAGGTCATCTCAGATGAAGATGAGGAACTTGTTGGGAACTGGAGTAAAGGTTCTTCTTGCTATGCAAAGTGACTGGTAGCAGTTTGCCCCTGCCCTAGAGATCTGTGGAACTTTGAACTTGAGAGAGATGATTTAGGGTATCTGGTGGAAGAAATTTCTAAGCAGCAAAGCATTCAAGAGGAAGTGGAGCATAAAAGTTTGGAAAATTTGCAGCCTGACAATGCGATAGAAAAGAAAACCCCTTAACTCGTCATTTAGCATTAGGTATATCTCCTAATGCTATCCCTCCACCAACATGGCACATGTATACATAGGTAACAAACCTGCACATTGTGCACATGTACCCTAAAATTTAAAGTATAATAATAATAAAATTAAAAAAAAAATAAATAAATAAATGCAATTAAAAAAATAAATAAAAAGAAATTTATTTAAAAAGCCAAAAAAAAAAAAAAAAGAGAAAAGAAAACCCCTTTTCTGGGGAGAAATTCAAACCAGTTGCAATAATTTGCATAAGCAACATGAAGCCAAGTGTTAATCATCAAGACAATGGGAAAAATGTCTCCAAGGCACGTCAGAGAAATTCACAGCAGCCCCTCCTATCACAGGCATGGAGACCTAGGACGGAAAAACGGTTGCCAGGCTCAAGGCACCCTTTTGTTTTGTGCAGCCTTGGAACTTGGTGCCCTGTAGGCTAGCCCCTCCAGCTGTGGCTAAAAGGGTCTAACATACAGCTCAGACCATTGCTTCCGAGGGTGCAAGCCCCAAGCCTTGACAGCTTCCATGTGGTGATGAGTCTTCCGGTTTACAGAAGTCAAGAATTGAGGTTTGGGAAACTCTGCCTAAATTTCAGAGAATGTATGGAGATGCCTGGATGTATAGGCAGAAGTTTGCTGCAGAGGCAGGGCCCTCATGGAGAACCTCTGCTGCAGCAGTGCAGAAGGGAAGTGTAGGGTTGGAGCTTCCATACAGAGTTCCCACTGCAGCACCGCCTAGTGCATCTGTGAGAAAAGGGCCATCGTCCTCTAGACCCCAGAATAGTAGTTCCACCAACAGCTCGCACTGTGCACCTGGAAAAGATTCAGACACTCAACGCCAGCCAGGAAGGCAGCTTGGAGTGGGCTGTACCCTGCAAAGCCACAGGGGTAGAGCTGCTTCAGGCCATGGGAGCTCACCTTTTGCAACAACATGACCTGGATGTGAGACATGAAGTCAAAGAAGATCATTTTGGAACTTTAACGTTTAATGATGTTAAACTCTGCTGAGAGCAGAATGATATGGTTTGGCTGTGGCCCCAACCAAATCTCATCTTGAATTATACTTTTCATAATCCCCACTTGTCGGAGGGATCCAGTGGGAGGTAATTGAATCACGGGGATGGTTACCCCCATGCTGTTATTCTCATGATAGTGAGTGAGTTCTCACAAGATCTGATGGTTTTATAAGGGGTTTTCCCCTCTTTGCCCAGTATTTCTCCTTGCTGCTGCCATGTGATGAACGATATGTTTGCTTCCCCGTCCACCATGATTGTAAGTTTCCTGAGGCCTCCCCAACCATGCTGAACTGTGAGTCAATTAAACTTCTTTCCTTTATAAATTACCTGGTCTTGGGTATGTCTTTATTAGCAGCATGAGAACAGGATGAATGCAGTATCTCTAATTACATAGTAGAAAGGAAATTAATAATATAAAATATAATAGACATAGAGAATAAGAAAAGGTATAACATAATTCAAATTCCAGGAGGGAAGACAAGAGAATGAAAACGAGGCAATATGTAAAGACATATGGAAGAATATTATTCAGAATTAATTTTAAAAATCTAAGAATTGAAAGTCTTAAACATGATAAATAAAATGTTATTCAAAAAGTATATAAACCAAACAAAAACAAGGAAACTATTTTTTTTGAAACAGCTAACCTGTATAATAACAACCTGGTTTTCAAGATCAACAATGACAGCCGAAAACAATTTCACAAATAAAACTTTCAGTGAACGTTATGACCCAAGAATTTGTACACCATAAAAATCTTTTTATAAGTAGCACTAAAGACAAATTCAGATAAGCAGAAAGTTTTTTTAATGGACCCTTACTCAAAAAATGTTTTAAAAGAAATGTCAGAAAAAAATGAAAAAATGAATTATTTAAAAGGGGACTCTAAGACATTATCCTTTATTATTTAAACAACAATTTATAATAATAATACTTAACTTATAGATTTAAATATATATTTATACTGAAGTACTGGACAACAATTGTTTATAAGTCCAAAGGAATATGATAATATTTTTAATCTTAAAATACACAGAAGAAGGTATGTATTAATTTTATGTTTCACGAATGTAAATATCTATACATTTTTAAGGTAAAAGCTGAAGGAATAATGATCAAATATTAAAACTTCCAAACAATAAAAAGGTAAAATGTAATATTTTTAAAAACACTAAATCTAAATGCAAGCAAAAGAAATGTGAAAATTAAAAATGGAGACAAACAGAAATTAATATGATACAAAAAACTCCAAAAGCATCTGTAATCGTAATTAACATAAATAACAAAATAGAGAATTTAATTTTAAGCAATGAGAAATAATCTGTAACAGATTAAAGTTGTTCCAGGAAAATAAAAAAATCCTTCACAAAATGCACAGAAATCATCAAATAACTACAAAGGCAGTCAGGACTTGAGCCAAGAGACAAAAGAAAAGGGAAATATGGTGAAATAAACCTAGTACTTCTGTATGACTTGTTTTGCCACTCACGACATATGACACTTCAGAGTAGTCCAAGGGGTAGATTATATTACAAGCAAATGACCAATTAGAGGCTGACAATCCAAGCAGAGATATCGGGAATTTCATGATGCTGGAAATAAAAATTTGACTCAGATCTTATCAGCCTGGAGTGGCCCTGATGAACACTGGAGGGTTTAGTTGAAACTCCCCAAAGAATGGACTCTAGAACTAAGGGTGAATGGTTAAGTAGACCAAGCGCTACACAAAAACCCAACCTCTAGGCAACTTAATCCCTGACAGAATCAAGATGATCTGCACTTAATTTGTCGGGCATAAAGTTAGCAAAACGCTTTCTGGAAAAAACTATCTGGACTTCTATAGTTTTTAATAGAAAAGATGAAAGATTCTGTCAAAAATTATGTGATTCCCTGAGAGACAAGAGCAATAGTAAAGCTATCAGTGATCCAGTTATTAGTGTTATCAGAGATTTAAAAGTAGTCATGATCAAAATGTTTCAGGAAACCATGAAGAATTCCATTAGACCTCTGGGATTATTAAAGAGAAACAAATGTGTATTCGAAAACAAAAGCATATCATAAATTGAAAGTAAAACCATGCATATGGGGCTATTAGCATGTTTGACTATCCTGAAGAGAGTTAGTAGAAAATGTCAAAATCAAGTATAGAGAGACAATAAAAAGGGGGAGGAAGAAATACAGGGGGAAAAAACAACTAAAGATATATAAGACTTTGTGAAAAAGTCTAATGTTTTGTAATATTGGAATGTTAGAGTATAACAAGAATGAGGTGGAAACAATATTTACAAAGTCTTTGCCTGCAAAGAAACAACATGTCCTATGGTTAACTCTCCACAGAATGAAGAAAGCATAATGACAAACAAATGGCAAACGTAAAGTTCTGAAAGCAAACAACTGATGATCTGGAATTCTACACCTGGTGAAAATATTCTTCAAAAATGAAGACAAAAACATTTCCAGAAAAAGGAAAGTGAAAGATTTCATTGCCAATAAACCCATGCTAATATAAACACTACAAGGAGATTTTCCCTTTGAAGTATGTTCCTTAATAAAGGTATAAAAACACATGATAGAATTAGGGGTAATTCGAATATACCAGCAATTATATTAACTGTAAATGTATTAAATACTTTAAAAAGTCAATGACTGATAGGCTGTATTAAAGTAAAAACTTTATACTGCTTTTAGAACAAAAATTGACATAATGACCTCAAAAGATTGCAGATAAGAAGATCAAAAAGTTATACGCGATATTAATCATTAAAAGAAGATATAATTAAAGTAATAGATGTGTAGACTTTAAGGGAAGAAGCAATTCATAATGATGAAAATATATTCTATAAGAAATATATAATAAATCTGAATTTATAGGTAACTAATAATATAGCTTCAAAATATATAAAGCAAAATTTAAATAACTAAAAGTGATGTAAAAGTATTCACAAGTCAAAGAGTATATCACACTGTCTTAGGAGCTAATTTAACAAGTATTCTAAATAATCCTTAAGAATATAGAAAATGTAAATGATATGATTTAT
Source organism: Homo sapiens (assembly GCF_000001405.40). NCBI lineage: Eukaryota > Metazoa > Chordata > Mammalia > Primates > Hominidae > Homo > Homo sapiens. The sequence continues at coordinate 5,186,922 of NC_000002.12, forward strand.
GAACTTGATCCAGTTGACATGTAGCGAATACTGCAAACAGAAGCTTTATTAGTAATTACATCATTAATTATTATTAATAATTTAATAATTATTGAGCTATCAAACTATTAGAAAACATAGACATTAGTCTTCATAATCTCAGATTCAGCAATTATTACATTTGACACCAAAAGTACTAACAACAAAAGAAAAAATTGATGAATTGGACTTTATATAAACTAAAGATGTTTATGTTTAAAGGACACTATCAAGAAATTAAAGACATCCTCACAGAATGGGTGAAAATATTTACAAATCATATATCTGATAATTGAATTGCATTCAGGACATATAAAGACCATATATAACTCAATAATGAACCTAATTTAAAAATGAGCCAGACTTTTGATAGGCACTTCACCAAAAACATGAACTGGCTAATAAGCATATGAAAAGATGGTCCACATCTTCAGTCATCAGAGAAATGCAAATCAAGAGCACAATGACATACCACTTCACATGATCTAGCAAGGCTGTAATAAAAACCAATGACCAAAACCAAATGTTGGTCAGGGCCTAAGGAAGCTGAAACCCTCATGCACTGCTAAATGGTGCACTTAGAAAAACACTATGGTAGTTCCTCAAAATGCTGAACACAGAGTTACTATATTACCCAGAAGTTGCACTGCTAGACCAAGAGATATGTAAATATTTGTCCACACAAAAACTTGCACACAACTAGTGTTAGCATCATTATTCATAAAGTCAATAAGTGAAAACAATCCAAATATCTGTGTAGCCATAAGTGAATAAACAAAATACGGTAAATCTATACAATAGAGCAGTATTTGACAATGAAAAGGAATTAAGCGCTGATACATGCAGCAGTCTACATGAACCTTGAAAACACTGTTAAGTGAAAGAAGCCAGACATAAAACCCCACATTTCATATGATTCCATTTATATGAAATATCCAAAATAGACAAATATTTAGGGATAAATACTTGATTAATGGTTAACTAGTTTTGCTGGAGGAACAAATGGAAAGTGATTGCCCAAAGTTTTAAAGCTGGTGAAATTGTTTTAAATGATATTATTGTAATGGTTACATAACTGTCTATGTTAAACTATTGTATTGTAAACTGTAAATAGGCTAATCTCATGAAAATTATATCTCAACATAATTGTCTTCTAAAAGAAAAGTAAAAACTCATATAATAATGAACCTTCAAAATATGTGAGATAAAGCATGACAGGTAAAAAGGAGAAACTGGAAAATCCATCATGTCAGAGGTTTTTATTCATTCTGTCATTAATTGATAGAATGGATGGAGAGAAAAACATTCAGATGTAGTAGGTTTGAAACAACATAATTAACCTTCTTGGTATAATAAATATATACTACACATCTAATGGCTGGAAGATGCATGTTCTTCAGAAGCACACAAAGGACATTTATAAAAAGGGGCTACTTATCAAGATATAAAATGACTTTTTAAAGTCAATATTATTCAGTGTATACTCTCTGCTTTCAAGTATCTATTTTTAAAACAAATAATCTGATTCTTTACTGTATATCAAACTCCAATGAATGGCTTTTTGAAACACATTTTTTGGACCCAACCAAATTTCTGCCTTAGGAAGTGTAAGGTGAGACCCATATTTGCATTTCTAGCAAGTTCTCAGATGATGCTTATGTTGCTAATCAAGGGGGCACGTTTTAAGAACTATAGCTCTTAAATACGCACTCACAAATTTAAAAACATGCTTCCAAATATCATATATTATATGTAAAGCAATTGAAATAAAATATACTTTAAGGCACATAATAATATAAGTGCTACACACCAAAAAAGCGGGGATAAAACTAAAGAGTGCCTTAAGGGTATATTTAAAGCAAACATAGTTATATGGGTAAATAAGAATGACTAAAAATTAATGAGTCAGGCATCCGGTACAGGAAGTAAGCAAAATAGCCGCGGAATAAACTCAAAGATGCAGGAAAAAAGAAGTAATAAGTATGAAAGCAGAGATTCATAAAATAGAAAACAAAGATACAATTGAGATCATTCACAGTGCCAGATTCTTTGTTTTGAAAGTGTAATAAGATGGACAAACCTCTGGCAATGATGGTCAAAGTAAAAATAAAGAGAAAATGTGCAAATAACCAATACTAGAAATGAAAATGGGAATTATCACTGCATATAATAAAGACTAATATGATAACAGACTATTATGAAAAAATGTGCCAGCATTTTGAAACCTAGGAAACACAGAAAATTTTCTTGAAAAGTATGTATCTGTAAAACTGATTCAAGTATTAGAAGACAACCCATAATAAAAAACTTTCAGAAAACTACAAGAAGAGCACTTCAATAATCTGTAGAAGGAATTACCGGAAACATATGAAATAATAAAACAAAACAAAATTATTAATATAGTCAGAAACAATACCAGATTCCCAGTTTCACCACACCTGTTAAAAACATATATGGGTCTTCCAGTAAGGAAAGGAAAAAAAATACAAAATGTGTGAGAATCGAAAAGGGAAAATACACAATGGTCATTATTCACACATAATATGATTGTTTAGGTAGCAGTCCCAAAAACTTCTACAGACAAATCTCTAGAATATTGGAAATTATGCTAGGTTACACACTATAAGATTAATACTTAAAGTAATAGGATTTTTATACTGAAATAGCAAACATACCACAAGTTTGTCATTTATAATAGAAAAATGTATTTGTAACTAACAGTATATTTTTAAAATGCATGTGTAAATATACTACAGAGAAGAATGAAACTTTATATTGAACACGTTAAAGGAAGTCTATATAAATTAAAAGGTAAAACATGCTTATGCATAAAGAGACATAATATGAGAGAGATACCAGTTTTTCCCCAAGTTGCCCTGTGTATTCAACTGCATTCCACAAGTACTCGGATGTTTTTTGTGTGTTTTTCGAGGGGGTTTTGTTTGTTTTTTGATGGCATCAAGTAAGCTGATTCTAAAACAAAGCAACAATAGGCAAGATATTTCTCTGGATTTCAAACTCCTTATCCTGGAGTTCAGGAGTTCATGCCTTACAAACCCAAATTATCTTCTTCAGAGTTTTTGCTTGGGGGATGGTGGGTAGCTTTCTACTTTCTCTCTATTCTGTCTCAATGACTTCACAACATCCACTATGCAATCTCTGGTATAATGGCTGTTTTTGTATCTTTCTGTTTCTACTTGATTATAAATGCTTCATGAAAAAAGACCAAATGTAATTATCTCTGAATCTTTTATAGAAGACTCACACTCACTCACCCTCTGTTCCGGAAATGCCTCCTGCATGCTTGGCCTCTTTCTGAGTCCTAGGGACACAAAAGTCAACAAGACACGTAAAGCTGCTCTCCCGTGAACTTATATTCTAGAGGTGCTACTTATGTAAACATTTAATGAATGAAGGGATACGGATTCAAACGCCAAAGAGCAAAAATTATTTTGCTGTAGAAGATATCAGACAAGTAAATGTAATAAAACATACAAAAACTATGCTTCCTAACGCTATTAGCATTAAATATAATTAGAATAATAGAATGTTAAAGCTGGAAATTAGCTCAGATATTATCTAATCAGGTAACTTCCATTTTCAGATGAGGGGAAAAAGGGCTCAGAGAGCTCAAGAGGATTTGTTTTGTTTTAGGGCATTTGACTTTGGATATTTTTTCATTTGGACTAAAATTTATTTTTTGGAGGAATGAACTTAAATGAACCCATTTGACTCTGGGTATTTTTTCATTTGGACTAAAATGTATTTTTTGGAGGAAAGAACTTAGATGATGAATACAGTTAGATAATGAAATCTTGCTTGAAGGGGTGAATTTCATTATCGGTGTGCGTAGGATGGTTGATCTGATTCTTATGTGAGGCCGCAGTGCCTCTCGTGTGCCTGACTGAAAGAAGACCGTCAAAGGTGCCTATCAAGAGGTGCTAACAAAAGGCTCTTCCTTTATGTTGGAGCAGTTATATCAGAAAAACAAGAATGCTACAATCTTCTTGAAATAAGTCAAGAAACAGCAGAAGTGAGGTTTTTCGATAAGCTATAGCTAGCCAGGCATGGCGATGTGCACCTGTAGTCCCAGCTACTCAGGAGGCTGGGCAGGAAGATCAGCTGAGCACAGATATTTGAGGTTCTATGAACATGCCTGTGAACAGCCACTGCACTCCAGTCTGGACAGCATAGGGAGATCTGTCTCTTAAGAATAAATTTTTAAAAGGATATGTGTCTGAAGAGAGTGTGTGAGAACCAAGTTACATAAAAATAACCCAATTCGAATGCAATCTGCATGATCTTCTCAGGTCCCAGCAGGACGGGGATGGCCTTCATTGTGTTACTCACTAGAATAGAAACTGAGGCCTTCGTAGATGCATAGTTACCACTTAGTCACCACTTAGAGAACTGCAAAATTCACTAAGAGAGTGAAACCCATTCTCACTGGTTTATGAAATTTATCCTATATGCATTTATTTTCCTAAAAAATCCTGGAATATTTGCTCAGGTTCTTAAAGCAGATTTAAAAAACCAAGCCAAATCATTATTTGTGCAAAAAAAATCATATTTACTATTAAATTTTATGTATCATGGCAGGCACTTTTAAGTATAGATATAGTTTCTGAATTGTTGAAACGCATTACGGTATCCTACATATGAAGTTCTTTGCTTTGCAATATTATATGAGAACAGTTAAAAAGTTATTCAAGTGGTTTAGAAGTATGGAGATATAAAGAGAATTTCTCATCATTTCTAAAATCAGGTATAATAGTCCTTAGTCCTTATCTAAATTGTTACTACAATGCCTATTTAAAAGTTTTCATAATGAGCTCAATCCTTTTCAAGATTATAATTTATCTCTGAGCATCATATATTAAAACAAGATCCTCAGTACCAAATGTGACTAAGCTTAATTTTAAAATATCTCATTAATTTGCAGTAATGAGATGTAATGAATATTTATGGGAGGTTTTATCTGTACCTATTAATTTGCCATGATGTATCACTGATAAACTAGTCCTCTAAGCTGAAGCCAAGAGATGTCGAAGTGAAAAGCATATAAAATAATGTTCAATAACTACCACTTGAGATTCCGACATTTGGTGTAAAAGGTAATATGTTTTCTGCAAATGAAAGTTTACTATGTAATGTGCTGAATGCACCACAGGGAGCGAAGTCATTTTCTCTGCACACACAGTTTATTACTTTTAAATATCATTGCTCTCTTTCTCTCCTACGGCACCAACAAGGCAGAACAACAGTGTTTCTCCTTCAGCAGAAACCAATTGTCTTCACTTCTCGATCTGAGATCAAAGGTCATTTGGATTGCCGATGAAAGGAGGTGGCATATCTGCAAACCACCAGCAAGTTTTGTTGAAGGGTTAGAAGATGTGTTAGGCCTGGCTCCACGCTGGTTCAATGTTTTGGCTGAGCACATTCTGTGGGACCTGGGCTGTGCCATCCTGGTTGTCACTGTGCCCCTAACGGTCACTGAGCACATATCCTTGCGCAGTTTCCAAAGGTATCTTCATGTGCCTCAAAGCAGCAAACTATAATGAATTATTTAGTTTTTTCTACAAAAAGGCAAATTTAAACATATGGTCATCCGCAAATTTTCCTGATTGATGAATCTTGAAGAAAACTCCTTGCTTAATACTGAGGTCTTGACTCTGGCTATTACCAGTTTAAAAAAGACTAGCCTTCAGCTTAAGTGAACTTAATCACAGCCGAAGTGAATTTTTTATGCCCTAACCAAAAATTATGTCCAGAATCGGAACACTCAAAAATTTGTAACAAGAAGCTATAAAACTATGGTCTTCAAGACATAAACCTTTTGTGATAATGAGGGACATTTTCACATAAGTCATAAAGACCTTAATTACTGACTGTTAAGCAGGGGTATTTCAAATCATTAATTTTGCAAATTAAGAGATCTATATAGAAATGTGTTTTTACTTTGGCTCAGGAATAATCTATTAGAAGGAACTTGATATTAATTTTGAAATTATAATATAGTAGAGTAAAAGCTTTTTAATTTTGTAGTATAAATGACCAAAAGCTTCTTTTATTTTCAAATAAAAAGACAAAACTATTGATTTAATTTAGATTTCGACAAGTTAAGTAGAAATGTTTAAGATTAGTTTAATAGCCAACAGAAAGAGAAAATTAGTGCACAGAGCACAGAAATCAATAAAGGAAATGGATTGAAGCAGAAAAAAAATTATTCTAAGAGAAAGTGAGACATAAAGCAGGAAGAAAAACAGGATAAAAAGAAAGTTAAAGAATGAGATAAGAGAAACTCATTAAGTAATTATGATGGATATGAATGGACTAAATCATCCTATTAAAGGAAAAATTTGAGGCAGGGCATGGTGGCTCACACCTGTAATCCCAGCTACTCGGGATTACAGTAGCTAATCTCGCTTTGGGAAGCCGAGGCAGGCAGATAACCTGAGGTCAGGAGTTCAAGACCAACCTGGCCAATATGGTGAAACCCCGTCTCTACTAAAAATATAAAAATTAGCTGGGCACGGTGGCATGTGACTGTAATCCCAGCTACTTGGGAGGCTGAGGAAGGAGAATTGCTTGAACCTGGGAGGCGGAGGTTGCAGTGAGTCAAGACCACACCACTGGACTCCAGCCTGGGAGACAGGGCAAGACGCCATCTCAAAAAAATAAATAAAATAAATAAATAATAAATAAACATAGGAAAATTTTGGTAGACATACTTAAATCTAAAGAAAGAAGCAATTAAATTTATGGTGGGCAAATGCCAACCATAACAAACAGACAAACAACCAAAATAAAGCAGCTGTTTTATACCAGGCAGCAGAAAATATCAATGGGGTTAAACAGGAATGTTTTCTAATGATAATAGTTTCAACAGTACAAGAAAATTTCATACTAAGCTTGTCTGCACTCTTAAAATAGATCTTCTTATTACAAGGTAGAAACTATAAGAAAATAGATCATTTATAGTAGCAATAAAACAAAATTTAAAATAAGAATAAACATAAACTTGTAAAATTGTTATGATAGAAACACTGGAATACTCCTGAAAAAAAGACAAAAATACGTTAAAACAAATGACAAGGTTTCTCATACAACATATAAGAATATACGTTAAAGTTATATAAGAAACTGAGATTTCCAGTATCAGAAAGAAAAACAGATGCTGATATAACAGCACATAAGAAGTTAAGAAAATACCCCGAAAGGTTAAAGTGGAAATGTGACTATGTGCTAAGGATCTTTTATTAAAAATAACTCCCAGCTCTCTTTGCTGAAAGATCCTAAAAGAAATAAACATTAAAAGTAGTCAGAACCACTAGTATCTAAATCATTGTTTCTAAATACCATTTTCCAATAAAGGAACTAAAAAACACTTGGAGAAATCCTAAGACAGAGGACAGAGTTATCCTGGAATGTCTTGTTCCAGAAAACAGCAAGATACAAAAAACCAAGGAGGGTATGTTTAAAGGACAGAAGAGTTAGATTAAAATTGCTTCTATTGGTCAAATGTGGGATACATCAACATCAAAAATGAATACTCACTGTATTTTATCATGCCACACTGAATCAATAAAAAGCTATGTGTTTGTGGCGATGTGAGGTTGGGGTGAGGTGGAGAATGCACATCATTTGACATCATTATTGGTGACAACTAAATGTTTTTCTTGCATTTCAGGTAGAACTATCGTAGTTCATTCTAGTTCATGAGGAAAAAATTTCTGTTTTCACAAAAAAAAATAGTCCATAAACGTGGAAGAAGCTACAAAACACCATCTTTCAACTTGAAAAAAAAAAGTTGATTCAGTTAAGATTTATCAATTATTAACGGACACGAATGTCATTTTCTGAACACTTGTTGGGAAGGATATTTCCACAGTTCCAAAAGTTAGTTCTGCTTGTTAATTGGAAAGGAAAACAAAACCAAACATAGCATTATAATTAAGCTTCTCAATCTTCACCAAGTTATCAGACTCAGCACCATAAATAATGAGGCATGTGACGCCATATGCGTCCAATGCAGTTCGGCGTCACGCACACAGCATTGCCTGTCTTCCCAGTGATGAAAGAAAAACTTCAGCTGAATTAAATTTAAAGGAGTTTAATTGAGCAATGACTGATTCGCAAATCTGGCAGACCCCAGAATCACAGCAGATTCACGGAGACTCCAGGGATGCCTCGTGGTCAGAACAAATTTATAGACAAAAAAGGTAAAGTGTTGTACAGGAATCAGAAGTGAGGTACGGAAACAGTGAGATTGGATACAAGTTGGTCTTTGCCCTATTTGAATGCATTTTGAACATTCAGCAGTCTACGGGTGGGTGAAGTATAGCCGCTGGATTGGCCAACACTCAGCTATTGTGACAGGTGCACACTACTAAGTTAGGTTTTCAGTTTTGTCTGTCAATTAAGCTAGGTTACAGTCCATCTACAAGGACTCAAATATAGAAGTACGAAGTCCTTCTCAGGCCATGTTTAGTTTGCTTTGATGCTAGTTTTCTAGGCTGCCTTAACCAAGTGCCGTCACAGACTGGGTTACTTCAAGCACGTCAGGAATCAAGACATCAGCAGGGCCATGCTTCCTCCGAAACCTGTAGGGCAGGTCTTCCTTGTCTCCCCAGGTTTTGTTGGGGTGCTGGCAATCCTTGTCAGCCCCTGGTTTGCAGCTGCTTACCCTGCTTCTCTGCCTTTGTCATCAGGTTGTTCTCCCTGAGTTGATTTGTCTTCACATTTTCTTACAGGGGCCCACTGTACTCCAATATGACCTTATTTTAACTAATTACATCTACAGTGACCCTATTTCCAAATAAGGTCATAATCTAAGAAGGTGAGTGCATCTTTTGTGGAGAGGCACAATTCAACCAATAACATGGTTTCTTGCCGAACTGGTTCAACCTGATTCTAACCAAATAAACTAATGTCTAGATTACAGGACATTCTGGGGTTACAGAACTATCTGCTAAAACAACTTAGACCCACTCAGCCTTTAGAGGTTCTTCAGGACAATAATCCTTTGTTCTTCAAATTTCAATGTTTTGCAAAACAGTAATAAGTATAAATAAAAAATGTAGGGAATTTTCTAGATTAAAAGAGGCAAAAGAGAAATAAAATCCAAATGAACTGAATAAAATTTGATCAGATTCTTGTCCAATACAAAAACCATCAAAAACAGTATTTTTGAATAATTGGAAAATTTAAATATAGTTGTTAGTATTACAAATTATGAAGGAATTATGGTTGTTATTCAAAGATTAAAACGGTAGTGGGTTACTGTAGGGGACTATTATATTTTTATCATGTATATAATTTGCTTTCAATAAATGAGCAGAAAAAACATGTATATATATAAATAGATCAATGGATAAATATAGCAAAGAGCTAAAAGATACTGAGCATAAAAAGCAGGCTACTTTGTGTTCATTGTAGTCTTTCCTCAGCTTTCTCTTTGTTTAAACATTTCAAAATAAAAAGTTGGGGTAAAAAGAATCACTAAAAATTTTAATGCCTGTGAAAAGGATTTATGCTACAAGTAAGGTAACTGTTATTATAACCCCAAAAAGCATGTGAGGGAAACGTTTCTTTTCTTTAATTACCTTTTCTGAGTGTTACTCTTCCAGGAAGACAGTCTGCAGGTGTCCAGAGCTTATCTCCTGTGCTGTCCTGAGTGGTGAGCTGCTCTGGTGGCTCCCAAGAATTTTTGACCCCAGAATCAGAGATTACAATTGTAAATGTAGAAAGACATTGCTGGAGGGTTTCTTTCTCTCTTTATGGAATACAAAGTATATTTATTTAAAAAATCATTTAAAATGTGTTTATATACCAAAAGTTAAGGAAAGTAGATGTATTTTAACCTCCCGCTAGGTGAGAGATCCTGTCTTCTTACGTTTATTGTCTATTGAATTCTAACAATTTTAAACAAGATTGATGTAAGTTTTTATGTAAGAAAAGCCTGAAAAGGAAATAGAGACACAAAAAACCCTTCAAAAAAATCAATGAATCCAGGAGCTGGTTTTTTGAAAGGATCAACAAAATTGATAGACCGCTAGCAAGACTAATAAAGAAAAAAAGAGAGGAGAATCAAATAGACACAATAAAAAATGATAAAGGGGATATCACCACCGATCCCACAGAAATACAAACTACCATCAGAGAATACTACAAACACCTCTACGCAAATAAACTAGAAAATCTAGAAGAAATGGATACATTCCTTGACACATACACTCTCCCAAGACTAAACCAGGAAGAAGTTGAATCTCTGAATAGACCAATAACAGGAGCTGAAATTGTGGCAATAATCAATAGTTTACCAACCAAAAAGAGTCCAGGACCAGATGGATTCACAGCCGAATTCTACCAGAGGTACAAGGAGGAACTGGTACCATTCCTTCTGAAACTATTCCAATCAATAGAAAAAGAGGGAATCCTCCCTAACTCATTTTATGAGGCCAGCATCATTCTGATACCAAAGCCGGGCAGAGACACAACCAAAAAAGAGAATTTTAGACCAATATCCTTGATGAACATTGATGCAAAAATCCTCAATAAAATACTGGCAAACCGAATCCAGCAGCACATCAAAAAGCTTATCCACCATGATCAAGTGGGCTTCATCCCTGGGATGCAAGGCTGGTTCAATATACGCAAATCAATAAATGCAATCCATCATATAAACAGAGCCAAAGACAAAAACCACATGATTATCGCAATAGATGCAGAAAAAGCCTTTGACAAAATTCAACAACCCTTCATGCTAAAAACTCTCAATAAATTAGGTATTGATGGGACGTATTTCAAAATAATAAGAGCTATCTATGACAAACCCACAGCCAATATCATACTGAATGGGCAAAAACTGGAAGCATTCCCTTTGAAAACTGGCACAAGACAGGGATGCCCTCTCTCACCGCTCCTATTCAACATAGTGTTGGAAGTTCTGGCCAGGGCAATCAGGCAGGAGAAGGAAATAAAGGGTATTCAATTAGGAAAAGAGGAAGTCAAATTGTCCCTGTTTGCAGACGACATGATTGTTTATCTAGAAAACCCCATCATCTCAGCCCAAAATCTCCTTAAGCTGATAAACAACTTCAGCAAAGTCTCAGGATACAAAATCAATGTACAAAAATCACAAGCATTCTTATACACCAACAACAGACAAACAGAGAGCCAAATCATGAGTGAACTCCCATTCACAATTGCTTCAAAGAGAATAAAATACCTAGGAATCCAACTTACAAGGGATGTGAAGGACCTCTTCAAGGAGAACTACAAACCACTGCTCAAGGAAATAAAAGAGGATACAAACAAATGGAAGAACATTCCATGCTCATGGGTAGGAAGAATCAATATTGTGAAAATGGCCATACTGCCCAAGGTAATTTACAGATTCAATGCCATCCCCATCAAGCTACCAATGACTTTCTTCACAGAATTGGAAAAAACTACTTTAAAGTTCATATGCAACCAAAAAAGAGCCCGCATCGCCAAGTCAATCCTAAGCCAAAAGAACAAAGCTGGAGGCATCACACTACCTGACTTCAAACTATACCACAAAGCTACAGTAACCAAAACAGCATGGTACTGGTACCAAAACAGAGATATAGATCAATGGAACAGAACAGAGCCCTCAGAAATAACGCCGCATACCTACAACTATCTGATCTTTGACAAACCTGAGAAAAACAAGCAATGGGGAAAGGATTCCCTATTTAATAAATGGTGCTGGGAAAACTGGCTAGCCATATGTAGAAAGCTGAAACTGGATCCCTTCCTTACACCTTATACAAAAATCAATTCAAGATGGATTAAAGATTTAAATGTTAGACCTAAAACCATAAAAACCCTAGAAGAAAACCTAGGCATTACCATTCAGGACATAGGTGTGGGCAAGGACTTCATGTCCAAAACACCAAAAGCAATGGCAACAAAAGCAAAAATTGACAAATGGGATCTAATTAAACTAAAGAGCTTCTGCACAGCAAAAGAAACTACCATCAGAGTGAACAGGCAACCTACAACATGGGAGAAAATTTTCACAACCTACTCATCTGACAAAGGGCTGATATCCAGAATCTACAATGAACTCAAACAAATTTACAAGAAAAAAACAAACAACCCCATCAAAAAGTGGGCGAAGGACATGAACAGACACTTCTCAAAAGAAGACATTTATGCAGCCAAAAAATACATGAAAAAATGCTCATCATCACTGGCCATCAGAGAAATGCAAATCAAAACCACTATGAGATACCATCTCACACCAGTTAGAATGGCGATCATTAAAAAGTCAGGAAACAACAGGTGCTGGAGAGGATGTGGAGAAATAGGAACACTTTTACACTGTTGGTGGGACTGTAAACTAGTTCAACCATTGTGGAAGTCAGTGTGGCAATTCCTCAGGGATCTAGAACTAGAAATACCATTTGACCCAGCCATCCCATTACTGGGTATATATCCAAATGACTATAAATCATCCTGCTATAAAGACACATGCACACGTATGTTTATTGCAGCATTATTCACAATAGCAAAGACTTGGAACCAACCCAAATGTCCAACAATGATAGACTGGATTAAGAAAATGTGGCACATATACACCATGGAATACTATGCAGCCATAAAAAATGATAAGTTCATGTCCTTTGTAGGGACATGGATGAAATTGGAAACCATCATTCTCAGTAAACTATCGCAAGAACTAAAAACCAAACACCGCATATTCTCACTCATAGGTGGGAATTGAACAATGAGATCACATGGTCACAGGAAGGGGAATATCACACTCTGGGGACTGTGGTGGGGTGGGGGGAGGGGGGAGGGGTAGCACTGGGAGATATACCTAATGCTAGATGACGAGTTAGTGGGTGCAGCGCACCAGCATGGCACATGTATACATATGTAACTAACCTGCACAATGTGCACATGTACCCTAAAACTTAAAGTATAATAAAAAAAAAAAAAAGAAAAGCCTGAAACAGAATTTAAGAAACATGCCAACTTTTACCTGTCTGGACATGGCAGATGTGGCTTTGAAATGCTGTCCAAATCTCTCTGTCTGTCCAAATCCTGTGATCTTTCCAGTGTTCTTCTCTACTGGGAGCTGCTCTCCCAGACTTTGTCTTTACTGTCACCACTTGCTATTTCCATCCTTCTTTCTACCTCATTTGTCACTCAGATAATAGGACACCGTCCCCAAGTCTTTCCTCATTAGCTTTCAAGATGAGGGTCATTTGTATATACTTTCATCTTTTGATACCTCCACAGACATACATGTAAGTTCCCCTAAGCACTACAAAGGCAAACAGAAATGATTATATATGCAGCAGACACTATCTATTTCTCAAATAATTAGATTTTTATTTTATTATATAGAAATTATTTTTATGGGAATAAATAATGCCTTAAACATATGGATGTAGGGTGACTTTTACAACTCAATCACTCTGATTTATTCAATAGACACTTTCCTAACCAAGACTCTCAACTCGTAAGAACGTGGTCAAGGTATATGCAACCAGTCTTGGATAGAAAGTGGGGGCCAATCTCTGACATCCCAAAGATTAGAGAAATTATGTGTTGATGATATTCCAAAGAAAGATGAGAACTTGTGCCATAATTAGGTACTTCTAACTCTGAGAAGCAAAAGCCTTTGCCATGAATAAGCAGGTTTTGCTTCTCTTAGCACATGACATTCAAATTTGTTATATCAACAGATGCTTTTCAATATTGTCTCTGTATGTGACATATTAATAAGTATTGTGGAGGATAAGGGAAGGATCATACTCTTAAAGAATGTTAATTATTTGCTGTTATTGAGGTTCCATGACATTCTGCTTAGAGTTCTAGAGTCAGCCAGACTGCAGGTATGAATCGCAGCATAAACCTTAGCATGTTTCTAATCTCTGCAAGCCTTTGCATGCTGCACAGGAATACGTGGTATCACTTAGGTCATAGAGTTGACATGGAGATTACATAACACAATGCATACAAAGCAAATATAGCACTGATATGAATGACCACTAAGAAGATAGTGAAGAAGACTATGATGATGAAGGTGTACATGATAAGTAGGAGGTGAAGGCTAAAGTGACAGTAAAGTCTACACTCTCCACCAGTTTCAGCATCCCTTTCTGTGCTGTGTTCACAATGCGATGACCATGATGATAGGCCGGTGATAAAACATTATTGAGATGAAAGAAGAGGAGGCTATGAAACCAAGTATAAAAAGAGTGTCCAATCAAATGTGGAGTCAGAAAAGGTTTTCTGAATGCAGTGATGCTGGGGCTCAGTCTCAAGGATGGGTATGAATCAGCTTAGGTAAATATATGCTCAGAGAAGGTATGTCAGGACAGCAGAGGAAGGAACTCATCCCTATGACTGGAGTAGAGACATTGGAAAACACAGTCTACAAGTGACCTAAGAAGACGCTACATGGTGGATACCCTTGAGATCCGGAGTAATGCCCTCTTGCTCAGCTAAGTAGCCCAACTCTTCTGAGATCTATGAGACAGTAAAAGAAAGATACATATCAAGAATGAGAATTACAGATTGGTTTACTTTTATTTTGATTTATTTTCATAGTGTAAGGAAATTCATGTCAAGCTTATTGTTTCTATTGTATTTGTACACCACTCTAACGTCGCTGATATTGATGCATCTTTTTCCTGCCTCATATTTGTTGATTACCCTGGATAAATAGATACAGAGTAGTAGGCTACCATGAATATTGTTTTAAAACATACAGCAAAACTGGCCCTGAAAATAATGACCTCGTTGTCCCCTAGCATCAGCCATAAAGGCAGCAGCCTGTCTTGCAGACGGCATTGCGGCACAGGAATGGATTCTACTGAGTGATAAGGTGAGGAACTGCAGGCTATGGGACTTCTCAGATAGGCATTACCCTTTGCTTTGGCAGAAAATAGCTAAAGTAAAGGATCAGAAAGAGAATCGTTATGGTTGAGCAGTCCTGTAACAAGAAGACGGTGACTTTTCAATTCATTTTGTAATCAAGGGTCCTAAGTGCAGTAACCCCTTTTGTCTTCAGGACATGAAGCACTCCTTCAGCTGACAAACTACCTAGAGCATCATAATCAAATAAGAAACCCTTCCAGGCTAGAGAGAGGCTCAAAAAGAGAAGTGAGGTGGGCATTTTGATAAGTTATCCTTTTACAACAGCTGGAGAAGCACGTCATCTCCAGACAAGTCTCAGCCACATGCGGCTAGGAATTCTATTGAGATCTTATGTAAAAATAGCTACACTCCTCAAAGTAAAATTGACAGCAACTTCTTTGTAAAAGTAGCATGTGTTTAAACAACAGGCTTACTTTTAAAGTTTCCACACCACAAGTAGCCTCGGTGGGTACTGGGTACCAAGGTTCTTAAAGATGTTAAACATTTGATTTAGTGACATTTCAATCCTTACATTTTGTGCATTTCAATGTCCAATTTGAAGCCAATATTTTATATCACACATCCTTTTTGCTTGCCTAAAAAATGAAATATAAGAAATTACATGGGTGAATGGATGGATTATTATTTTATTGCTAATATAAAAACATTCAAAAAGTAGATGTTTTGAGATTAGCTCTATTTTACCTGTGAACTCCTGGCTGTCTGACGATTTGGCTCACATTCTGTATAGGATGAGTTTATTTGCTCAAAAACTCTTAATCTTTGCAAAGCTCATCGTGGGCAGGTAAAGATGGTTTATCCCTGCTTTCATGACAGCCAAAACATGGCTCAAAAGACCTGTTGTACTCAATGGATCTGGGACTTTAAAAAATGATGAAAGTCTTCACTTAAATGTAGGCTAAGCCACATGTAATGGTTAATTTTCTGTGTCAACTTGACTGGGACATGATACCCAGACATTTGGTCAAACATTATTCTAAATGTTTCTGGGAGGGTGTTTTCAGATGGAATTACCATTTAAACCAGTGGAATTTTAGTAAACAGACTGCCTTCCACAGTGTGGGTGGGCCTCCTTCAATCAATTAAGGCCTTATTAGAACTAAGAGTGATTTTCCCCCAAAGAGGAAATTCGACCAAGCGGACGGCTTTTGGGCTCAAACAGCAACATCTCCTTCCTGGAGCTCCAGCTTGTGTTCTTACCCTGACTGGCCAGCCCCCACCATCCTGTGAGCCAGTTCCTTAAAATCTCTCTCAATAGGCAGGTGATAGACAGATGAGCTACACATCCTACTGGAGAGTACTCAGGCACCACACACACCATATTTAGCTAAAGGAATAGAAAGAGAAGCATTTTTTACAAACGTATTTAGAAGGCACTCTCTCCTGCTGAATGTTCCTGGCTGCTCTTCCATTTACACAGATGACATGACTGTTTTGTTCCCTCCTCTCTGCTGTCCTCAGAGGCTAAAGCATTTGGTGCCTAAGCATCAGAGAAAACACAAACCATGCAGGAGCGGCAGCTGCAGCTGGAGACACACCGGCATTTCTCTGGAAAACCATTTGAAGTAGGTGCTGCGTGCTGGAACCAAGCTGCCACAGCTTGCAGTTACCAAGAATTTCTTTTAAAAGTAAATTCTCCTAATTCTCCTGCACACAGCCCAGTGAATCAGGCCCTGAGGATAATACAAAGTATTTTGTTTTCAAAACACCCAGCCTCCCTTCCTTTAGCCACATCCCCACCTACATGAAAGGCCCCACACTCAAGGCAGCAGGAATGCCCGAGGACATAGCTAATTCCAGAAATTCCAGCAAAATTCTACACCCCTGTATTTCCCCACCCTCTTCACCTGGGAGACTGTCTTATTCATTTCAAATAAATAAAAAGGAAAGCCAATTTTTAAAAGTTCACTTTGAAAATAAACTTAAAAGCTCAGTCTTCTTATTATAAGCCCTTATTAAATACTATTGTGGCCCTATGCTAGAGAGATGGCTCCTGAGAGCCCTGGGCCATGAGAGAAAAGAACAGAACAATCTATGCTTGAACTGACCACACTGTCTCTGTCTTTTCAGGTTTGACTCAGTTAGCCCATACAGGCCTATCTAATAAACAGCGTATATGGAGGAGAGAGCATCTGCTTGGGTTCCAGTGGCCATGGGTGAAAATCCTTTCCCCCAACTCATAAGCTATAGGTTAGGGTCAATTAGATCAAGGACTTTAGAGTCTTTGGGTCACAGACTTCTAATTTGTTAAGTGGGAAGAATAACTCCTACCTCCGGGGTTGTGTGTAAGAATTAAATGATAGAGTGTGTGTAACACTTGCGAATTAAATAGATAGTCACAGAAGATTAGAATTCTCGCTCTTTATTAGCTGGGACTGATGGCCTTTGATAATAGGCAATGCAATCAATAGAGTAATTTCCTGTTTATCAGGGAAAATTTATGTACGCAGTGACCTAGAGAAGGATATAAGGCAGATGTATTATCATCAATAAAAAGAAACACAGATTTCCTATGTGATGGAAGTCAGAATGCTGATTAGCTACAAAGGCAGACCTTGAAAATACGTATGAGTGGGTTATGTGCCTGCGATTCTTCCTGCATAATGCACTGTCTCTTAAACCAACCCTAAAAGCACTTAGCGCTATATAAGGTAGACTTTCGGTGCTCCAAAAGGGCTGATTATTAATAATTAATGTTTGCCTAGGGTTCACATGCATTACCCTCTCAACAACTCTCGAAGAAGGCATGATTGCTGTAATTCCCTTACTTTCCTACCCCGTGGACATGATCTTCCACTCCCCGCCACTTTCGGTTAGTATCAGAAGCCGTGTGCTTCCAAGAGGGCTGGAAGTAACCCCAGCCACCAAGGTGAATCTTAATTAGCATCAATCTATGTTGGTAATTCCACTCACTTGCCTGTGGTTGTTTAAGAAATGAGCATATGGTGCAATTCTGGTCAAAAGCAAACAAGAGAAGATTTTTCTGACAGTGAAGGAGGAAGTGAGGGTCTGGAAACATTTTGCTGCTGCTGAAGGAAACACACAAGAAGGAGACAGTCCTCTCTTCATGTCCTTTGTGTGTTGCTGTGGGAGAATTTGTTCCCAGCTACAGCCATTTTATAGCAATGACGGGACAAACTGAAGGGAAAAAAAGCCCAAACATTGAGGAAGGCAGAGTAAGAAGACAGGGAGAACTCTGAAAATGTTGTTATTCGGCCACTGAACTCACCCACCCCAGAATCAAATTGAGAATTTTAGTCATATAAGGCAACGTGTCTTATCATAAAATTCTTACATTTTTAAGCCACTTCTAGTTTCTGCCTTGGTTAAAGCATTCCCTTCTATCGCCTATACTATTCAGCATTTATTCTACAAACATTAATTAAGACCAACTGTCTATCAGATATTGGAACAGACACCATCTGATATGAAGTAGAAAAATAAATACGAAGTAGAAAAACAAGTAGAATGTGATCCATATCCTAAAAAAAAAGCACGTGGGCTTTTCATTTCTTTGTTTGTTTATTTTATGGTGTAACTACTGTGTATCAGAAGACATTGCAATAGATTTTTGATTGGTTCCCTATCTCTAACTATTACCATCTCCAATTAGACCCCCAGTCCCCCACAGCCCTTGATGAATTATCTTTCAACAATTTAGATTCTATCACATCACTCGCCTGATTTAAAATTCACTCTGTATGGTAGCGATTCTCAAATCACATGGAAAGCTTGTTAACACACACGTTAGCCGACCCACCTCCCAACTCTCAGATTCAGTAGATCTAGGGTGAAGCCTGAGAATGTGCATTTTGAGTGTATTCACAAGTGCTGCTGCTGGTGTGGGAATCACGTTTGCCGACCACTGATCTATAGGATCCAGTCCATATCATTTGGAAAGCATACTTATCCCTGTGCTATGGGTCAAGGTTTTGCATCTTTTCAAATATTTATCCTTCTGGCTGGAATATGTTTTCCCATCTTAGTCAAAACCTGAACTCTTTATCTAGGATATCTTATTTAGTGTAGATATTCCCCCATATATATATATATATATATATATGCATATTTGGCATTAATAGACACTTCTCTATATTTTCTTGTGACTTTTTACATGCTTTCCATTTTACATACTTTCACATTAATGATATATTGCTGTTGGGGGTCCACAGCCTGAGTTTTAGGTAACAAAGAATCTGGCTTACTTACTATATTAAAATATGGACATTTCTTTAGGATAGGTAGCATATAGAATCTGCTTTTTCAGGTTGGTGTGTAGGCATAATATATGACACTCACTCCAGTTCAGTGTAAAAAGATTGGTGAATATAATGTATGTGAGACAGGAGAGTGCCTTCACTTTAAATTCCATCTGAAGGTATAAGTGAAATGTTGAAACAAAGTTTAATGATATATTTTTAAGTTCTAAATGGACCACCAAATTGTTGACTCTAGAGTAAATCAAATCATTGACCAAAAACCAAAAGGATTTATACTAAGTGGTATTGCTTTTACTTAATCCATGATATGTTTCCCAGCAAAGAGTTTTAGTTTTAAAGGTCACCTGAAAGAATTTCATTTTCTCATTTGGAATCAGTCATCTCACTTTATTATTCCAGCACTGTTCAATAAGAATGTAGAATTTGTTAACAAATAATATCATTTTTATTCACAGTTCTTTTTTTCTTCAAGATATTAAGAGTATCTGAAAGCTAATGAAGTTGATGAATCTTATTAACATAAATTGCATGAGGTGCAGTGGCTCATGCCTGTAATCCCAGCACTTTGGGAGGCCGAGGGGGGTGGATCACGAGGTTACGAGTTCAAAACCAGCCTGGCCAATATGGTGAAACCCCGTCTCTACTAAAAATACAAAAATTAGCTGGGTATGGTGGTGCATGCGTGTAATCCCAGCTACTAGGGAGGCTGAGGCAGGAGAATCTCTTGAACCCGGGAGGTGGAGGTTGCAGTGAGCTGAGATTGCACCACTGCACTGCAGCCTGGGCAACATAGTGAGACTCTGTCTCAAAAATAAATAAATAAATAAAATTAAAATAAAAAAATTAAAATTAGAAAAATAAATGCATATATTCATCTAAAATGTTATAATTCAATTACTTATTGATTTTAACTTCTGGGATAATAATATCATTATATAAACTTTTCTAATGTACAAAATATAATCAAGAATTAACACTGTGGCCCTTCCCTCCAAGCAAAGAAAACAAAAGGAAAAACAAACATAAAACAGCCAGTACAATTTCAATCCTGGTCCACTTTCTCTTCCCTGTGTTTCTATCATAATATGCTTCATTCTAGGGCTTCCCTCACCTATGGGTTGTAAAAAAGGTTAAACTCTCTGTGCCACAATTTTCTTATACAGTAAAAAAAAAGAAACAAACATAACTTATATGATTATTCTGAGGATTAAATGATGCAATCAACTAAAGTCATGAACTTACGTTAGGCCACATTCAAAGCCGTCCTGGGTTGCACACACCCGGTGGGCAATGGGTTTGGACAAGCTTGGCTTAGACTTTAAAGAAACATGGAATTAAAATGTATCGCAACAGTAACATGAAAGGTGAGAGAAAATGAAATGGGATTAAAGGGCTCTGAGGTCCTAGCATTTTTGGGCATGAAGTGTGAGAAGTAGTATCTGTTAAATTGTAATAAGATGATTAATATTGTAATCTCTTAAGCAGCAACTAAGTAAACAGTAAAATAATTAATTTAAGGTCTAGTCCTGCACGTGAAGTCATTAGACTATATTAAGTTTGAAATCATGTTCTCAACATTGTTTATTATTATTATTTCTATAGGTACTTATACAGTCAAAGTATATTGCTTGTTATTTTGATAGGTACTTACACAAAGTACAAGCAGTCTTCACTTTTCATGATATTGAAATAACTTTACAATCTCTGGAAAACAATCTTAACAACAGATGGGAATAATGAGAATTGTCCTATGACCTTTAAAATGTTGTCTTACTATAAATTATAAACAAATAGGAGTATAAA
This sequence comes from Homo sapiens, assembly GCF_000001405.40. Classification (NCBI taxonomy): domain Eukaryota; kingdom Metazoa; phylum Chordata; class Mammalia; order Primates; family Hominidae; genus Homo; species Homo sapiens. The sequence continues at coordinate 5,207,885 of NC_000002.12, forward strand.
AACATAGCAAACCTAATATTTGGTTTGTACACTATACTATAAAGCATTAGAACAATTAAAGTGTTTTATTTCTTTTTAAAAATGTATTAAGTAGTTTGAAAAATGCTGATTCTTCATCATTGCATAGCATTTTAACTTTTATACTTTTAATATTGTGACATATCTCCAAGAAGTCCTCTTTGAAAAATATACTGATTTAATTAACACATAAAAATTATATGCAGGCATACTTTGCTCTATTGCAACTTGCTTTATTGCTCCTCACAGATTGTGTACTTTTTACAAATTGAAATTCTGCAACAATCCTGCATCTAGCAAGTTTATTGACACCATTTTTCCAACAGCATGTGCTCACTTTGTGTCTCTGTGTCTTGTAATATTTCGAACTTTTTTATTATTGTTAAATCTGCTATAGTGACCTATGATCAGTGGTCTTTGATATTACTATTATAACTGTTTTGGGTCATCATGAAACAGGCCCACATAAAACAGAAAACTTAATTCATAAACGTTGTGTGTGTTCTGACTGTTGTATTCACTGACTGTTCTCCAGCTGATATGATTTGGCTCTGTGTCCCCACCCAAATCTCATGTTGAGTTGTAATCCCCGGTGTTCGAGGTGGGACCTGGTGGAAGGTGATTGGATCATGGGGGCAGATCCCTTGATATTCTTATAATAGTGAGTGAGTTCTCAGGAGATCTGATTGTTTAAGAGTATGTAGCACTTCCCTCTTCACATTCTCTCCTGCTCTGCCATGTGAAGACATGCCAGCTTCCTGTTTGCCTTCCATCATGATTGTAAGTTGCCTGAGGCCTCCCCAGCCATGCTTCTTGTACAGCCTGCAGAACCACGAGCCATTAAAACCCTTTTCTTTCTAAATTACCCAGTCTCGGGTATTTCTTTATAGCAGTGTGAGAACAGACAAATACATCATCTCTCTCCCTTTCCTCAGGCCTCCCTATCCCTGAAGCACAACAATATTAAAATCAGGCCAATTAGTAACCCTACAATGGACTCCGAGTGTAGAAATGAAAGGAAGAGTTGCATGCCTCTTGCTTTAAATCAAAAGCTAGAAATGGGTAAGTTTGTTGAGGAAGGCATGTAGAAAGCTGATATGTGATGAAATCTAGGTCTCTTGTGCCAAATAGCCCAGTTGCAAATGCAAAGGAAAAGTTTTTGAAGGAAATTTAAAGTGTTGTTTCAGTGAACACACAAAAAATACAAAAGCAAAACAGTCTTATTGGTGACATGGAGAAGTGTAATAGTCTGGATAGAAAATCAAAGCAGCCACCTCATTCCCTTAAGCATGGCCCTAACTCTCTACAATTCTATGAAGACTGAGAGACATAAAGCTGCAGAAAAAAAGTTTGAAGCTGGCAGAGGTTTGTTCATGAGATTTAAGGAAAGAAGTCATCTCTATAAAATAAACATGCAAGGTGAAGCAACAAATGCTGATGGAGAAGCTGCAGCAAGTTATCCAGAAGATCTGCCTAAGACCATCGATGAATGTGGCTACAGTATACAACAAATTTTCAATGTAGATGAAACAGCCTTCTATTAAAATAAGATGCAATATAGGAATTCATAGCTAGAAAGGAGAAGCAAATGTCTGGCTTTAAAGCTTCAAATAGCAGGCTTGCTCTCTTATTATTGGCTAATGCAGGCTAGTGACTTCAAGTTGAAGCCAATGCTCATTTATCATTCTGAAATTCCTAGAACCCTGAAGAATTATGCTAAATCTGATCTTCTTGTTCTCTAAAAGTGGAGCAACAAAGACTAGATAATAACACATCTGTTTACAGCATGGTTTACTGAATATTTTAAGCCCACTTTTGGGACCTAATGCTCAGAAAAAAAGTCTTTTTGAAATATTACTCCTCATTGGGAATGCATCTGGTCACCCAAGAGTTCTGATGGAGATGTGTAAGGAGATCTCGTTTTCACACCTGCTAACACAACTTCCATGATGCAGCCCATGAGTCAGGGAGAAATTCCAACTTTCAAGTCTTATTATAAAAGAAATCCCTTTTCTAAGACTGTAGCCGCCATAGATTAGTGATCCCTCTGATGGATCTTGGCAAAGATAATTGAAAACCTTCTTGAATGGATTCAATATTCTAGAGGCCATTAAAAAGATTTATGATTCATATGGGAGGAAGTCAATATATTAACATTAACAGGAGTTTGGAAGAAGTTGATTCCAACCATTATGGATGACTTTGAGGAGTTCAAGACTTCAGTGGAGGAGGGAGCTACAGATTTGGTAGCTAGAGAATTAGAATTAGAAGTAGAGTCTAAAGATGTGACTGAATTGCTGCAATCTCATGATAAAATGTGAATGGATAAGGACATATTTCTTATGGATGAGCAAAGAAAGTAGTTTCTTGAAATGAAACCTACTTCTAGTGAAGATGCTGTGAATATCGTTGAAAATGACAACAAAGGATTTAAAATATTATGTACACTTTGCTGATAAAGCAAGGTTTAAGAGGTCCAACTCAAATTTTGAAAGAAGTTCTACTGTGGTAAAATGTTGTCAAACAGCATTGTGCGCAAAAGATAAATCCTTCATAAAAGGAAGAGCCAATTGATGCAGCAAACTTCATTGTTGTCTTATTTTTAGAAATTCTCACTGCCATTTCAAACGTCAGCCACCACCACCATGAATCAGTCAGCAGCCATCAACATCAAAGCAAGACTCTCTACTAGGAATTTGATTATGACTCACTGAAGGCTCAGAAGACCATAGCATATTTTTAACAATAAATTATTTTCTAATTAAGATATGCACATTTTTTAACAACATAATGCTATCTCATTCTTAACAGAGTACAGTATGATGTAAACATAACTTTTATATGCATTGGGAAACCAAAAAATAATTGTGTGACTTTCTGTATTGAGATATCTGCTTTATTGTTGTGGTCTGGAATTGAACCCACAATATCTCAATATAGAATGGCTAAATTGAGCTAATTAACATATGCATTACCTCATATACTTACTATTTTTTGTGAGAATACTTAAAATTTACATTTATTTTCAAGAATATGATATACTGTTATTGACCTTAGTCTTTATGTTGTGTAATATTGATCTCTTGAACTTATTCCTTCTGACAAACTGAGATTTTGTATCCTTTGCCAATCGGTCCCCATGGGAGCCTCTCTGTGGACAGAGTGGAGGCATCAGGGAATGGAGCATCCTTGCAGGGAATGGAGCACCCTCACAGGGGATGGAGCACCCTCACAGGGGATGGAGCATCCACACAGGAGATGGAGCACCCTCAGAGGGGATGGAGCACCTTCACAGGAGATGGGGCACCTTCAGAGGGGATGGAGCACCCCCGCAGGAGATGGAGAACCCTCACAGGGGATGGAACACCCTCACAGGAGATGGAGCATCCTCACAGGGGATGGAGCACCCTCACAGGAGATAGAGTACCCTCACAGGGGATGGAGCACCGTTGCAGGGGATGGAGCACCCTCACAGGAGATGGAGGACCCTCGCAGGGCAAGGAATACCCTCGCAGGGGATGGAGCACCCTCACAGGGAAGAACCCAGAGTCCAGATGTGAGGAAGCCAAAGACCAGATGATAAGTGGGGGAGGATCCAGGGATAAGCAGAGACAACCAGAGAAGGGAGGCATGTGGATTCCCCAAATCCTGGAGTGTGTTTATGAAGAATAAGAGACAACCCTCTTGTAGAAAAATCAAAGGCCAGGGTTGCCTGAGCAACACCCCCACATCTGCCCGCCAAGGCCTGGCCACCCTGCTCTCAGACAACATCCTGTTACTTGCTTCTCTTCATATGACAAGCCCCATTATTTGTGAAAACTTGAGTATGTCTTTGTATTTCTAAGCTAAGTCAGACAATGTAATCCAGATTTCTCAGTCAAAATCATCATAAAAAGTAAAGTCTACGAATGGGGAAATTATGAGTCTTCTGTTTCATCCAGTATCTAGAATGGTCTTAAAAGAAAACAGCCATTATAATGTGACTAAAGTAAATGCACTTGTATAATACCTTGCTTCTGGACAGGAGAGATGATCACAAATAACAAATTTCTACGGGGAAGTGCATTGCTAATTTTGAGGAATGGCAATAGAGCTAGTAATGGTGAAATGAGGCAGATGTCAGAGAGGTGGTAAAAACCACAGCATGTGGGATTTGGAACTGACCCTGGTTAGACACTGGTATATATTTTAAAGAAATAATACAGAAATAAATAGGGAGATGTATGCACAATAATGCATATCCTAATGTTATAAATACAGTCTCCACACTGGAAATGAAGAAGTAAAATAGCTGTAATAATAATAGCTCACACCCGTGAGCTATGAGGTCAGTAAGATATTTTCTAAACACATTAAAGCCATGATGAATCTTGTTCTCATATCAACTCTGTGAGGTAAATAGTATCATTATTTCTATTTTATAGATTAAAAAATGAGGCAAAAAATCTTTAACTAGTTACTTGAATTCCACAGCTGTATTAACCAGGTTTCTTCAGAAAAAAAGAATAGATGATAGATAGATAGATAGATAGATAGATAGATAGATAGATAAATAGATATATGATAGGTAAATAGATAATATATCTGTGTGTTTGTGTGTATAGAGAGAAAAGAAAGAGACAGACAAAGAGAAAGGTAGAGACAGAGAGACAGTGAGACACAGACAGAAAGATTTATTTTAAGAAATTGGCTCACATGATTGTGGGTGCTGGCAAGTCCAAAATCAGCAGAGCAGACCAGGAGGCTGGAGCCCCCAAGGCAGTGGATCCCCTCTTGGGCAGACAGTATATTTCTCCTAAGGCCTTAAACTCATTGGCTGAGGCTCACTGACATTAAGGAGGGCCGTTTGCTTTACTCATAGTCTACTCATTGAAAACATTAACTGCATCTGAGACATACCTTCACATCAACATTTAGTCTGGAATTTTACCAAACAACTGGACACCATAGTCTAGCGAAGTTGACACATAATAAATTTAACCATCACAACAGCAAGGAAGTGTTGGCTTCAGAATACAGGTCAGCAGACTGCAGAGGCTGTGAGCTGTCACCACATGGTCCTGCCTCCCAGAGCACGCGTTAGTAGGGCAGCTTGCTGAATGTAGCTGATCCCAAGTCAGCAATACTTTGCCTGCTCACAGAATTATGCATAATATTTAACTACATGAAAAAAACCTTAAGAAAAATGTTAAATAAAAATACTGGGCATGAAATTAATTTTTAAAACCTCAAATTATTAAGATATCTATAATTTATAAGAATTCTAGGCTAGGTATGGTGACTCAGGTCTGTAATCCTAGTACTTTGGGAGGCCGAGGTAGGCAGATCACTTGAGGCCAGGAGTTCAAGACAGCCTGGGTAATGTAGCGAAAACCTGTCTCTACAGAAAATACAAAACTTAGCTGGGCATGGTGGCATGCACCTGTAGTTTCAGCTACTCATGAGGCTGAGGTGGAAAGATAGCTTGAGTCTGAGACTTCAAGGCTGCAGTGATCCAAGATCATGTCACTGCATTCCAGCCTGAGCACCAGAGCAAGACCTCATCTCAAAAGCAAAACAACCATATACATACACACACACACACACACACACACACACATATATGTGTGTATAATTTAATGTATATATGTATACATATATACATATATACACATGTATACATATATACGTATATACACACTTATATACATATATATAATTTCTAGAAGAAACTACTTAATGTATAGATTGAGTATCTCTTATCCAAAATGCTTGGGAGCAGGTATGCAGTTCAGATTTTTTCAGATTCATGAATATTTGCATCATACCAGTTAAACATCCTAAATCTGAACATCTAAAATCTGAAATGCTTCAATGAGCAGCATCTCCTTTAAGTGTCATATTTAGGCTCAAAAAGTGTTGGGTTTTAGAGCATTTCAGATTTTGGCTTTTCAGTTTTGGGATGCTCAATTTGTGCTAACAGTGACTAGATAGCAACAAGATGTTGAGATTATAGATTTCGCTTTTATTTTCCCAATTTTATGTTCAAGTATATATGACTTCCATTATCAAACTAGATGCATACATGAGTTTTGCATGCATGGACACACACAGACGTACATTCACACACAAAGACTACTTTTTCTTGTTATTTGGGGTTTTAGACTTTGATTTTGAGGTCGGACATGGTGGCTCAGGCCTGTAATCCCAGCACTTTGGGAGGTTGAGGCAGGTGCATCACTTGAGGGCAGGAGTTCAAGACAAGCCTGACCGACATGGTGAAACCCTGTCTCTACTAAAAATACAAAAATTAACCGAGTGTGGTGGCACATGCCTGCAATTCCAGCTACTTGGGAGGCTGAGGCAAGAGAATCACTTGAACCCGGGAGACAGAGTTTGTAGTGAGCCAAGACCTCATTACTGCATTCCAGCCTGGGCAACAAGAACAAAAGCTATCTCAGGAAAAAAAAAAAAAAAAAAAACTTTTACTTTGATGTAATTTCAAACTTACAGAAAAGGTACAAGAATTGAACAAGGAATCCCAAACATCCTTTATGTATATTCACCAATGTTTGATATTTGTTTTCATTAGTTTACATCTCTTTCTATCTCATTATATATATCTATATATCTATACACACATAAACACATATACACACATACAGATGCATATACATATATATGTATGTATATACACACATACAGATGCATATACATATATATGTATGTATATACACACACATAGCTACATGTTATGTATGTTGTATTTCTGAACCATTTGAGGGTAACTTTAAGCCATTCTCACCCTGTGTCTCTAATTCCCTCTGATAATGCAGTGTGCATTTTCTAACAAGGGTTTCCCTCCTTATCCATAACCACAAACTTTATCATAAAAACCAGGAACTTAATATTAATGCAATAATAGGATACAATCCATAGTCTGTCTTTAAATGTCATCAATTTTCCCAGCATTGTGCATCTTGTTCCTGGTCCGGGGTTCACTGGCTCTTCCTCCTTATTTCTTCCTTAATCTAGAGCCACTCCTGGCAGAGACGTTTTCAGGTAAACACAGCAGCACATGTGCATCACTAGGCCCTCTTCCAAAGGACGACCCGCAGAAATCATACCTGTGTCCTGATGATGCTGCTTTGTATTTTTAAGTTTCTGGAATTTTTCTCTGAAATTTTCAGTTGCAGTCATCTAATTAGCTACGTATTATGACCCTTTATCATTGCTTTTAAAATCCAGCCCCATGTTCTTCAGCTGGCTGTCATCATAAACCTTTTCAGCAGAATTTGTTGGATGACTGTCACTGTTTCCAGAAATTACAACCACACTTAATGGTGAAAATAATTTTAATGTGTGACCTCCTAAAAAAGCAAAAATCATGCATTCTAATCACACGTACAGAAGAGAAAACTATTCCCCAAATCAGACCAGAGGTACCTTCCTAGGAGACAATTCCGGAGGTGATTCCTTCCCGTACTGAGCTATGACCCCTGCAACTCTATTTTTGACAGTCTCATATGAATCTCTATAGAATAGATTACAGAAAAGGTAGAAACCAAATTGTAGAAACTTAAGAATTATCAGAAAAATAATCTATGATGAATTCTTGTAATTTCAAATAATATTCAAAGTGCTGCTAACTTTATCTAAAACTTTCCAGTAATCCATAAATTACACTTCTTTTTTTCTTAATTTTTAGAGATTATTTTCCTGTCTTTATTTTCTTTTGCTTTATCTTCTTATTTATTGTCAACTAATGTTCTCTTGTGTGAAGAGTTATGATGCTTTGTAAGATAACAAAATGATTTTGGACCAAAGTATCCTATAGATAAATTATTAAATTAATGACATTACAAGAGACAACTCTGTTTTTGCAGTTGACTCACCGAATGCATTCAATATTTCTTGAATGTTCCCATCTGCACCGGGTGCTCTTGGCTGGTTGCAGGCATTGTTCTGAAGGACTTTCCTGGCACACACTATCTAGAAGTTGTAACATGACATGAGGCTTTTCTAAATACCTGAACACATCTACAGACTGTTATACAAATAAATTTTATGATGTTGGAGTAACAGTTTCCTGTGACTTTACCAGGAAATACTTGCTCCTATATTCTTTGTGTACTGTGTAGGTTAGAATCCTACTAATTTTCCAGACACAGAAAAAATAAGCCATATGTTCGACAAATGTTTTCCGGACTCATAATACTTGACCTGAGTCTACGTTTTATTGCTTCTGCAAACTGTCCAGGGGATATGACAGATGATGGCAAAACATGTGAAAAATAGGATGAGTGCTTGGCGAATCCAAGAGCAAATCCGAGGAGGTAAAGAAACGCAAGCTCTGGGCATGGCACAGCTGCCATTTGTTTTCCCTCTGTCAAGTTAGTGGTTCCGGAAGTCATTTCAAAACAATAAATTTTTTGGCATATTGCAAATAAATTTGCTTTTATCTACCACGCTGGTCATTCATGGTCTATTATTCCTTTCAGTGACAGTACATCATCTTTTCTAGATTGAATCAATCCAGCCTGGTCTAAAAGGTGTTCTTTCTTCTTCATGCTTATCTGTTATTCTGATGAGGGCAACAAAAGGGCCAGTGTTTCAGCCAGCAGAAAGCAATGCTTACAGTGTGGAGGGAGAAAGAACTTGCCCCTCTTCCTTTTTCTCCTCCTCTTCTTTTTATCCTTTGCCTCTTCCTTACTTCAGCTCTCACTTCCTGTCTCCCTTTTTGTCTTTTCTCTGTTATTGTGATAGATCCAGCAAATGCCAAGTGCTTATTTGGTATTTTTGATTATAAATTCCAAGCAAGGTCAATTGAAATGATTTTGAGAGTTTTTTTTCAATAATGTTCAGCTGTTTGGTGTAAGAAGATAATTAAGTGGGCTCTGCATTGGAAGGTGAATACAATAATCAAAGAAATGAGTAAGGAAGTTAAACATGCATTCACAGGAGTAGTTTATGTCCAAATCATGAGCTCTCAACTTGGGGCAGGAAGACAATGCAAATGTAAAGATGGCAAAAAGTGAGAGAATGAGTGGTTTGGAGATTGATGAATAGCTGGAGAAACCCAGCTGGAAGAGTAGGAAATGAGACCGAGAATGTAGGATTCTTCTCTTTTTTAATTTTTGTTAAGTTCAGGAGTACATGTGCAGGTTTGTTCCATAGGTAAACGTGTGCCATGATGGTTTGCGGCACAGGTCATATCATCACCTAGGTATTAAGCCCAGTGTCCATTAGCTGTTCTTCCTGGTGTTCCACCTCCTCCCCCCAACTCTCCAACATGCCCCAGTATGTATTATCCCGCACCATGTGTCTATGTGTTCTCATCGACAATGCAGGATTCTTCAAGTGAACATTTAGAAATGCCCCAGCTACTGGTCATTCTAAGCTCTACTGAAAGTGGGTGGCTGAGGTTGAATAGAGGTTGACTATGAGAAGACCAAGAACCACAGAAGCTCTGGTGTTGAGTGATTCATCATATAAGTACGGAAGTCACCAAGTGAATTTGATTTAGTCTGTGTCCTATATGGTTGCAGAGTTTGTCCATTACATAAAGCTGCCAGGACTTCCTGGCTTATCAAATGCTACATTTGCTTCCTACCCACAGGAAGAAGCTCCATCTTCTAAACCTCCTGACCATAGAGGTAAGTGTTCTTATTTGCACAGAGTTGATGTATGGGTTAGTATATTTTGTTTGTCTGTCTGATCATGTTTAAGTTGTATACACTTGTCCTTTGCACAAATGTTCAAAAGAACATTATGTGCAAAATCAGAAAGATGCCTAAATTAATGCATGCCCTTCCCGTCATAAAGTTGTGTATCTCACGTTAGCAAATCAAATTCATGATTGCAATGCTGTTTTTAGTCTGTTGTATTTAGATACACCCTGCCATTTTTGAATCATTTTTTGAAAGATTTTATTTTTAGAGCAGTTTCAGGCTCATAGCAAAGTTGATCAGGTAGTGCAGAGAGTTTCCATATGCTCTGATATAGTTTGGCTGTGTCCCTACCCAAATCTCATCTTGAACTGTAGCTCCCACAATTCCCACATCCCATGGGAGGGACCTGTTTGGGAGCTGATTGAATCATGGGGGTGGATCTTTCCTGTGCTCTTCTCATGATAGTGAATATGTCTCATGAGATCTGATGGTTTTACAAAGGAGAGTTTCCCTGCACACACTCTGTCTTGTTGATGCTAAGTAAGACGTCCCTTGCTCTTCTGCCATGATTGTGAGGCCTCCCCAGCCATGTGAAACTGTGAGTCAATTAAACATTTTTTCCTTTACAAATAACCCAGTCTCAGGTATATCTTTATTAGCAGAGTGAGAACAGACTAATATATGCTCCCTGAACACTCAAAACCTAAACAAACTCTCCCCCACTATCGACATCCTGCACTGGAGTGGTACATTTGTTACAATGGCTAAGCCAATATTGATATCTTTTTATTCACTAAAGTCCATAGTTTACATTAGAGTTCATTCTTGGTATTGTACATCATATGGGTTTTGGAAATATATAATGTCATGTATCCATCAGTATAGTATTATGCAGAACAGTTTCACTGCCCCAAAAATCCTCTATGTTCTACCTACTCATTACTGTTTAGCTAATTATATTATGACATAAAATAAAGAAAACAGCAAATGTTTATTGAGAGATCAAAAAAATGTCTTACATTCAAAGTGCAGAGTACTTTCACAATGGGACCTCATTTTCTTTGTGGCAGACATGGAGCCATGCCACCATGCCTCTCAGATCTCCCATCAAAGACGTACCTTCCCAGCTGTCTTCTCCATCAGGCTTGGCCTCAGAGAGCATCCTCACCCAATAACATGCAGTTCTCAGGGGCCACTCGCATCCAATGACTGGTCACAGAGTTTCATAATGGTCCAAACTATTTGGGACAACTGTGACAAGTAATTTCCACGCCAGAAACTCCATGTAAGGTTAGCTAATGTTTCGTCTTGTTCAAAGGGACATCTAACTTATCTCTCTGCTCAATTTGTCTCCTCTCTCCAGTGATCACCTCCAATAAAAATCCAAAACACTAATATCCCCCTCAAAGTCGGTTTCTAGAGGGTCCAACTTGTGATGTCTCTCAAGGCAGAGAAAATTGTGTCTTACTTTTCAGAACTAGTGTAAAAGTAAAACAGGTTTCAGAAGATTCAAATCAAAGATCAAGGTACCTGCATTAGTGGAAGCAGGTATCTGAGCTTCTTAAAACATCTTCTAAGGAAGCCTACCTAGAGATCTCAGAGGTGAAGAGAAATCACCAACAGGCTGGTCTTAAAATCTCTCTTGCTTCTGCAGTAATTAATGGAGCTTGAGAATGCTGCAGAAGGTGAAAGAGAAAAGAAAAGGAGCAATGAAGGAGGGTGACGATGTTGCATATGGCCACACTGAGCCCCAAACACTGAAAAGCTGATCTGCGCTCATCTCTCTTGTGTGTCCCATAACTTTGGCATTCTTGAGTTTTCAAAACATTCCATGAGAAGAAACAGCAACACATTAAATATCTGAATTCTTGCTGTTTATTATTTATTTCTCTTTGAGCGTCAGGGTCTCACTGTGTCACCCATGCTGGAGTGCAGTGGCATGATCATAGCTCATTGCAGCCTGGAACTCCTGGACTTCAGTGATCTTCCAGCCTTAGCCTTCCAAGTAGCTGGGATTATGAGCATGAGCCACCACACATCAGGAATTGAATTATTGCTATTTCTAAGACTGATAACTAATCCAAGAAAAAAAAAGGTTGTTTTCTAGATTAAAAGTATGTGTCCAAGGACTTGGAATACAATAATTTATAACTGTCTGGTACTTACCACAAATAGACATTGAATATACAGTTAGTGAGGAAAAGCAAATCAGCCAGCATGGTACATCCTGTGGTTTTCTGCCATATGACTTACCAACGGTGACCATGCCAGGGCCACAAATCCAAGGGGGCTTTCTGTGCAGATACCACAGGCAACTGTTGAGTTTTAGGGAGTACTTCAGAACCCAGGTAATTCACAGCAACTCCTGCTTTAATTATCATGGTTAAAAGGCTACTCCTGAGATTTAAGGATGCATAGATTCCAGAAGAGCATCATTAGGCTAGCACTGTTTCACTGAAGTAAGTAATACAGATCCATGAATTGTCACATAAGTGGTAAATACGTAAAGTCAAGAGCCATTTATATGCTCACAAGACTTTATAGTCTGAAAAACAGTTGCAATGATAATAGTTTAAGCCCAGGTGAGAGCAAAACCCTATAAAAATAGACCACATAGACTGGCCTGTTAGCTGGGCACATGCCCAAATAAATGACTTAAATCACACCAAGCTATTCAACCTGAAAATCCAAATTCCAGAACTGCCAGGCTTTGACATGTTAGAGTATTTTCAATATTCCAGCATTCCCTATTGAAAAATGCAAGTATTCCTCAATGACTCAAGACCCTAAGTCACTATATTCCCTTGTATGGATAGGGTGTCACTATGGAATATACTGAAGCCATGCACATGTGTGTGTACACAAACACAGAGCAATTCGGTAAATAAGACAGAAAGAAAATGTCCCAGAATTGGGGAAAATCTAACACCCATTGAACAGTGTTGCCAGGAATCTAGGTCAGGAAGACTTGGCATCGGGAACTTGGAATCTACATCAGGAACATGATCAGATAAAGGTTGGTACTCGAGTTGCAAAAAGATGCAAGTGGATAGAAGCAGAAGAGCAAGGGGGAATCCAGGCATAGGCACAAACAACACGTGGACCGGCTCATGATCACAGCAAGGATTTTTACTTTCTTAGATGTTGCAAATATGTTGGTAAATCTATAAAGAATAATTAGCAAAAGTTGCAAATCATTCCCATAGGCTCATCTCAACCACAGGACGTGCAGTGAATGCTAATAGTGTGCTAGTCCGGCAAGCCTGCTCCTACTGCCCTTACTGCCCCTCTTACAAAAAGGAACACAGCAAAGATGAATGTAATTCTGGTCCATGGTTAACGGGGAAGAGATATGATCATTTTCCTAGTACAAGGTGTCTATCATTTTTATGTTTCAGTAAATATTAAAGAAAAAGAGCACAACTTCATGTATATATAAACTATATTTATACTATATACACACACTATGTATATACAGAGAGATAGTATGTACATATATACACGTTTATATAGATAGTGTGTATATATATATATACATGTGTATACTATATATATGTGTACATTCTGGCCTTACAAGTTATGCACTTCCAGCCCCATCCCCACCCTACCCCACGGAGTTCTTTGCCAATGTGTTCTAAGGAGCAGTGCCTGTACGCTTATTTTGCTTTGAATGTATATGTGGCAGGGGGATCAGATGATAGAGTGACTTTGGTTAACCCAAGATGGCCAAGGCGTGGTCTGTTTTCCATATATACATACACTATTCGTTTGTGGTTTTCTCTCAACGTCTAATACTAGTTAGAAGCATCCTAAGGATGATGATGATGAGCATAGAAGATGAGACGTTCCCTCTGCTCATTCTTTTGCAGGTTTTAAAGTGTCATTTGCCCTACCCTTTGCAGTGGGGGTATATTATGTGAAGGATCTATAGTGGCATGTTTCATAAGAGATGATCCTGCAAGCTTCTCACGTGTGAGCTGTTTTCATAACCTATTCTTTTACGTTGGTCACATTATTCTTAAGGGGATGCTTGTTAGAAAGATGGAAATGTGAAAGACACTTGATGCATACGTTAAAGGCATGCTTTTCTCTGGATGCTTGCAATTGTGTCTGCAGGAAGCACAATCTCATATGTACAAGAGAAAATGACATTGAATTCAGAGGTAGGCAGAGAGAGGTCAGAGCCCTTTGTATTTACAAGAACTGACAGCTTTAAAACGCACTGATTCCAGACCACACAAGAAAAGTGGACATCACGATTCACACACCAATTTTCCCAACCTGTCATCGTGGTGTTGGCTCTGGGGGCTGCAGTAAAGGCTCATGAGTCCAGAAAGATCCTAGTTGTTCTCTTTTCACTGTTGCTTTAAATAGCATGGCCTACCATGGCTGCATGACTGACTTTTAACCTCTTTGAGGTAGGAGAAATGACAAGCACATTCAGGAAGCTCTAGATAAGCAGGTTACCGAAAGTATTGTTTTCTCTCTTAGAAGGGATGATTTGCTCACCAATCCAGAAGCAAAGTTCCAATAACAGATGTTTACATGAATAGTTTGTGGTGCAGAAGTGACACTCGTGCCCAGGTGCAAGTCACAGGAAGGCAGAAATGATCGCTGTGGCTCACAGGTAACTGATGGCTGTATATTTAGAAAAAAACTCCCACTTAGCTCCTGGTTGTTTTTGTTTTCATAGCAGGAAAAAAAAATCACTGGAATATAGGGATTTTGAAAGTAGGGAATTAAAATCAGAAAGAATGGGATTTTGAAAGTAGGGAATTAAAATCAGAACCTTCGCATTGTGATATAGAAGAGGATGAACTAGGTTGTGTCTTAACATTTTTTTGTAAGAAAAAATGTATGTTTTAAGATCAAAGTAAGCCTTTGGCAATGAGACAAACATGAAAGAGTAATAGAAGTATTGACACATTCGGTGTAAGATTGTGTGTTTACACCTCCTCAGGAGACCTGAGGAAGCCCACTGATATGATCAGGTTGGCTGAGCCTTCAGGGCAGGGGAGGCAAATTCTCCCCAGTTAATACGTGAGGTCATTTTGAGTTCTGCACACCATTGTCTTAAAAACAAATGGTTAAATATTCTGTGATTACCCAGGTTTCAGAACAGCATGCTCATATTTCTTAGGATTAGAAAACTCGTGCAAAATGTTAAACTAGTTGTATTTTCTTTTCATCTTTTAAAGCTCATCTTCAGTGGAAGCAGCTTCCTCATCATTTCACATTAAGCTACTGAGGAAGGTTTACAGGAGGTCGAGGATGAAATAGCATCTGATGATCTTATTTTTTAAATGATCCATTACTCCTTATGGAACAAGTAATAAGAAACCTTTAAGTGTGGACTATGCCTTGAGATAGCTCAGCTCCACAGGACTCTTAATATAGTTTTGGAAACCAAGGCTGGAAAAAGTTAAGCAGCTTTCCCAGGGTTGTGCAGTGAGCATCAGGGACAGTCTCCTGATGAGACCTCACCCGACTCACTGCTTCTTCCCAGCGTGCATGCAGGATGCCATATGGCGGGCCATTCCCAACACCAGAATATAAATGCCATCCCTGCCACTGGCAGGTAACTGCTTATCCATGAAAAGAAAGTGTTATGGATTATCTAATAAATTAACTAATGATTAATGTTTAATATAAATGTAATGTACATTTTAATTTGAATAGGTTGACATATTAATGAATAAATGAATGAAAACTTTCTTAATTAAAGTGTCAGTTTAAGATCCTAGTTATATTTTTAATGTGGTTAAGAAAACTGAACTATCAGGTCAGGCACAGTGGCTTACGTATGTAACCCCGCCACTCTGAGAGGCTGAGATGAGAATATCATTTAAGCCCAGGAGCTGCAGATCAACCTAGGCAACATGACAAAAACCCATCTCTATCAAAAAAAATACAAAAATTAGCCAGACATGGTGGCAGGCACCTGTGGTCCTAGCTACTTGAGAGGCTGAGGTGGGAAGATCACTTTTGCCTGGGTCGAAGTTATGGTGAGCTGTGATCGCGTCACTGGACTCCGCCTGGGAGACAGAGTGAGACCCTGTCTCAAAAAAGAAAGAAAGAAAAGCATACTAAGCTATCATGACTTTTAGTAAGTAGACTCACACAAGAAAAAATTAGAAATTGAAACACATGATTAGCCCCTTAGTGTTTACCTGTTACTGAACGAAATAGCACTGTCACAGAGTGATTGATAGGAATAAAAAAGAATGGCAAGAAGAGCAGGTACACATTCAATGTTTGCACTGGATATTGCAATATTAGGAAAAAATATAAAAAAATAGAGAAAAATCAAATATAGCCTTTCAAAGAACAAATATGTGAAAATGTAATACAAGAAATAAAAATAACAATGTGTTTAATAATGGATATCAGCATTATGGAAAATTTAAAATATAATTTTAAATGTGTACCAATGTATTAACTTGGGATAATGTATTACTCCATTCTCATGCTGTATAAGGACATACTCGAGAGTGGATAATTTATAAATGAGAGAGGTAAAATTGACTCGTAGTTCCACATGGCTGGGGAGGCCTCAGAATCATGGGTCAGGGAAAGTGAGGAGCAAAGTCAAGTCTTACATGGTGGCAGGCAAGAGAGCTTGTGCACAGTAGGGGAACTTCCATTTATAAAACCACCAGATCTCGTGAGACTTATTCACTATCATGAGAACAGTATGGAGGAAACCACTCCCATGATTCAACTGTCACCACGTGGCCCCATCCTTGACACTTGGAGATTATTATTCAAGGTGAGATTTGGGTGGGTACACAGCCAAACCATATCAGATAATTATTACTTAGGTAAAAGGTTAATGTGTTCATAAAATATGGTACATTTATTCCCAGCTCCCTATCCAACTGAATGCCCTTGTAATTTTTTTCTAAAATCAAAACCTGTTAGTTTGGGGTACATAATGAATTTAGTTACTTAATAAAATAAAATCTTAAAGATTTTACTTTTAGACACTATTTGCACTTCAAATAATGTCAACACCTAAAGTCTAGGGGCTGAATTTATAATAATGCATTTCTAAGTCTCCTTGCACTAGGTGATGGAGAAAACTGGGGGTACGGGAAGATTTCAAGCAGGAGTAACACACATGGCTTCCATAGACAATGTTCTATTCATTCCTAAGGCCATGCTCTGGTTCTAAGATAATATGTTAATATTTTCATAAATGGGGAAGAAAGAATATATGCAAATGTTTGGATTTTCCATCACCGATCTCCAGAACACCAGATCACCACACCCTAGACCTGACAAGGTGCCCACCATCCCACCATTCTCAAAACAGTTTTTCTATTGAGCTGTCCACATTGATTCTGAGGATACACCAACTATCATTTGTCATTGCTTGTTACATTTGGCTCTAAGTATTCTGGCTATGATGTCCTAGATGTGGTTTTCTGCATATTTGTTTTGTTTCAGGTATGCTGAGCTTCATAGATATCCGCATTAGTGCCTTTAATCACAGAAAGGTAAAATTCTCATTATTTACAATAGGCAAAATGTGTATTCAGAAAGTTGAAAGGAATCTACAAAACACGTCAATCACTACCTAATTATTTAATCTGTCTTCTCTCTTTTTTTTGTTTTTTGAAATGGAGTCTTACTCTGTCGCTCAGGCTGGAGTACAGTGGCACGATCTCGGCTCACTGCAACCTCTGCCTCCCAGGTTCAAGCAATTCACCTGCTTTAGCCTCCTGAGTAGCTGGGATTAGAGGCGGGTGCCAACATGCCTGGATAATTTTTGTATTTTTTTAGTAGAGATGGGGTTTCACCATGTTGGTCAGGCTGGTCTTAAATCTTTCAATCAACAAAGTGTTTTACTCTTCTTGCTGTTCTGTTTATTTTCCTTTTAAAATAGTAAATATGCCTTTGGCAAGTTGGAAGGAGACATATGATGAAGTTTAACCCAGAGACTGGGGAGAGCATTTAAAAATCCTGGCTAAGGGATTGTGAACCAGCCTATTCAAGAAGGCTATTGATTCTGCACATTTACACGTTGGCTTCCAGTTTCTGACACTGCCTCTGTTCAGGGCTTTATCATAATACCAAGCAATTTACTCTCGTTCCTGTCCTGAGTCCCAACCACTCATCCTACCCCCATGTTGTCTGCCTCTGGAATACAATCTTAGGGGAGGGGCAGGCTGAAACAGATTGTGTGTTTAAATGTACTGGAAGGGAGCAAATGTAATTCTATGTAAAAGTGAAAATCAAACTTAAAGGAGAGCCAACATTGGCACCAAGGAAAAGTATAACATGTACAGTCTGACAGGTAAGATATTAGACCATTTGTTCTTTACCAGGGGTGATTTCCTTCCCAAGGGAGACATGGCGATATCTACAGATGTTTTTGTTGTCATGGCTGGACGTGGATGTGACTGGTATCTGGTAGGTAGACACCAGGGATGCTGTTAAACGTCTTACAATGCACAGACCAGGCCTCCATAACACAGAATTATCCAAACTAGAATGACAACAGGGTCATCATTGAGAGCCCCTGATGTAGCAGAGGCTAAATGTGAGCTGAAACACTGTGACGAGTAATGCTAGAACATGGCAGAGACAATTGAAAAACGGAAAATGGCTGTGGACAAGGCAAGCTGGCTGAAACTTCATTCTAATTTCATGCTTTAGTTTTCTTACTTTTCAGAATGTATTATGGAAATTATGACTTCTTAAATCATTTTTAAAGGATTTCAGGGAAAAACATTCTTTCTGAGATATAGAGCTTTCTATAACTAACTTTAATTGGTTCATTCCGATTTTTCCATATCTTGTACATGTATCACTAGTATCATCTAAAGTAAGTTTAAGTAGTATACAAATGGATATTCTATTTCATTTTAGTAGATAAGGAATGGTAAATGGTAGAAAAAATCATGTCTATCACCTCGAACTTAACGATTTTTCTGATGACATGAAAATTTCAAAGTAAAAATTTTAAAGTAAAAAATATTAGGTTTAATTAAAGTAAATATTCTATGCTTCTAACATGTTGCGCTGAGCCACATGTGCTCACTGAATACTTGCAAATGTGGCCAGAGACATGGTGAAATAATAATATTTTCAGTATACCGGATTAAATAAATATCCTAAAAAATGTAATCATTTATGTGTTTGACTTTTGAATGTAGCTACTAGGAAACTTAAAATTACACAACTGGCTTCTATTTCATTTCCATTGGCAGGCACTGCTCTATACAATTTCAATAGAGCATCATGAAGATGGAATCTGAAAACCCCATGTTCAGGAACCACCAGTCTAAGTTCAATCATGTTGCAACACAAGTCATACAAACTCTGTCACCAGATGACAAGCCATGCAATGGAAAATGGATCCCTGGGGCTGTCCCACTCACTCACTAACCCAGGATCACACAGGAAGCAGCCAGCAGTCTGGAAAGCAGGCATAATCGATCATTATTGATTGATTTGGGTGATTCTCAGAGAGCCAGTTACTTGATTCCGCTCCCAGCCCTGCTGAGATCTGTCCCAGTGACCAAGGCTTGCCCAGCCTGCCTCCAGCCCATCATTTTCAGGAGCTAATTTTCCCACCACCATCCAGAAAGTACCAAGACAGCCGATACAGTCTGAGGCCTGGCTCGGGAACTCTTCAGCCAAATGCTTTCAGTTTCCCTTGAATATTTTCTCTTATTGGCTGCCTCTGGCCCTTGACTAGGATGACTTCAGATCTTTGGGTCAAAACCCACACCTATTTGGGTTTTGAACTGTGGTTTGTGGTTTTCTAACCCAGCTGGCTCATTCCAATTCTTGGTTCTCTGAGTTGCAGAAATGAGTAGGAGCAGATGACAGCTCCAGTGTCATTTAAATAAATAAATAAATAAATAAATAAATAAATAGAGCCAGCTACAGTGGCTCATGTCTGTAGTTCCGGGTACTGGAGAAGCTGAGGTAGGAGGATGGTTTGAACCTGGGAGTAAGCCAGGAGATTGCACCACTGCATTCCACCCTGGGAAACAGAGTGAGAGGAAGACAGTTTCTCAAATTAAGAAAAAAAGGACTGGGAAATGTACAAATGAGCAGTTCCATGGTGGGATAGCAATAGTGCAGAACGTGTTTAAAGAGATCAAACTTCTGTAAAGAATCAGATTGAGAAGGTTTTCTTCAGTGCCTTCAATGGATGATCATGCTTTGCCTTGTTTTTTTTCAAATTATTGACATCTAGAAAATAATTTCATAGAATCCTTCACTGAAATAATGACCTAATAACATTTTTACTCTAAATTGGTGGTAATATGGCTTGATTGATTTAAAAGGAATTTGAAGAGTTAGAGAGAAGGGTAATTGTGAATGTCATGTTTTTTCTGCTGTACAAAATCCAACATGGCAAGTCACATTTATATCAGTTAGAGTTCATCAACTCCTTAATAGACATATTCCACTTTCCATCCCCTCGCAGGAAAGGTCACCTTTAATACTGAACACCAGGTTTGGAATCTCTAGCAAAATGCTGAGGATTATCTCATCCAAGTAACTCATTTCTCCCATGCCTTACAGAGAAGACTCTATAAATTATGAAAAGGAGCACTTTCCATTAAATAATAGTAAAATAAGCAGCTTCACAGAAAAATTAGTGTAGACAAACAAATTAGTGCTTTTAATGAAAGAATTACAAGCTAGGCATAAAAGAAAATTGAAATACCTCTTTTCTCTTTCCTCATTTATAGGAAAAGCACCATTTACACTAGGAATAGCATTCTTAATTTTATGTCAAATTAATCAACTCACAATACAGGTCTTAATCACTGCCAGATGCACGTTTTAAAAATTAAATGTTTTTATCCCCAATAATATTGTTGTTTTCAGACACAACAGTATTGTGTCTGAACTTAGGCAAAGAGAGTTGAGAAATGTTAGTATTTGTCTGTACTTCTGTACAATTGCGAATCCTAGCTGTCTTTAATTTTGCAAAAACAAAAAAAAATGATTTTTCTTTAAACCTACCCTAATCTTATCAAAGAAATGTAAGTGAACACATCATACAATGTTACTATGGGAGGAAATATGGCCATTACCAAAAATTAATAAATAAAAAGTGCGTAGTGCTTTGTTTAGTACTATTAAAAATTCACTTCAAATTTGGCTGAATGTCTTACATGATCTCTTAAAATGTTATTTTATTATGAATAACAATAATCTTAGTTACTTTTCTACCTGGAAATGTGTTTCTCCCTTTTTCTCAGGCATATGAAAAAGAACTATTAACACTTCCTTTCAGTTTAGAAGTATTTCATGTTTTTCCCAAATAAAATACACTAACATTTTTTTCAATAATTCTGGGCGAATGTTTATAACATTTAGTTCCCAATTTTCATTGATTTTGGATTCTCCTAGCACAAGCTCCAATTTTGTATCATAAATTTATGGATGAATCCTTCAGCCCTGTTTCTGGGGTTTGAACCACCTTTACATTAGAGCAAGCCAGAATGATTTAATGATATTTTATGGTTTTTGCACAGTTTCAGCAGCCTTATCTGCTGACCCTTCTGTAAACAGAAAGCCAACTTCAGCATGTACACACAGTAGCATTAAGTCACTCAGCTTCTATTTTTTTCTTCCTTTAGAAGTAACTGTTTACTCTTATTCAGCTTAATATGAATAATTGCAATTAAAACACACAGAGTAAACACCACATTACAATGATTGTACATACCCTGAAAGCTGAAAACTAGTCTTATGGTGAAATTCAGAAGTAAGGGACACAGACCTTGCATCTTCCCATTGTTTGGATTAATCAACTCCATTCTCCTTTACGCCATCTTTCAGTTTGCATGGCCAGAGGAGACATATGCCTGTCCCCAGGATGTACCTGTCCCCTAAACCAGAGAACTTGCCTGGAGCATCCCCAGGCATATATCTGATCCAAGCACAAAGAGGCATGAGGATGCCAGTGTGGAAGCCTGCCCGTGTCAGGGATTGATGGGCATTTCACCTGTTAATGTCCAGGGGCCTTTGTGCATCTCTGGGTTCATGTAGTATTTATTGTAGATGCTCGCATTTCTCTTCTGTGATCTTCACACCACATGTACAATGAGAAACACATGCCCTGAAAGAAAAAGCTCCCCAGGTAGTTTTAAATATGTCAGTAGAAGCAAGCTAGGAGGGGAGGGGATAGGAGGAGCTCCAGGAAGTGTTTTCCGGGGAGTCCAGAGACTAGAAGACACTAGCAGAGCAGCAGCTCTAGCCCCTCCTTCCAATGAGAGCTGTCAAAATGAATGCAGTCTTGTCTTTGCCCCAGAGAGCCCTGGGTTTTGCTTAATATGTCTCTCCTCCATCTGCCTACTCACTATTAATGTAAAGGTTGCTGCATGTGACATTCCCAGGCTCATCTTGATATATGTGCTCAGGAGGTTTCTCTGGGGTCTAGACTGGGGAAGTCAAATTGCATAAAAGTAAAATCTCAAGGATGTTCAGTTTTTAAATTGGTGAAGGGGATGTATCAACAATAAGCTCTAGAAATTTTCGAAATTTGTCTTGCGATACCAGAACAATGCACATTTACTCACATCCCAGCTACCTTTAAGGGCAAAATCTGTGTATGATGTCTGCTCCTATTAGATGTTCAATATGTCACCTGTAACTTTTTCCCTCTCTAGTATCTTAACTATTGCAAGCGCACAACAGTAGCATCTTCCCTATCAGGGGTGACAAGGGAATTGGCTCATTAGCAGGGAATACAGGTTCGTCTTCAATAAAGGATCCCTTTCTCTCAACATCTTTATCAATTAAAGGGGAGCAGGGGAGATAAAGCAATGCTTCAGTTAGACTTCAGGTGTTTCTAATAACTGTGGCAATGAAGCATAAATATGAAATTGTAGAAGGAACTGATTCTGAAATACTCCCAGAAAAATCATAGAACGCCAAGTGGAATTGTACAGCATAGAAAGCAGGTGTTTGGCTGTCCCATCCCTGTTGTGTACACACTATTCACCCAGGCATGTGTAGGTATTTATAAACACAGACACGCAGTGTCTTAAGGCATTTGGGTGCCACATTTTATAAATTTCAGTAGTGAGCATTCAACGCTGGGACTGGCTGGAAGGGAATGACGTCAGGGCCAACGTCATCTTTGGATTCAGATGCCAGGTGCAGCACAGCTGCTTGCCACTCAGTTCCTTGCTGCCCCCAGGCTCCTATGCAAAGGGAAGACCACCTGAAGATTGCGATGGGCAATCCTTTCGACTCGGCCTCATGTGAATATTGATTTCCCCTGCTGCCTCTTGAAACTTCTGCATCAGGAATTACAACTTAGCAGCTCACTCAAAACCCAACTTTGAAATTCAGCGCCCTAGCCAGGAAAAACTATCTTCCTTTATCTTTGGTTTTCCTCAAAGTTAAAATCAGTGCCAAAGCTTTACTTGAGCTCAAGTTCACCCCTACGTTCAAAATAACAGCTTTCCTTTTCCCCTCATGTGAATCACTGCAACACAAGCCCAGGCTCTTGTATGAATATTTCAGCAGCTAAAGTGTTGCTGGCAGCAAAACATGCAATTCATAGGCAGGAGACTGTGAGTCCCTCTTGCACCAGAGAAGGAAGGATGCATTTCATCTCAGTCCAAAAATAAAGGAAATACAATCTCTTCCTCTAGAAAGGTGACTCGAATATTGAATATCATAGGATCTTGTGAATCTAAGTGGCTGTTATTCCAAAAAGCGGGTTCTCTGTGGTATGAGTCATTCTCCAACATAAATGAAAAAAAAATTTCTTTAGAATAAAAGTAGTTTAAGTGAATTTTCAATTATTGCTTAGTCTAAAAGAACCCTGCCATATATCTAAAGCAATAATAGAATGACATAGTCCCCCAAATGTATGCTTGGAATTTCTGTTATGGAAAATGTACGTATGGTCTAGGCGGAATGCCCTAATTTTCTTAGTAATTAGATGCAGAGACATCTAATTATTTGTCAGCCAGTGGATATAATTCCATTAGTCAGGGACAATATGGAGATAACAAGAAAAATATAGGTCTTTAAGACTTATCTTGTGAATTTAATTAATTTTGCCCTCCTAATTTGGTTTATGATGAATTTGTCTACTGAAAAAGTAAAAAAAAAAAGCAGGTTAGATATTTTTAAATTCCTACACTTTCTATTTAAAGTGATTTGTTTCCAGAGTTAAAAAATTTTTAAGAATTTAAGTGTAAGGGTAGTAAGATAAAACTATTAAATATCAGGTTCCTGCTATGTGCTAGATCCTGAATAATGCTTTCTCACATATATTACTTCCTGTAACCTCGACAACAGACCCAGAGAGCAGAGATTTGTATGGAGGTCTGTGTCCAACTGCAGGTTCATTAGGAAAATTACTTCTTATTCGTTCTGCAAATATATTTATTGTGTCTCTCCTAGATACTACTTGGTAATATGGGAACAACATTGAATAAGATGAATAGTTTCTTACTCTTGAACAAAAATTTCGGGAACTTAAGACAGTCTGTTAAAAATGTCAAATCTTTATCAATTTATAGCCAGAAAATACCAGAACTAGAAAGAACTTCAGAATCAATTCAAAAGCATATTGTATGTAATGGTGTGGTTGGGCACATACCTCACCAGATATAAAAAAAAATACTTTTCAAGTAATAATTTAGTGCTAGTATATGGAAAGAAAAACAGAGCAATGGACCAGCTGAAAGTTCAGACACAATCCCACATAGGTATTAGGATTTAGTAAGCATTTCAATCAGAAGGCAAAAATAATAGTTAAGAAGTGATATTAGAAGAACATCTAAGCAACCTAAGAGAAAAGGTGATACTTTTTTTTTTTTTTTAAAGACAGTTTCACTCTGCCACCCAGGCTGGAGTGCAGTGGCGAGATCTCAGCTCCCTGCAACCTCCACCTCCCAGGTCCAAGCGATTCTCCTGTCTCAGCCTCCTAAGCTGGGATTACAGGCACATGCCACCATGCCTGGCTAATTTTTGTGTTTTTACTAGAGATGGGATTGCACCATGTTGGCCAGGCTGATCTTGAACTCCTGACCTCAAGTCCTGAGACACTGCAACCAGCCCAAGAAGAGGTTATAAATCTTAATTGCTATCTCACTGCTTATATAAAAACAAAAAGGTAGCTAGATCAATGATTTTCACAGTAAAACGTTAAAACTCTAAAAACACTTCAGAAAAATAATGGATTTGTACATGCTGTTATTGAAGAAAGTTCAAGTAGGACCAAAAAAACCCCATAACAATAATGATAAATTTGGCTATATAAAAATTGCACCAACTAAAAACATTATGAAGGGAAGGCTTAATTTTCATAATGTGGAGAGAAAATGCAGAAGTAAGAAAAAAGATCTAAATGTCCACAACTCAAAAAAAAAAAGTGGTAAAACACTGAAGTATGTATTTCATACAAATAAGGAAAAATAAATGTCTTATAAATACCTGGAAGGTTGTAAAACAACACTCATGCTTATGAAAATGTAAATAAAAGCAAATAATTTTTCCACAGAAAATCAGAATTGGTAAGACATCACTTTCATATATTGTAGGTGGGTTTGTATTTGGTATAGAGGCTTTGAAAAAAAAACAGTGTTATTTATTAAAAATAAAGTGCACATGCTTTATAAAGTTTATCTTTTATTTTTAAGGGTTTTTAAAATCCATTTTAGAGTAGGAAGAACATGAAAACCCTACAAAATTCAGAAGGAATAAAAGTGACCTTCGTCTTGTAGTTTTTGTTTTCTTCCAACCTTACAAGTAATCTCTGCTCATATAAGCACATACACTTGAATTAGATCTTCTACACAAGTGAGAATATTCTTTTTGTAGCTTATCATGAAGATATTTCCATATCTATTTATTTTAATCTGTGTGTTTTCTTGTTTGCTCATTTTAAAGGCTACATTAATTTTAAATCTGTAGATTAACCTCATCTAATTTAATGCATGGTTAAGTTGTTTCTAGTCTTCCTTATTACAAACTAACTCTATGGCATTTTGTAATGCATTAGCATATTTGTAGGGTCAATTATTAGTCATAGAACTGGTGATCCAAAAATATGTATATTTTGCTTTTGATAAATACTGCTGAATCTATTTTGACTACCATATGTGCACGTAAAATGTTTGTACCAAAAGGTCCACTGCAGCATTATTGCGTTAAATCAAATGAATATTATGAATAATTAACCAATAAATTTTATAACATAAAAAGGATAAATTATTGACAAAAACACAACTCACTTGAACTGACTCAAGAAGAAATGAAAATTCTGAGTAGCACTTCCTAAAAAAAGAATTTAGATTTGTAATTTTTTTTAAGTTTCCAGAAATAAAACTCCAGGTGCAATTTGCTTAATGTTTAGTGGTACCGTAAATTTAAGAAAAACATAATCTTTATACTACAAATATTTATTCAGAAAATAGAGGAAGAACAGATGCTTCCATTTTTTAGGACAACATAAAGATAACACCAAACCCAATAAATCTACTAAAAAAAATGAATAGTCTTCATAAACATAGAAACAAAAATCATAATCTGCAACAAAAATGTGTAATACAACACAACCAAGGGGATTAAATTTGCATTAATATTTAAAAATCATTGAGGCCAGGTGCTGTGGCTCATGCCTGTAATCCCAGCACTTTGGGAGGCCGAGGTGGGTGGATCACGAGTTCAGGAGTACCAGACCAGTCTGAACAATGTGGTGAAACCCCGTCTCTACTAAAAATACAAAAATTAGCCGGATATGGTGGCACGCACCTGTAATCCCAGCTACTCAGGAGGCTGAGCCAGGAGAATCGCTTAAATCCGGGAGGCAGAGGTTGCAGTGAGCCAAGATTGTCACACTGCACTGCACTCCAGCCTGGGTGACAGAGTGAGACTCCATCTCAAAAGATTAAATAAATAAATAAATACTATGGAAATAATTCACTACATTATCAAAGTGAAGAAAATGATAATTTCAACAGATGCAAAACAATAATAACATTGGAAAACACTGAATACTTCTCTAAGATTAAAAACTTTCCAAAGACTGGGGATAGAAAGATACTCCTTTACTCTGATGAAGAGCATCTAGGGAAAATACACATTTATTTGCAGTATACTAAATACTTTCCCGTTAAGATGAAGAAGCTTTTTTCACGAGAGTTTCTGTCAAGCCAAATATTTGACTTAGTTATTATACCTGGCACATTGTTCTAAGGGTTAGTGTTTCATGTAAGAATATATTTGCATTTACTTGGTGTTTACTAAGAGGTCTTCTGGTGTGGAAAAGAACAGACATGTCTAAGGGAGTGCAGAAGCCCAATTGTGGTAGTCAGCTGTAGGACTTCTGTGAGAGAACTCTGCACAGAGGTGAAAAACCCAGGTAAACTGAGCCTGGTTTAGCTGAAGAGCCTATGGGTTGAGGCAGGGGTTGTTTCTGGGGTTAGAGTCAGGGCTGTTACTGGAGCCCATTCTAGCAGAGTTACTCTAAATGTGGACACCAGAGCCTCGTGCATCAGTTAAAAGAGTTGTTTTGCCAATTTGTGCCATATGAGGAGGCCCAGTTTAACCTTCTGGGAGCTCCTCTTACAAAGCACATCGAAAAGCCAAGAGGGTCATCCTCCTTTTCTCTTCAATGCAACTGCAGAATTGCCAAGACCTGAGTCTCAGGCAGGTGCCTCGGCAGGGGCCTCAGAGCAGATGCAGGCTCCGGGGTGACCAGTGTGGAGGGCGTCGTGCCCATCAGAGCTGAGCTGGCTGAAGCACAGCAAACAGAACATTGTTTTTTATGTGGCAAAAATGATCTCTATGGACATGTCCATACAGGGTCAGTAAGTGGTAGATGGGGGCGACAAAACCGGTCTGTCATATCCCTTCCAGGTTAGTGTTCTTTCTTTGGAAACAGTTTTGCATCAAGCAGTTTCTGGGTCTTTACCTGGAGGGGCTGCCAGGTGAGTGCTGAAGAGATGTTAAGGCAGGCAAGCATTGCCCCACCTGGGCACTTTTCATTGGCGGCTTCCCAAGCGTCACCCTAAGCCACAAAAACGACACTGAACAAAACAGTTTCACTTCACAAAGAAAACTCTGTCTCTTTGTTTTTCCTTCAGTAACCAAGCTGTTGTTATGGTACAACTTACTAAAGGGAGGCGGCCCTTGTCCTTAGCATGACACACTAGTTTGTTAGCAGTGGACTCTTCACAGAATGTGGAGTCCGTGAGTTTAGGCGTGGGCAGCTCTCCCACCTCCACATCAGCCGTGACCATCACGTTGTCACCGAGAGCTGCAGCTTCCCCCTCCTGGATCCTGTAGGACAACAAGCACGCCTCTCCTCTCCCAGAAGTGGGGCCCATGTCCCTCAGGGAGAGTTGCTGTTCCATCTGTGCCAATGAGGTGGTGACCCGAAGTGGAGACTCAATAAACCTAAAACAGCTGTCTCGCACGCAGTGGTGCAGGCTCTGAGAGGTGCATTTTGCTTTGACCCAGTCCTCTGTGGCCCAGTGTCTGTGTGTCTCTGAGAGCTGTCCTGGCCCACCAGTGGACTCATCCTAAAACAGAGCAGATTTCTGTCTATTCTGTCCTCTGCTGGGAATGCCCACGAAACATTCTGGGAAATGTCTTAAACAAATGCGCACATCATAGACTTTTAAATTGGAATCGTTTTTGTTCTTTTTTTTTCCTACTTTTTATGTGTTCTATTTTTTTTCTAGTTTGCAAAAGCACTATATTTGTTTTAAGTAAAAATGTAAAGGGCTGTGGAAGACTCTCCTCGTTGCCTTCCCTGCAGTCTTCCCCTCCCTCCACCCTCGTTTCCCCACTGCCAAGTTCTGCTTCCCACGGCAGACTCTGCAAAAATCCATCCTCATTTTCTCAGCCTTTCTTGGACAAAGTGGTTTGAAAGCTGAAAGGAATACTGCTGAGGGGTTTTTGGCTTTTGTCAAAGCCTTGAGAGGGAGAAAGAGAAAGACAAGCAGAGAAAGAGAGTGAGAGCGCCCTCTCTGCTTTTGGACATCATTACATAGGATGGTGTATTAGGATTCTCCAAAGAAATAGGACCAATAGGATTCATAGCTATATAAGAGGATATTTATTATGGAAATTGGTTCCTATGATTATGGAAGCTAAGAAATCCCACAATCTGTCATCTGCAACCTAGGGAACCATGAAAGCTGGTGGTGTAGTTCCCTCTGAGTCTGAAAATAGGGAGGGAAGGTGTAAGTCTTAGAATCTGAAGGCCAGAGAATCAGATGCTCCAATGTCAAAAGGCAGGAAAACATGGATATCAGAGCTCAACCGGAGAGAGCAAATTCACCCTTCCTTTCCTTTTTGTTCGATGTGGGACGTCAACAGATTGGATGATGCCCAGCTGCTTTGGCGAGGGTGATTTCATTCAGTCTACTGGCTCACTGCTAACCTCTTTGTGAAGCACTCTCACAGACACACCCTTAAATTATGTTTTACCAAATACTTGCGCATTCCTTAGACCACTCAACCTGACACATGCTATTAACCATCACAGATGGGATGTCGTGAGAGGGTGGTTACTTTGAAACCATGAGAATTGTGAGGGAACAACATGATGATGAAAGTCAACAGGCAGAAAAGGTCGGAACAAAGTTCTTTGGAGTTAATCACTTTGTTAGGGTTAAGCTATTTCTATTTAGGTAATCTGTTGCATGCAACTGAAAGCATTCTAATTGATTCATGGGTTCACTGTAACTAATGGCATATTGCAACGATTTAAAAAAATAAAAGGTAAAAAAAAAAAAAAAAACTCTACCCAAACCCCCAATCCTATTTCTTTAAGAATGCTGATCTTATATCCTACTGTATAGAATTCAATAGTTATCTCTATTTTCCTTCAAACATATATATCCATATATACATGAATATATGGATTTCTCTCACTTGTTCTTATGAAACAGTACTATTCTATACACATTATTCTGAAATTTGCTTTCTCAGTTTGTATGGCTATACCTCAAGGTCAACAAATACAGAGATAATCAATTTTAAATAACTACATACAATTCCATCCTACAAATTTAATAGAGATGAACATGTCTTCAAGCATTTCCCCAGTGACAGACAGTAAGGTTGCTATAGGTTAGGCCTCTGCAAATATTGCTGTAACAAATATTGTTATGCAGATATCCTTATATCCAATAATATCTATAGGAGTGTTTCCCAAGAATGGTATTGCAGAATCAAAAGCATGCATTTTCAATTTTAATAGTTACTGACTTTAAGTAGATAATACTCAACAAAATGGAACACCATCATATTCCTGGATTATATAGATATGTTTGTGAGTACCAAGGGCAGAATCAATCTGTTCCTTATATTATTTTCACTGTCTCCTTGCAAACACTATCATATAATAACTATTACAATGACTATACCTATTGCTATTAGTCATCATCACGTATTACCTTTTTTGAATCAACCACCAAAATAAGTTTACTTTCAAAATTTACAATAACCTTATTAGTAGCTCTCCATTTAAAATGTCCAATGTCGCACAGCTAATAAGAAGTAAACCCAACATTTCAGACCAATTCTCTCCTGTGTCAGCGCTCACTCTTCCCTGATGAGCTGCCTGTGCTCATATGCAAATGAAGCACTATGGATATGAAGCCATCATTTTCCCCTCCCTTAAGAAAGGCCACCTCCCACACCAAATACTAAAGATAGATCAATGTCTTAAGAGGAATGGACTAAAAACTGAAAGAAATGCAGTTTAGCATAATGAAAGAACATTGGATTCAAAGATAGGAATCAAACTTTAATTCCAGGCTCATAAGCAAGTAGTTATTGAAAACTGCCAATCTTCCCTTTCACATACATGCGTAATTATATACATACAGAAATGTACATAATTACTTCCTTATTTGGAAAATGTAATGTAATTTGGAAAATGTACATAATTATACTTTTCTGACAACCTCCTGAGGTTGCTATGAGAAAAAATGGAGATAACACATTTAGAAATGCATTGTAAATTATAGTGCCAAATTAAAAGAAGATATATTATTTCTGTTATTCTCTCAAATTAATTTAATTTTAAATTTAGTACACAGAAATATCTTCCAAACAAATTATCTGATATATTAATATGATGCTATTGAGCTATCATGTTATTGTGTTATTATATCTGTTGGTTTCCAATCAATCACAACTCTCTTACTCTGAATTTCTCTCAAAATAATTTTCTCATTGAACTTCCTAGAAGTATTTCAGAGGGATATGTTGGACTCTGTCCGCAGCAATACTGTTTCATAGAATGCAATAATGAATTCTACCTGGCCATTTATTAAAACAATCTTCTGAAATGAAATTCAGTGAAGGCATTTTCTGAAGGACTAGACTAGTAATATCAAAGCATACAAAATTTTAGTGAATTGGCCTGAGGCAAGAACAACATAAATACTTGGAAGCACAGAATAAATCATCTCCTGTGCATAGAAGTAATGTAGATTAATATATTTCAGAAAATATATATTTACCTTCTTCAATGTGACAGAGACAGACAATATTCTATGAGATCAGCTCTCTCAACCAAATATTTGGTGAAAGGATAGGTGGAAGGCAATTTTGGAATCATCCTAAACCTCAATGTTCTTATTTGAATTATATGATAAAATGGCTACTTCAATCTGGTGGAAAGGATTAGTAAAATATGATATATTTTTATTATTACTATTTTGGCTGCTGTCACAGAACAGCCATTTAGCAAATAGTATCCTTATTCTCTTATTCACAGAACAGCTATTTAGCAAATAGGATCCTTATTTTCTTATTCCCTCTGTGTAATGTGCAACTCGTAAATCATTATGTACTACTTGTTATTATCAGCATGATATGCTTACAATCTATAATCTAGGAAAGCGTTTTCAGACCTTGAACACCATGTTTTTTACTTAGATGGAAGTTGTGAACAAATTTTCTCTGTTTAATATTTTATTTTTGACTTAGAAAGGAAAATTATTAGCTTCACATTTAAGATTAAATGAAAGAACTGAGAAGCCCAGCAATAACAGACTCAGGTAATGAAATAAGATGAAAAATCTTACATTTAACTCCAGTGTCCTTGTATTTATTAAATATTACAATATTTGATATAGAAAATTCAACATTAAAAACTATAAACCTTTTGAAAGAATTAACTGCTAAGATAGCCAGATGTGTATTGATTTTTGTTTATTTGCTTTTTCCGAGAGGTTTCAATGGTTTCTTTTTTTTTTTTTTTTTTTAGACGGATTCTCAGTCTGTTGCCCAGGCTGGAGTGCAGTGGCACAATCTCGGCTCACTGCAACCTCCGCTTCCCAAGTTCAAGCGATTCTCCTGCCTCAGCCTCCCGAGTAACTGGGACTACAGGCACACGCCACCATGCCCAGCTAATTTGTGTATTTTTAGTAGAGATGGGGTTTCACCATATTGGCCAGGCTGGTCTCGAACTCCTGACCTCGTGATCCACCTGCCCTGGCTTCTCAAAGTGCTGGGATTACAGGTGTGAGCCACCACGCCCCGCCTTAATTGTTTATTCTTATTTACCACATTGGGTATTGTGCTTTCCCATGAATAGCGATCAAAACAGCTTGATTTGCATACTTTCAAAACTACCTGGATGAAACTAATATGATTTTAATTTACTAACAGTTTAAATTCTTCTATGTGAAATAAACTTTTAAAAAAACAAATACAAAGGACAAAGAGTTGAAAGCAGTCAGCTGGCCGTGGTGACCATGCAAGCCTCACCCTCCACACTTCTCCAGATGCTCACTTGCCTAAACACCATTTCTTCCCTATGTTCCTCACCTCTATACTCTTTCTCTCACAGATGCTAAAAACCTTATGAAGTTTATCAAAAGCTGATACTACATCTTTGCAGCCCTGGGTTAGATATTGACAAAATTAAATTAAATATGTTTCGATTTATAAATGATTATAGATGACTGAAAGAATCAAATTTTTTTTTTTTAGTTAAATTACTCCTTTGAAGAAGTTAATGCAAACCTTATAATACCAGGCTTGCAAAACAGATAAAAGAATAAGTATCTCCATAGATTGCCTAAGGTAAAATGACCAGGTCATGTTTCTGTGTGACTTTCATACAACATCCCGAAAGCTCTTAAGTTTTTATTTCCTGTGATTGAAATGATCAGCACTTGATAAAGGAAACACACTTTGAGTCTAATGGTGCTGATATCGCTCTTCCTGGAGTTAACTATAAAAGCCAACCACTAAGAAGCCACAGACTGAAACTTGCCCTCAATAAAAAAATAACAATAAAAGCAACAAAAATTAAACTTTCTTCAAGAGCCCTGGAAATCTTTTTAAAAATACTGAAATGGAGCAATGGAGCAAAGTAAGAGATTACTTTGGAAGTCTCCTGCCCTCTTTTTTATTTATTTTTACTTTTATGGAACTTTGTATCCTTCCTTGTTCTTCCAATTACGTAGCAATAAATTAAAATGTTCCCCTTGTTAAAAATTTAATCAGACTGTAACTGACTGATATAAGCACATCTACATTTCTGTGTTCACTGTATTTTACAAATAGCAATAAAGATATCTTTGAAGTTAGAAATCGAGAAACTATTTTGCTTACTTAAATTTGTAAGATTACTGATGGAAAATTTTTTTTGCTTGTTTCTTGAGACAGAGTCTTGCTCTGTCTCCCAGCCTGGAGTACAGTGGCACGATCTCGGCTCACTGCAACGTCCACCTCCTGGATTCAAGTGATTCTATCACCTCAGCTTTCCTAGTAGCTGGGATTACAGGCACCCACCAACACACTCAGCTAATTTTTGTATTTTTAGTAGAGACAGAGTTTCACCATGTTGACAAGGCTGGTCTCGAACTCCTAGCCTCAAGTGATCCAACTGCCTCGGCCTCCCAAAGTGCTGGGATTATAGGCATGAACCACCACACCTGGCAAAGTTTTGAATCATAGCTTACTTTCTGTTTAATGCTGTTTCTAATAATTTGATGGTAGTTATGTAGAAAAAAGAGAATTAACTTTCCTTTCAGTAATTTGATTCTTTCAACAGAGATTATTATGATTTATAATTGGCATATCTTCACATGGAAACCCAGTGCTTCTCCCTTTTCCATTTTTGAAGGAAAGACTGTTGCCTTTGGTTTCACACAGTGACACACCCGTGTCTACTACCTGTCGTCATCATGACTCTGAATTAGGGATGGCAAAGTCCTCCACATTTGAATTGATGAGATAGAGATGCAGATGATTTGCACAGGGCTAAGTAGCTAATTAGCAATAGTGATGGGATGAAAACTAAGCATAGTGCCTTCATTGCGTTCATAATTTCCCTACTCGGAAGTCCATTATGCTTTGGCTTCTCAGAGGATACAGCAGCTCTGGCGTGAGGGAGATACCTGTTTGCTAGCAAAACAAATATTCATTGTAATAACATAATAAATAGTAAAATAATTTTCACATTTTACAGTGTGGGCATTGATTTGAAATGTAAGAATACCTAAATAAAACAAAATAACACTTTCATTGCATTAAAAGTAGCATGCATGGATAGGATTGATTGCTATAAATATGATCAAATTTAGTAGTTGACACAGAAATGAAGACAGCATGTTTAAACTTCCAGAAGATTAATCAGAGCAGTGTTCAGATGGAGGTAGAGCTGGTGAGTGCTTGAGTGGAGGGATGCCTTAAAGAGGCTCAGCCAGCTCCTCTGTCCGAAGTCTTACGCAGTTCCTTCTGATCACACACCTAACAGATAGTTATGCAGACATCCTGAAAGACTCCATAACCTGAAAAAGTGACAAAGCTACTGGAAGACAAACTCAGGATCACAAACATGAGTTGTAATGTAATATATATTTTAACCATGCTTATTTAACTTAGACCAATAATATAAGGTAGCTTTATGTGAATCGGCATGATTTCTTATTTGATTTTGCTTAAGTGTATAAAAAGATCATCACTCAAATTGAGAAGATTTTTATTCTTTACTATTATTTCAAATAATAATTCAGAATTATTCTTCAGTTTGTAGGTCAGAAATCTTCCCTGTAGTTATCTGGTTATCTGTAACCTGTAAACCATATGACTACATCCTAAATCATGTCATGGATTTTTTTTTCTTTTTTTTTTTTTTACATTTGGCTTGGAAGATCTTTTTTTCTTTTTCCATAGTCTGTGTTCAGGCATTTCTAAAATGAAGATGTTTGAACATTTTTAAAATGTATATCTTATATGCTTCCTAAAGGGCTTCTTGACTATCAAACAATGCAATATTGCTTAAGACAATGCGTGTGAAATCCTGAGACATTTTCCTCCTTGCTGGATACATTTACTTTCCATGTTTTCAGTCCATCATAGCAGTGTTTACTGAGTGCTTGCTAAGTGAAAGGCACTCTAGGAGCTGTGGGAGAATACAGTGATACATCAGGGAAAATTCCTGTCCTCAAAGAGCTCTTGCTTGACATGAAAATTCCGTGAGTGCTATTGTGTAAATTGACGTTCAAGTTTAGAAGAGGAAGAGATGACTTCTGGCTCTGGTGACCTGTGAAGTCTTCATCAAGGAAGAAACATTTAAATTAGGAATGGCAAGTTTTCAACTCCCACACTAAGAGGTGACAGTGAATTGTCTTAATCATGTTACACTCTCTGTACTTAGCACAATGTCTTGCAATGTAGCACATACTGAACAATTATTTCTGAAATGAGTGAAAGAATGAATAAGTGAATAAACATAAAAGTGTGTATTGAAAAAAGAGGAAGTAACAGAGCTCAAAAGGATTCTGGTTTTCTAAAGCATTGATATCTTCACCGTTGCCTAAAGAGCAAAATAATTTATAAAATGAAACAACCATGTGCTACATGGACTCTGACTTTTGTATGTACTTTTTGTGTTTTTTTTTCAGTGAGTCAAAAAGGATTAAAACTTGTCTTCCATTCTTAAAAATTTTCAGTGACAAAGAGTTTTCCTACTCAGAGAACTGAAATCATAGTGTGATACTTTCATTCATTCATTGCTTAGCAAGTAATAACTCATTAGCCGGCACTAGCTTTGTCTTTGGTTATATAATACACAGATTAAACACAGCTGCTTACTTCTTAGAGCTTGAGTCTAGCAGGGGAGACAGACAAACACAACCAAAGCATAACAATTATGACAATAGCAAAACTTAGTCCTAGACACTCTGGAAAAATAAAACGAAAGGAAAACTACACAATCCTTGGAAATAATAGAAAAAGTTTTTAAGAAGTGTAAAATGTACAGAGATTCAAATTATAAGTAGATATTAAATTGTTAAAAGTCAATAAAGGAATTCTAAGCAGAAAGGCTATTATGTACGAAGTCTCAGTTATAACACAGAGTAAAGGAATTGAAGACAGGATAGGGAGTTTAGGAAGATGGCATTAGGGAAAATGAGGTTTTGAGAATCATGTTATCCTCAGCAATTCTACTCGAAATTGAAAGTGAAATAAAACTTCATATTAATAACATTAAGTATGTATTATTTTGCTTTAAAGCAGAAACTGGTAGATTTTTTGTAAAGATCCAGATAGTAAATATTTTAGGCTTTCCTCGTCACCTACGATCTGAACTGCATTTCTTCTTTATCATTTTATTGCTGTTTGTATGTTTTACAACCCTTAAAAACATGAAAACCATCTTACCTCCCAGAAAAAACAGGCTAAGAGCTGATTTGGTTTACAGAAAGCAGGGTTGTGAGTCCTGCTTTTAGAGGATCTTAGCTATACGGTGTTTCTAAAATGCTGGGGTTTTCATTACGTGCTTCTAGCCCTTGCCTCCCTCCCTCCTTTCTCTCCCTCCATCCTTTCCTGCCCCTTGGTCTTGGAACATACACGGTTCCTCACGCCATATGTGATCATTGCTTTGCCTGAGCTACTACAACTAATGACCACAATATTTTCTCCTTGTTTATACATTCGAGCATACTTAATTTTTATATGAATATTTTTTGCAAAAGTAACAATGTTCATCTTGATACTTTGTGATTTAACTCCCCAAATCATGAGGAGGTCCTGGAAATTCTCTGTTGCCTTCTACGATGCTGTCCCCGTCTTCCTGGTTTCATTTTTGCCCTAAGGAAGGCGCTTGGCCAATTTCTATCTTCCATTGCTCCTCTGTCACCAGGATACCTAATCTCATAAACCCAATGAACACGTCTTTGTATTCCCCAATTTTTTGTAGTCCTTCCCGCTTTCTCAAGTGTTAGCTTATGACTAAATAAATGAGTGACAGAAGTTGTTAACCATATAAGCTTGGGATTCTAACAGATCCCCAATATTACCTTCTAGTTACGTGACATGAATAAGTTGCTAAATCATTTCTGGCCTCCACCATCCCACGTATAAAATTGGGATAGTCATAGTGGACTTCTGGGTAAGTGATGGACTGAATTTCAGCTCCCAGGTGGAAGCACAGAGCTACCACAAGAAAGATAGATGAAAAAAGTAAGTCTGTGGGTAGAAGCTAAATAGCTTTTTTAAATCTTTAGCTTTACATTATAATGTAAAATCATAATGTCTGACTAGGCTAAACACTCACCCACATTAAATGCATATGAGCATATAAGTCAGGAAGAAATTAGACTAAGTGGGATTAAAGCGTTTTAATATCAAGAAATTATCTGGCAGAGGTAAAATATCTGCTTTCAATAACATTTAACAACATTAATATTAGATATGATAAACTGAAAATGAAATCTTTAGAGTGGTCACTGAAAAAATAAAGTGCATAAATGGTATGCTAAGAGAGGCAAAGTAAACATATTAAGAAACACTACAGCAATCAAAAAAAGTAGAAGAGAAAAGGAGAAACACAAAATATTTGTGACAAAAATCTACTCAACTATATCAGTAATTGCATAAAGCATAAATAAACTAGATAATTTAATGAAAAGACAATTTTAATTCAGTCAAAAAGAGCAACCCCACCCCCAAAGAAGCCCCTAACATGAGACAGATCTTAAAATATAGAACTCAGAATGCGAAAACTAAAGGAATGAATTAAGAGATGACATAAAATTATGCAATTTATAAGAGAAATACTTAAATGTAAACACATAGATTAAAAGTAAAGGAATATAGAAAGTATATCTTGCTACACTAACCAAAGGAAGTGGAAGTGATGTTAATGTCAGACAAAGCAGATTTCAGAACAAAAGAAATTATCGGGGAAAATGAGAAGCATTGTTTAATTATTTAGGAGTTAATTCTCTAAAAATACACAGTAACAGAACATTAAAATATGTCAGGAAAAAAAAACTGATAGAACTCCAAGGAGAAATAGACTAATCCATTGTTATAGTTGATGACTTCAACATTTCTCTATCAATAATTGATAAATTCAGCAGGCAGAAAATCAGTACGAATATGATTGACCTGAATGGCACTTACAGAAACAATGAGAGAATACATAATTTTCCCAAGCTGTCATGGGAAATCCGTATACTGAGCCACAGAATAAGTGTTAACAAATTTAGAGGAATAAAAATCATACAAAGTATGCTCTTAGCCCACGCGTGGAACTAAACTAGAAATCAGAATGAAAACATTTAAAAATACTCAAATACTGGAAGCACTGATGGAATACTTATAAAGAAGAAATGGATTGAAGAACAGCTCTCAAAAAAATTAAATATATATTTATATGTATAAAATGAATTAAAATGAAAATGTGACCTCAAGTTTTATGGAATACAATGAAAGCAGTGCTTGGAGGAAAATGTATAGCTTAAAGTTTGAGTCCATATATTATTTTTTAAAATTTAAAATCTATAAGCTTCTATCTTTGGAAACCAGAGAAAGAAAAACAATGCAAGCCTAATGCACAGAGAAAAATGTTAAAACAAAAATAAAAAATAAAGCAGAAATTAATGAAATTGAAATAAGAAATTAATCAATAAAATCAAAAGCTGATTTTTGAAGATCAAAAAACTCATGAACATTCAAGGAAATAATAAGAAAAAGATAAAAATTAATAATATCAGAAATAAAAGAGGGTTATCCCTACATTACTACCAGTGTTTCAAAAACATTAAAAATGTAATAATACATTATTATGAAAAACTATATGAACACCAATTTGATCATGTAAATCAAATGGACCAATAATTGAAATTTACAAACTATCAAAACTCACATCTAGAGCAATAGAAAATTAGAATAAGGCTATATTTATTAATGAAATTAAATCAATAAATAATAGCCTTCCAAAACAGGAAGCATGAGGCCCAGATGATTTCACTGGTGATTTCTACCAAATGAAAAGAAATGATATCAATTCTCTACAATGTCTTTCAAAAAAATGAAACACAGGGAATACTTTCCAACTCATTTTATGCAGCCAGTATTACCCTAGTACCAAAACAAAAAGCAAAAATATTACAAGAAAGAAAAACTACAAATGCATATCTATTATGAACATAGATACAAAAATCCTCAAATAATATTAACAAATAGAATACAATAATGTATAAAAATGATATAACCTAGTGGGATTTATTCCAGGTATTCTAAGCTGGTTCAACATTCAAAATTAATTAATGTAGTACATCAGATAAACAAGCTAAAGGAGAAAAATCATATGATCATATCAACAAATGCAAATAAAGCATTTGGTAAGTCCCACACTCATTCACAATAAAAATCTCTCAGCCAACTTAGAAAATGGCACCACATTGATAAAGAACATCTAAAAAACCTGCAGCTAATAACACACTTAAGATAAAAAAAAAATTCCATGTTTTCCTCTTTAGATTGCAAACAAGGCAAGGATGCCCCATCTCACCACTTCTATTTAGCATCATGCTGAAAATCCTAGTTAAAGCATGAAGACATGAAAAGGAAATGACAGGTACAAAGACTGGGAAGAAAGAGATAAAAATTCACTATAGTGACTATGGTTGCACGCTTATGTGATAAGGCCTTAAAGGAAAGGAAATATTCTCCGTAACAGTGTGGCTCCGTTCATTGAGGAGAGAGGGAAGTAACAGTGACTGAGAGGAGTATGTGAGGGCGTCTGGGCTGCTGGCAATACCACCTAATTTTAAATTGTATGTGGTTATATCAATATAACCACAGCAAAATGATCTTTGTTCACAAGTATCAAATCCCAAAGAATCAATATAAACTTGAGGAACAAACAAGTGATCATACCAATATTGCAGGATACAAGTTTAATATATAAAACTCAATTGCTTTTCTATTTAACAGTAATTAACAATTGGAACTGGAAATTAAAACAAAATAGCATTAATGTTGTCACCAAAAAAGTTGAAATAGGTCAATTCTAACAAAATATATACAGGATCAATATGAGGAAAACTACAAAACTCTGAGGAAATAAATCAAGGATCTAAATAAATGAGAGATACTTTGTGTCCATGGAGTTGGAAGACTCAGTATTAAGAGGATAATTCTGCCCAACTTGATCTATAGATTCAGTGCAATTCCAATCAAAATCCCAGCACATCCTTTTATGGTTATTAGCAAACTGATTATAAAGTTTAGGTGGAAAAGCAAGAAAACCAGAATAGCCAATATAATACTGAAGAAGAACAAAATTAGAGGACTGACCCAACCTAACTTGAAGACTTAAAGCTACAGTACTCAACACAAAAGAAAAAACAAACACCAGTGGAAATGAATAGAGAACCCAGAAGTAGACCCTCACAAATATAGTTAAATCATACTTGCACAAAAGCAAGAATCAAAGGTACTTCAATAGAGAAAGCATAGTCTTTTTAACAAATGGTACTGGAACAATTAGACATGCTCATGCCCCCCCACCCAAAAAAAAAGAAAAGAAAAAATCTCTAGACAGACTTTGCACCTTTCACAAAATTCCACTCAAAATGAATCAGAGACTTAAAATCCAAGATTCTAAAACATATAGTTTTAAATATTAAATTGTATTCATACATGGGACAATGGGATTTAAACTTCAATGAAATCAACAAGCCATAGGTATGTGAATCAACATGAATAAATTTCCCAAATACATTGTTCATTTAAAAAAGCAATACAAGGCCTGGCGTGGTGGTACATGCCTGTAATGCCAGCACTTTGAGAGGCCAAGGCGGGCAGATTGCTTGAGCTCAGGAGTTCGGGAACAGCCTGGGCAAAATGATGAAACCCCATCTTTACAAAAAGTACGAAAATTAGTCCAGCATAGTGGCACTTGCCTGTGTTCCCAGCTACTCAAGACTGAGGTGGGAAGATCCCTTGAACCCAGGAGGTCCAGGCTGCAGTGAGTCAAAATCACACGACTGCAGTTCAACCTGGTTGACAGAGTGAGACCCTGTTTCCAAAAAAAAAAAAAAAAAGCAAAAACACAAAAGCAATACATAAAATATGTTTTATGATTGTATGTATATCATGGTTTCATATAACATGATTTCAAATACAGAGAAAAATAGGGTTTACAAAATGGAAGAAGTAAACTGTAGTGTCTATGGCTGCATGCTTACGTGATAAAGGAAAGGAAAAAAATTTCCATAACGGTGTGGCTCCTTACACTGAGGAGACAGGGAAGTGATAATGACTAAGAGAAGCAAATGAGAGCTTCTGGGCTTCTGGCAGTATCATCTCATTTTAAACTGCATGTGGTTATACCAATATTCACCTTACGATAATACTTATACCAACTTTCCGTCTTTATTTTATGCACTATTTCTGTGTAGGTATAATTTATAATAAAAATTCTAAAGTGAAAATTAAGAAACCTAAAGAAGATTGTGGGTGTCCGTGAGTGTGGAGGGATTTTAACGAGTTCCAAAGCCCTTGTCTTATCAGAAAAAAAGATAAAAACTATTAACTTCAGACACTAATAGCAAAATTTAAAATACGTATGTTAAAAATTAAATAAAACAAAACTTCTAACTTGCAAAACAATGGGAAACAAAAGGTAAGAAAGAGAATGTGGTCAAACAGACACTAGGAACGAGATTACAACAGTAACTCTCAGAAAGATTGCAGAAGGACTAAATGCAAGTATTCACATGTGGCAGAAACTGCTACATTTCCCCAAAGTCCTTTTTCCCCAGGATAGGATTTTTACATGACTTCTCAGCACCCAGAATACAAACATGTTTCAGCCTCTCATGAAGCTAAGTGTGGCCATGAAACTAAGTTCTTGTCAGTTGGATATAAGTAGAAGTTTTGAATTGCAGCTTCCGAGAACTTTTTTTTAGTAAGGAGCTACAAGAGTGCTTTTATTGAAATGTTTAATAACAGTTAAATCTTGCCCCAGGAAGGCAGGCTGTGTTAAAAATCAGGCACAGAGTTTGATTATAAAAGTGGCATTAAATACAAAAGAGATTGATTCACGGCTTCATCAAGACCCTAATTAAAAGCCTTCTTCCGTTTTCTTTAAGCCTTCCTGTGTTGCACTGCTTGCACAAAAAACATAAGGTCCTGTATCTCGATCATGGATGGTGAAGCTGAAGACCATCAACAGAGGAACATGTAAATGAAAGCTAATGAAAGCCAAAAGCTCTGAGTCCCTGAGGCTCTCCTGAATAATGGCCACCACAGCAGGCCTTGACTGAATGCCTCTGGACTTCTATCTAGTTTATCACTATTATTTTAGGTCTCTATCATCTACAGAAAAACTTAATACTAAATAAAAAAACTGCAAGAAAAGTTTAGTATTTTTGAAGTAGCCTGTGCTAGTTTCAGACATGTCTTATACCCCACTTCTAATCTCTTAACTCTGTCTCGAGTTACTCCCAAAGCTTCAACTGCAGACCTTCACTGTCTTTGCACAGAATGTAACCAGAGAGTGTCTAAGTCTGAGAGCCCTTGCTGCACAGTGATATCTACCTGCCTGGTCTTCTCTGATCTTGCAGCATGATCTGCAACTCAGAAACAGTCATCTTTACCCAACTGGAGTGGGAGCCATTAGATACTGTTTCTTATCTTTCCTTGTGTGGACAGTTCTGAGATATTTCATTAAACTTATCCGAAGCTCGCATAAATCTGAGTCCCGTTTCCCTAAGGTGATAGCACACTCCACATGCATCCTGGTCTTGTCTTTCTCTTCTTCCCTGAGTGACTCACAGTGCCTCTCTTCCCTGCTGGATGGGATCACTTCTCAAATAACCTGACTCCACAGATGTCTTTGACATGATTTCCGCCCATTTCAGCCCCATGCTGTGCTCCTCTCTCTTCCTGCCTCAGGGCTTCCAATGCCCTGAGGAAGATGACTCATTCGGGAAAACCCACCAAGGCTGCTGGATAATAAAAGATGCAGGACCTGGAAGTGCAGGGGAGTTAATGCCTTGTACCACCCTTGACCAAGGGGAATGGAAGATAAGGAATAGATGTTTTCACTTCTTTTCTTTTGAACCATTCTGAGGTTTATTTCCTAAATCTGCTAAGAATGTCCCACAGAATTGAGGGTCATTGCCTGTATTATGGACTGACTTGATAACACATCCTTGTGTTGTTTTTCCTTCTTCCATCTTTCACTTTCGGTCCATCTCTTATCTCCTGGGACCACTCTCTAAGCAAACCACCTGCCTGCACGTACTATTATACATCAAGTTCTGTTTACAGGAGAACCCGCAGAAAGTCAGTGTTCGGTGAGTGTGGGCTTGTTATTATTATTATTATTTATATATATACACTTGAATATTCCATCATTAATAATTTTTATGAAATTGAAAAATGATACTTATCGACATTTTACATAGTGCCAACTCCTAGTCCTACCGTTGTGGGGTACAAAT
Organism: Homo sapiens; assembly: GCF_000001405.40. Taxonomy (NCBI): domain Eukaryota; kingdom Metazoa; phylum Chordata; class Mammalia; order Primates; family Hominidae; genus Homo; species Homo sapiens. The sequence goes on from NC_000002.12 coordinate 5,251,278, forward strand.
GATCCCAAATATTTAAAAAATTATCTATGCTTCCAACTTGGAAGTCACTGTTGAAATTTCTCTGAACTCATCTTAGCATGTCCAATTACTTGATCTCGTCAATTTTTTACTCATGTAGCATAATCAATCTTTTACTTGCTAGTCAGGTTGCCACCTCCATTGTCAAATCACTCACAGATGGTGCAACTCCTAAATGCAGTGATGGTTCCCGGCCAGTCCACACTACTCCTCTTCAACTCTAACTTCCTTCATTGAGCAAGTATTTCTGAGCATACACTGTGTCAGTTGCTTTTATTTATATTAACTTGTTTAATTCTTGTGAAATGAAGATAGACATTATTATCCTTGCTTAATAATTGAGGGTTCTGAGCCTCTGATTGGGTCACCAAATGGTGTGGCCAGACGTGATTACAACTGGATTTAAAACCAAGATCGGTTGACTTCAGTTCTCATGATGGTTCGTCTACATGTCAGTCTCTTCAGAGTTCGCTTTTGGTTTCCTCCTTCATCAAATCTGAGACACATAGTTATTTCTCACTGACTCCAATAAGACCAATCAGGCAAAGCTCGATGTCACGCAGCTTTTCCACAATCTGCTGGGTAAATGTGATCCGTGTGTTCTCCTAGTGGCTTTCTTTTTTGCTTGTTTTCAGTCTCTTCCATTTCTTCTCTATTCTTCCACTATGCTTGCTTTCTGCCAAAAAGGGTTACTTTTTGGCCATGCCACTTATTCTTAGAATCTTAGAATTTTGAGGCATTTTTTAACTTTTATTTTAGGTTTGGGGGTACATGTGGAGATTTGTTATGTAGGTAAACTTGTGTCATGGGGAATTGTCATATAAATTATTTCATCACCCAGGAATTAAGCCCAGTACCCAGTAGTTATCTTTCTTGCTCACCTCTCTCCTTCCACCCTCCGCCCTCAAGTAGACCCCACTGTCTATTTCCTTCTTTGTGTTCATATGTTTTCATAATTTAGCTCCCACTTATAAGTGAGAACATACAGTATTTGGTTTTTCCGTTCCCGCAGTTGTTTGCTAAGGATAATTAGCTTCCAGCTTTATCCATGTTCCTGCAAAACACATGATCTCATTCTTTTTTATGGCTGCATAGTATTCCATGGTGTATCTTTTCATCACAGCTCCTCCTTCTACTGTTGAATAAGCTCAGACCCAGAAAGCTTAAGTGACTTCCTCAGAATGGCACACTTAACTTAGATAGAGAATGGAGCTCTGTCTCCTTTCTTCTAGTCAAGAGTTTATAACATAGGACCTGTATTTCTCATGTTTATCTTAATTTCATATTTTTCTCTAATTGGTCAACTCTTGAACCTACCTTCTTGGATTACTCACAATTTGGTGAATATATAATGATATTAATTTATCATTTTAGAAATGTTCTTCTATCTTCCTCATATATGCCTGCCTTTTTTCCCACTCTTCTTTCCTTTCTTCTTTTCTTCTATTCATTCCTCAACCGCAGGGAATATGGCAGTGAAGAGCACACAATCCTTGCCCGTGGGAACATAGAATCTTGCATGATGAACAGATTTATTACAATTAAACTGTGATTGTATTACATGCTGCATGTACTAAGTGGAGATAGAAGCTAGTCTGAGGGACCTAGCAAGGTTTCCCTGAAAAATGATGGGAAAATAATTCCTGATGCACAGAGCAACAGACGGAGAATCATGGACAGAAGAAGCAGATGGGAGAGCCCTGAGGTGGACAGAGGCTGCTTCTTCTAAGGCAGAGGCCCTGTGAGGGCAGAGCTGGGAGGGAGTGGGGAGCCAAGCGAGGAAGCTGAGAGGGAACCTGGGATTCAACTGAGCAGGATTTCACAGGTGCTGTTCAGGTTTTTGAAATTAATCTCAAAGGAAATGAAAGCCATTGAAACTTTTAGGCAGCAGAGTGGTATGACGCGATCTGAATTTATATCCTGGGGTTTTTGAAGAGTGAGTTTGAGGAGGTGAGGAAGAGAGTTCAAGAGGCTTTTGTGTCAGACCAAGGGAGCCCAGGAGAACCCCCATGCATGGGGAGCAACAGCTAGAGGCAGGTGTACCCCAGAAGAGGGTCCGGTTGGGGGACGAACCTGTGCATTGCCAACACCGACCTCATGTCCGCAGACTTCTCTATCGTTGAGACTGCCCAGGACAGGGCTAGAAAGTGAGGAAAATTGCTTATTTCAGCACTTTCAATCCTTAATTAGGATTAAAAGGCAAGATTAGTATAGGCGACAGGAAAAGAAGAAAAAAGGACCAAGGAGAAAATCAAACTAAATTTCAAATCTTAAATCAGGGAATGAGCAGCCAGCTGGAGCTGGTCTCGCGCTAGTACATCTGACTAGAATGAATTTTACCTCTCTGTCTTTCCGGCAAGCTTTAATTCATCCTTCAAGGAATGTCCCATGAATCGGTTCTGAGAATACCTCCCTAAGTGAACTCAAAGCAAGCTGTTCTTTCCACTGCGTTTGTACGTCTACTGAAGCAATCACTGCGTCCTGTTACATTTCCTTGTGGAGTATCCACTGCATGCTGAATGTGAGTTCTCTGAAGACAGGTCAAGGTGTCTTATTCAGTCCTGTATGCCCAATCATTAAATTAAGCATTCGATAAATTTTTATTGATTTCACATTTATTAAAGTTCACATCCAGACTTTGTCTTTTTTACATATGTATCCTTCACCCCTAAAATCTGAGTTCTAACATTTCTTCTTCTCATGATTAATGGCATGGGAACACAAGATTGTCATAGAGAAGGATACACAAAGACACTTTTGTTTGAACGTTGTGTCTTTTTAATTTATTTCTCTCAGATCAATGTAGCCATGCCATCCCTTTCTTTTCTCTAAAATTAAATGGAAGTTCAATGTGGATTTTCTCCTAATCATATAATAATACAGATAAAAGAATTGTTCAAAAGGAAACTAGGAATTGACTAAACAACCCTCATTGACTATTTTTAATAAACGAACCAAATATCTTTGCACTAGTTGCATGTGTAACATGGGGCCAGAAAAATACAAAGCTACAATGTCTTTGTAAAAATAAATTTAGAAAATAAATCCAAATTGGGGTGAATTTCCAGACAGTAAAATGATTTAACTATGATTTAACACTTCCCTAGAAACACTGAAAAATTCATTTTCGAAGCTATATTAAAAGACTTTAAAATGGGCTTGTCCAAGCAAGAGCTGGTGAACCGTCTCACTGACTAGCATGGGTGTGAGGTGAGCATGCCAACCGGCAGGATCCTTGGCTGGGCAGCCTCTGCCGCACTAAAGTCAAAGCTGCGAGATGAAAAGGATGATACTTGCTTCCTCTGGGTCCATTAAGTGTGCAAAAGAATGAAGTGTCTGTGTGCATGAGACAAGATGAGGATTGAAGAGGATGGAAATAGAAGCCCGAATTACCAAAAGAAAAGCAAAAGTTACTCTCATTTCTTTAATAGAATTCCCTACTGAAAACAATAATGACAAAAACAACAGAACAAAACAACTCAATTCATTGGTTTTAAGGTGGGAATTGTAAAGGGTGAAAGTGGACAGATTGCAAAATACCACCAGAACCCACAAGTTGACAACTGTCCACTATCCGACGGAGTCATAGTGCCTAAATTATCTTCGGGTTCCCCGGAACATTGCAGGTAATAAAGCAGAGTAATGACTCAAGCTCCGTTATTTATTCATCTTACGAAGAGTCTGAAAAGCCATAAAACCCTGCACTGATGGATGTAAATTGTCTCAGACAATTAGTTCCAATTGTCTGATAGCAAATTTGAACTCTCTGCAGCTTAATAATCAGAAAGCCTTGGAACCCAGATTGAAGTCAAGTCAAGGGAAGAAACCCTGATGTGGCTTTGCAAACAGATGTGTAATGACCTCACCATGCCAGGAGAACAGTGGTAGGAATCCATTTAAATCTGCAGCCCAGGACACTGTACCACAAAGAAATGTTACAAATCAAATATAAATGTGCAGCTCTTACGTGTACTATTGGATGGTAACAAAATTCGTGCTGTAAGTAAGCAAAAGTGCTATTTCATTCTTGAGTGTCTCACCCAGGATTCTGTTAATAAGTAAAAGATGCTGCTTGGAGAAAAAACTAGTGGCAGGAGTCTGTGAAAAAAAATTGCAAAAATAAAGGTATGTGTCAACATATGAAATACCCTCAGATGGGAAGGCTTCGTTATCCTCCTGAGTGCAGATAATTTTCCCCCTCTCTTCACACTGGCCAAAACTAATAAATGTATAAAATGTATATAGACTCATTTATGAGTAGCCTGAGTAATCATAGAATGTTAAATGAGAAAAAAATAGATCAGATTTGTCCTAAGATTATATTTTATCAGTGTGGTAAATTATGTCTTAAAGAAAGTTTATTTGCCCGGGGTCACACCGCTAGTAGGTGGCAATGCTAATTTAGGAGATGTTAAACCTACATCTCCTAAATTCCTGGTTACTCTCCTTCCACCTATCAGCACTCACTTGTTGTTAAAAAAAATAAAAAATAAAATAAAATCCATGAGCCCTGCATTTGATTTAGTATGTGTAGTAAAACAACAACAACAAAAAGAAATAGAACGTGGATAAATAATCCCTACTCATAAAAAATATAGCATCCTAGAGCTACAAAGGCCCTAAAAGTCCATCCACCCAACCCTGTTTTCTGTGCATATATGGATACATATATGTATACATACTCAGATACAGACATTCTCAAACAAATACACTGGGCTAAAGCACTCCTTGCTCCTTTCCATCCTCCATGAACTCTTTATTCTGAATGTCCTAAACGACAAGAAATTCATTTCTTCCTGTGACAGCCCGGTTCCATTTCGGAAGCTCTGACCATTACAAAACTCATTTCACTGGGACAAAATCTATTTCCCACCGGTTCAGGCTCCAACCTTTAGGGCCCATGGGAAGACAGCCACCCCGTCCCCTGTAACTGCCTTCACAAAAGTGAAGCCTGCTCTCAGGAATCCCTGAGGATTCTGTTCTCCAGGGCAGACTTCTCCAATGTCCCAGCCATTCTTGTAATATGCCCATTCTTCTCAGAACAGAACCCTGCTTCTCCATATTCTGACACTGTGGCATCCAAGAAGGACAGCAAAAGTCCAGGGGAGTGTGACCACTGGAAAGTAGAGGAAACAATACTAGATTGTGGAGTTTGCTAGTTACAATAGTCACATGGAGTGTTTTTTAAAATGTCTATTTGAATTCTGCCAGGACTCTGGTGTTTTGGAAAGATACACACACACACACACACACACACACACACACACACACATCTCTCTACTGTTTATCTGAGCTTACCATTTCTTCAGTCCATTCACTTTCACAACTGCTATGACCATTATCACCACTACTGCCACTGTCATTATGCAATCACTACCCCAGTCAGGGAGTGGCTACACTTTGGCAGGCATGGTGATAAGGACTTTTCTCTCATTGTCTTATTAAATTATCCAAAAAAACTTTTGCCTCTGCAGGCTTAATGGCATCTCAAAATGAAAATCTGACTTCTGTATTCATCTAACTCACGATAAGTGTGAACAGTTCAAAGCCTTTCTAGCTTTCCCTATAAACATTTATACTAAGTTCATAGAGATGCATTAAAAGCCTAGTTTATAATCCTGCAGGCATTTTTACTCCCATGTATATTATATTTAATACATTATATATAATAATAAATCATTGCAAGATCCCATTTTTCTTTCCTTTTAGCAACTGATGCACTGTGAGGGGCTACAGTTGCTGAGATGTTTTTTTCCCGTGCCTTTCTAGAGAAAGTGAATGGCCACAAACATAGTTCTGATGTATCTTACTTGTAGCTGGGAAAAACATGGCAGGAAACTTTAGAAGGAGGGAAACAGGACAACCATAGCAAGCGCCCTTCACTGCCGCTGCATCCACATTTCCCCCGCAAGGGGTTTGCTTTCCCTGCCTCTGTGGCGAGCACTGGCAGATATGTGGACCCAGAGCAGGTGAAGTGAGGAGCTGGGCCTCTCACACTCAAGTCAGGGCAGCTGATAGCAGCTGGGATGATGTAAGGAGATCACGGTCAGCAAGACTAAGATGGGACTCTTAGAGGATTACTCGGGTTAAGAGGAAACTCCAAGACCATCATCAGAAGGAGGAGAGCACTTGAGAAAATGAGCACAGAGCTCATGTACCATGAGCAGGAACCATGTAGGAATCAAGGAGCATATTTGTGTATGCTTCACAAAGTTCTCATGTTGTGTTTTTCAGCTCCATCAGGTCATTTATGTCCTTCCCTAAACTGGTTATTCTAGTTAACAATTCCTCTAACCTTTTTTCAAGGTTCTTAGCTTCCTTGCATTGGATTAGAACATGCCCCTTTGGCTCAGAGGAGTTTGTTATTACCTACCTTCTGAAGCCTACTTCTATTAATTCATCAAACTTATTCTCTGTCCAGTCTTGTTCCCTTGGTGGTGAGGAATTGTGATTCTTCAGAGGAGAAGAGGAGTTCTGGTTTTTGGAATTTTCAGCCTTTTTGCATTGGTTTATTCTCATCTTTGTGGATTTTTCTACCTTTGGTCTTTGATGTTGGTGACCTTCAGATAGGGTTTTTGTGTGGATGTCCTTTTTGTTGATGTTGATGCTATTCTTTTCTGTTTGTTAGTTTTTCTTCTAACAGTCAGGCCCCTCTGTTACAGGTCTGCTGGAGTTTGCTGGAGGGCCACTCCAGACCCTGTTTGCCTGGGTATCACCAGTGGAGGCTGCAGAACAGCAAAAATTGCTGCCTGTTCCTTCCTCTGGAAGCTTCATCCCAGAGGGACACATGCCACATGCAGACAGGAGCTCTCCTGTCTGAATTGTCTGTCGACCCCTGTTGGGAGGTGTCTCCCAGCCAGGAGGCATGGGTGTCAGTGACCCACTTGAGGAGACAGTCTGTCCCTTAGCAGAGCTCAAGTGCTGTGCTGGGAGATCTGCTGCTCTCTTCAGAGCCAGCAGGCAGGAACATTTAAGTCTGCTGAAGCTGCGCCCATAGCCACCTCTTCTGCCAGGTTCTCTGTCCCAGGGAGATGGGAGTTTTATCTATAAGCCCCTAACTGGGGTTGCTGCCTTTCTTTCAGAGATGCCATGCCCAGAGAGGAGGAATCTAGAGAGGCAGTCTGGCTACAGTGGCTTTGCTGAGCTGCAGTGGTCTCCGCCCAGTTCAAAATTCCCAGCGGCTTTGTTTACACTGTGAGGGGAAAACCTCATACTCAAGCCTCAGTAATGGTGGACACCCCTCTCCTCACCAAGCCCAAGTGACCCAGATTGACTTCAGACTGAGAGATTTTGTCACCACCAGTCCTGCCTTACAAGAGCTCCTGAAGGAAGCAGTAAATACAGAAAGGAAAAACCAGTATCAGTCATTTCAAAAACATACCAAATTGTAAAGACCATCGACACTATGAAGAAACTGTGTCAACTAATGGGCAAAATAACCACTTAGCATCATAATGACAGGATCAAATTCACACATAACAATATTAACCTTAAATGTAAATGGGCTAAATGCCCCAATTAAAAGACACAAACTGGCAAATTGGATAAAGAGTCAAGACCCATTGCTGTGCTGTATTCAGGAGACCCATCTCATGTGCAAAGACACACAGGCTCAAAATAAAGGGATGGAGGAATATTTACCAAGCAAATGGAAAGCAAAAAAAAAAAAAAAAAAAAATAGGGGTTGCAATCCTAGTCTCTGATAAAACAGAATTTAAACCAACAAAGATCAAAAAAGACAAAGGTCATTACATAATGGTAAAGGGATCAATGCAACAGGAAGAGTTAATTATCCTAACTATATGTGCACCCATTACAGGAGCACCCAGATTCATAAAGCGCATTCTTAGAGACCTACAAAGAGACTTAGACTCCCACACAGTAATAGTGGGAGACTTTAACACCCCACTGTCAATATTAGACAGATCAACGTGACAGAAAATTAACAAGGATATTCAGAACTTGAACCCAGCTCTGGACCAAGCAGACCTAATAGACATTTACAGATCTCTCTATCCCAAATCAACAGAATATACATTCTTTTCAATGCCACATCTCACCTATTCTAAAACTGACCACATAATTGGAATTAAAACACTTCTCAGCAAATGCAAAAGAACGAAATCATAACAAACTGTCTCTCAGACCACAGTGCAACCAAATTACAACTTGGGATTAAGAAACTCACTCAAAACCGCACAACTGCATGGAAACTGAACAACCTGCTTCTGAATGGTTACTGGATAAATAACGAAATTAAGCCAGAAATTAGTAAGTTCTTTGAAGGCAATGAGAACAAAGACACAACACACCAGAATCTCTGGGACACAGCTAAAGCAGTGTTTAGAGGGAAATTTATAGCACTAAGTGCCCACAGGAGAAAGCAGGAAAGATCTAAAATTGACACCCTAACATCACAATTAAAAGAACTAGAAAACAAGAGCAAACAAACCTAAAAGCTAACAGAAGATAAGAAATAACTAAGATCAGAACAGAACTGAAGGAGGTAGAGACATGAAAAAAAACTTTCCAAAAATCAAAGAATCCAGGAGCTGGATTTTGAAAAGATTAACAAAATTGATAGACCACTAGCATGACTATTAAAGAAGAAAAGAGAGAAGAATCAGACAGACACAATAAAAATGAGAAAGTATATGTCACCATCGATCCCACAGAATTACAAACTACCATCAAAGAATACTATAAACACTTCTGTGCAAATAAACTAGAAAATCTAGAAGAAATGGATAAATTCCTGGACACATACACACTCCCAAGACTAAACCAGGAAGAAGTCAAATCCCCAAATAAACCAATAACAAGTTCTGAAATTGAGGCAGTAATTAATAGCCTATCAACCAAAAAAAAAAGCCCAGGACCAGACAGATTCACAGCCAAATTCTACCAGAGGTACAAAGAGAAGCTGGTACCATTCCTTCTGAAACTATTCTAAACAATAGAAAAAGAGGGGCTCCTCCCTAACCCATTTTATGAGGCCAGCATCATCCTGATATGAAAACCTGGCAGAGACACACAAAAAAAGAAAATTTCAGGCCAATATCCCTGATGAACATGGATGCGAAAATCCTCAATAAAATATTGGCAAACTGAATCAAGCAGCACATCAAAAAGTTTATCCACCACGATCAAGTTGGCTTCATCCTTTGGATGCAAAACTGGTTCAACACATGTAAGTCAATAAACGTAATCCATCACGTAAGCAGAACCAATGACAAAAACCACATGATTATCTCAATAGATGCAGAAAAGGCCTTTGATAAAATACAACACCCCTTCATGCTGAAAACTCTTAATAAACTATGTATTGATGGAATGTATCTCAAAATAATAAGAGCCCTTTATGACAAACCCACAGCCAATATCAAACTGAATGGGTAAAAGCTCAGCATTCCCTTTGAAAATCAACACAAGACAAGGATGCCCTCTCTCACCACTGCTCTTCAACATAGTATTGGAAGTTCTCACCAGGGCAATCAGGCAAGAGAAAGAAATAAAGGGTATTCAAATAGGAAGAGAGGAAGTCAAATTGTCTCTGTTTACAGATGACATGATTGTATATTTAGAAAACCCCATCATCTCAGCCCCAAATCTCCTTAAGCTGATAAGCAACTTCAGCAAAGTATCAGGATACAAAATCAATGTGCAAAAATCACAAGCATTCCTATACACCAATAATAGACAAACAGAAAGCCAAATCATGAGTGAATTCCCATTCAAAACTGCTACAAAGTGAATAAAATACCTAGGAATGCAACTTTCAAGGGATGTGAAGGATCTCTTTAAGGAGAACTGCAAACCGCTGCTCAAGAAAATAAGACAGGACACAAACAAATGTAAAAACATTCCATGCTTATGGATAGTAAGAATCAATATAGTAAAAATGGCCATATTGCCCAAAGTAATTTATAGATTCAATGCTATCCTCATCAAGCTACCATTGACTTTTTCACAGAATTAGAAAAAACTACTTTAAATTTCATATGGAACCAAAAAAGAGCCCGTATAGCCAAGACAATCCTAAGCAAAAAGAACAAAGCTGGAGGCAACATGCTACCTGACTTCAAATGATACTACAAGGCCACAGGAACCAAAGCGGCATGGTACTGGTACCAAAACAGAGATATAGATCAATGGAACAGAACAGAGCCCTCAGAAATAACGCTGCATATCTACAACTATCTGATCTTTGATATACCTGACAAACACAAGCAATGGGGAAAGGATTCCCTATTTAATAAATAGTGTTGGGAAAACTGGCTAGCCATATGCAGAAAACTAAAACTGGACCCCTTCCTTACATCTTACACAAAAATTAAGATGGATAAAAAACTTAAACGTAAGACCTAAAACCATAAAAACCCTAGAAGAAAACCTAGGCAATACCATTCAGGACATAAGCATAGGCAAAGATTTCATGAATAAAACACCAAATGACAACAAAAGCCAAAATTGGCAAATGGGATCTAATTAAACTGAAGAGCTTCTGCACAGCAAAAGAAACTATCATCAGAGTGAACAGGCAACCTACAGAATGGGAGAAAATTTTTGCAATCTATCCATCTGACAAAGGGCTAATATCCAGAATCTACAAAGAACTTAAACAAATTTACAAGAAAAAAACAAACAACCCCATCAAAAAGTGGGCAAAGGATTTGAACAGACACTTCTTAAAAGAAGACACTTATGTGGCCAACAAACATATGAAAAAAAGTTCATCATTGTTGGTCATTAGAGAAATGCAAATCAAAACCATAATGAGATACCATCTCATGCCAGTTACAATGGTGATCATTAAAAGTCAGGAAATAATAGATGCTGGAGAGGATGCAGAGAAACAGGAACGCTTTTACACTGTTAGTGGGAGTGTAAATTAGTTCAACCCTTGATGAAGACAGTGTGGCAATTCCTCAAGAATCTAGAACGAGAAATACTATTTGACCCACCAATTCCATTACTGGATATATACCCAAAAGATTATAAATCATTCTGCTATAAACAAACATGCACATGTATGTTTATTGCAGCACTGTTCACAATAGCAAAGACTTGGAACCAACCCAAATGCCCATCAATGATAGACTGGATAAAGAAAATGTGGCACATATATACCTTGGAATACTGTGCAGCCATAAAAAGGATGAGTTCATGTCCTTTGAAGGAATATGGATGAAGCTGGAAACCATCATTCTCAGCAAACTAACAACAGAAAACCAAACACTGCATATTCTCACCCATAAGTGGGAGCTGAACAATGAGAACACATGGAAACAGGGAAGGGAACATCACACACCAGGGCCTGTTGTGGGGGTGGGGAGCTAGGGGAGGGATAGCATCAGGAGAAATACCTAATGTAGATGATGTGTTGATGGCTGCAGAAAACCACCATGGCACGTGTATACCTATGTAACGAACCTGCACGTTCTGCATATCTATCCCAGAATTTAAAATATAATTTTAAAAAAGCAAAAATCAATAAACAAAAAAAGGAGAAATGTTTTAATTTTTCTCAAGAAGTTTAACCATGTAGTTCTCTGTATTGAACAGTAATTTTCTCCTTTATTTTCTAACTTGTATGAAACGATAAGAGTGCCTGTTTACAAATCCTGAGAGTTGTGAAGGTAATAAAAGAATAAGTGACTTTAGACTTCTCTACTGCCAAATTGAGTCTATGTTGTGATGCAGAGAGGCCTGAATTTAAGCTCAAGAGGCATAAAGGTATGTAACCTCTGGCCAGTATGTATATTCACATTTGTTTATCTCATTTATAAGTTAGGCACAATAAGACTTCATCCAAAATGTTTTGAGGAATAAGAAAATGACAAAATTACAGTAAAAATGTTTGTAAATAAGTAAAATATAAATAAGAACTTGGAACTGGATTTCCATACCACCAAAGACTGTGCAGGAGGCAAAACTCAATTTCAAGCACTTCTTGCTAACTTGACCTTCATCATAAATGTCCCCTCTTCTTGTAAAGGGCAGTTTTTAAAGACCCCATCTCCTACAGGTTTTCAAAGCAGGCCCCACCATGTGACACAGATGTGGATTAATAGCATCCTATCTAGAGAACTCATAGTGAATACTATTTGGTGTCAAAGTAGTAATTAAATACAGCAAAAAAGCAAATCAGGTCCTCTGAATGTTAATCTCATTATCGCCCTCTCAGAACTACTTGCCAAAAAGTTAACAGCCATTCAAGCTCTGCTGTTCAGCCAATCAGAATATTAAATTAATCAGTGTGGCCCTGACATAAATATTGCCAAGGAAGCTAATCCTTTGCTTTGAGCATATCAACAAGGACACAAGAAGGCTCTGGGGAAAATTGCAATATATTTTTTACTATTTAATTTTTTGTGTCTTTTTAGAAGTAAGATAATATGCCTCCATTCTTATTCCTTACTTTACTTCTTGACTCAAAAATAATTGACAAGTTCCTTTTTTAAAAAAAATTATATTTTTATTCATAAAAGGAGATATTATTACATAGATTTTGATATAAAGTGGAAAAAAATAAGGGTTAGAATCTTAAAGTGAAACAAGTGTCCACCTTCAGGAAATGTCCCATTCTTGCAAATAGGATTCATGGTGAATAAACATAATCTTTGAAAATAATGAATGCTAACCAAATTTCCTCTCTTTTCAAACTTCTGTATTTGATTTTATAGTCATCTATAACTACATTGTGTACCTGAGCAAGATGGAATAATGTCGGCATCTTCTAGCTCTTTGCTAATGAAACTCATTGTATTCTTGGAAAAAAAAAATATGCCCAAGTGAACAAAATATTCTTTGGCAGAGTCCCTCGCCCCACCTCTGCTATGATAGTCACAGCTATTTCATGGTCTTGTCAACAAGAATCACACCTGAAGGATAAGACCTGGATGCTCACTCTGCTTCGCACCCACGTGCTTAGTTCCATTTATTTAATCTACATTGACTCAATGTTGATTAGAATAGAATAGTTTTCAGTCTAGCAAGCCATGGAACCCTAAAATGAATGAATATTTTGCCTTCACGGAGTCTCTTTTCTGTGAGACTTGTACATGACTGCCCACAAGCCAGCATTTTAAGAATACCATATGGACAAATAATTGCTGCTTCCAGTCTGTAGTAAAAGCCTGAAAAAAAAAAAAACTGAAATAAAACCAGACCCATAACTCTTTGAGTCTATTACTATTCGTTGGCTAAATGTGCACATTTCTGTTAATTGTGATTCTGACGATAGAGAGGGCTTCTTTGAGGTGACAGACAAACAGCAGGGTATCATGAATATGTATGGTGCATCTGAGAAAATAAATGAACAGGGGCCAGCTACTCTGGTGACCCACTTAGATTGTCAGCGATGAGTGTGACAGTGAGGGTCTGTATTGCATGAATTTGCATGACAGAATTTCCTACCTATCAACTCATTTACTTCATGCATTTGGATTATTTTAAGCACTAAATTGTAGTGAGATAATTAATCACTAATTCACCAATACTGACATTAAAGAACAAGAGACACGTTATTGCTGATTACCACTTAAAACTAAAGCTCACAGGGTTACACCTCAGAAGGTGCGAAAGGAGTGTGTTTAACATGTGAATTCTCTTGGTTCCCATTGATCTGGGTGTTTTTCTGAAAACGATGAGATGAGTTGGTGCAATATCTTTCCTCAGCCTTCACCATTTTGCTTCAGTTCAGAACCTTATTTAATTTTTAAAAATGTCTGTTCATTTATAAATGAGACATATTAACTAAGTTTGAACCAACAGATAGAAATTGTCCTGATGGCTAAGATGAAAACATAGTTGGTAATTACCTAGTTATTTTAATTACTTAATTATTTTGGGTTAACATGGTTTGGGGCCTGAAGAATCGGCTTAATTTGTGTATATATTTCCAAGTATAGTATTTCTAGGGTTTAGTAATGCAAATTATTTTGTCACTAGATTTCTAGAACAATAATAATGAATATCTTATTTATTAATACATTTTCTATTTATAACTTTCTCTGACTATTAGTCAGCAGCTGTTGATCTGTAAAAACTGTGTCTTTTCTGATCTCTATCTGGCATCTGGCACCACTCCTGGAATATAGTAAGCATTCAACAAATATTGGTTCTCTCAACTGTATCGAGTTAAGAGAATTGGAATACAATATATTATTCAAACCAAACACCATCTATTTTTCTACAAAGAGTATGGATACAGAAGTAAAAGTTCGCATAGATATTGACTTTAGACAGTTTCATGATCACAGCCCCCAAGCAAATTACTTAATTTCTTGAAGCTTAATTTTTCTTATCTTCCAAATCTCTGAGATCTCTTCTCATCTATAGCATAATGAGACTAATATTTGCCCCAAAGGACAAATAATATATTAATAGTAAAATGCTGGCATAGTGATTGGCACACATTAAGTAATGACTACATAGTAGCTATTATTAGGAGATCAAGGTGTTGAAAAAACAAAAGAATTTGAAAAACATGTATGAGAGAAAAATGCTTGTCTTATGAAGTATAAGGAATGCAAGACAGGACAGCATCAACAATGACTTGATATCAAAGGTGCAGTGTAACACCAGAAAAATAGTGACTTTGCCAACCAAGGTGATGAGGAAAGGAAGAAGTTCTTGTAAAAGATGACGATATTTAGTTTGAGGTGGATATAATTCGTGGTGTTTAAAAAGAATGCAATTGGCAATGCCCATTAGACCGTTGGATGTATATGTGCAGTGTGAGAAAGAGTTCAAACCTAAAGATGCATATTTGAGAGACAGAAATAAAGGGAGAGCAGCTAGTTTAAAAGGTTAAACGAGAAGACTGGTGAGAAACGTGAGTCAGATTGAGGGAAAGCAGCAAGGATTTATAGGCGCTACCTTTGTGAACAGAATTGTATAGATTTTCTTTGGCTTCAGAGCAAGCCAGAGCAAAGAGAGGCAAGGAACTGAGTTTCTGTCTTTGAAAAATGCTTTATATCTATTTTAGCTAAGGCTACAATTTTAACTAAAACAAATGAAATGTGACATAGTGCACATGTCATAGCAATAAATATATGAGAATCTGAGGCTATATCGTATGGCTTAATAAATGTAATTCTTACGGAAGTGGTTTATAGCTGCAGCCAAGAAAATCCATGAAAACCTGTGCAGATACTATTTTTGGTAGATTGGATTAGTGTTCCCAGTCATCACTCCTTCTCTGCTCTGTGACCTTGTATTACACTACACTGGTGAAGTCTATTTCTCCATGCCGTTGATGTGGGTTTGTGGCTTATGCAGTATTAGCAGATGTTTTCTTGAATAGAAGCTTTAAAGATGCTTGATTGTTTTGGCTTGACCTCCCTAACACCTGCGGTCAGGCATTGGATGAGGATGCCCATGTAGCTGCTGGACCAAGAAAAACACAGGCATATGTAGCAGATTGAACCTAACACATAGCCTGGGACCAAGACCAGCCCACCTCAGGCAAGACCAGAAAAGCAACAGTAGAGCCACAGAGGCAGAGCAAGACAATGAACATTTGTTATGGTAAATCACAACGATTTTGAGGTTTGATACTATGCTGCAAAAAGTATTAATACAGTGTTAATTACATCAAGATAAAATGGGCAGTGTAATGATTGACTAAATGCTATGGAGAGGAGATACCTAAATTGCACTTCCATAAGCAACTTGGCAAATCAGGTTGCGACAACAAAATTACTGATGGGAAATACAGATTGTGCTGCTCCATTGTTAATGCAAGACATAATTTATATGTTATCTTAAAGAAAGTAAGAGACAATAACTTATATGCACAAATATTCTTCCTTTTCTTGGCTGTTTATGTCTTTTTTACATAAAAATCAAATACCCTGAAACGTTTCAAGGGAAGATATCAATTCTGCAGTTTACTTAGCCCATTTTTCGTTTTTGCCCCAAACTTTTCACAGTGCTCATTTTTTCAATATTGTTATTTGATTTTTCAGAATTTTTGTAAATTTCCTTTATCCAGAAAACTTTCCCACTTAGGTGTTCTTTCTGTGATAAAAAAGGAGAAGAAAGAGTTTTTAATTGTTATTATTATTTATTTTTAAAGAGATTCTCATGTTAGTTTTCTTTTATCTCCTATAGATAAAATTTATTTTCTGAAAGTTGTTGGTTGCCCCTCACTCTAGTTGTATGATGCAGTGACGTTCATTTAGGTCCAGTCAAATGGATCAAATATATTTCATGCCATTCTTCTTTCACTATAATAATAAAAGAAAAAATTCCATGCAAACATTGAAGGTAAAAAGAGAGAAAAACCTTGCACTTCAAGGCTGAAGATCAATTCTGTTTAAATTTAAAAGTGATGTTAAAAGTGTTTATCATGCTCTGATTCCTTTGCTGGAAATATCTTTCTTCCTCCCTCTCCCACCGCAACACACACACACAGTGACTCACTAATTGGCTGTCTGGTTAAATCTTATTCTTTAAAATTCCAACTTAAAATTCCAGCTAATGAGCGCTCCTGGACTACCTCCCACTCACACCTCTACTGAGTTGTATCTGTCCTGGTCTTTCCCTAGGAAAGAGTACATACCTCCACTTCATACTAATCATAATATATTAAAATGATGACTTATTCACATATTTCTTTGAAAGGAGCATTAAGTCAAAATTCAGAGATTACCCATCTTCAGGACATAGTGTCTAGAGTGTGCTTGAGTCCCAAAAATAGCCAACTCAACCCAATATTTAGGAATAAGGTGGCAGGCATATTGGTCTTGGCTCTACCATCAACTCACTGAAGGATACAGCAAATCCCTCCCTCCCATCTCTAAACGTTATTTTTTCTAATTTATTCTGTGAAACTTTAGAGGGCACCTTTTTGAGCAATGGGATTCAGTGTTCCAGTACAACATTCTGAGGCTGGCTAATCTAACCAAAAAATTATATTTTTATTTAAAAAACATAAAAACAAGACTTTCTTTTAAAGTATTGGGAGGAGCCCATATATGTATATATGTATGTGTGTGTATATATATATATATAAACATATGTGTGTGTGTGTGTGTGTGTATGTATGTATAAAGTTAAAGCCAGAGTAGAGCAGAAAAGCTTAAATGAAAACCAAGGCAGAAGATCCACATCCCTTCTAACTTGCCAGTGAGTGGTACTTCCATCGACTAGCAAGTCTTTTTGAAGTGCAGTATAAATGTGCTGTGATAAACTGCTGTTTACCTTCCAAATACGTTCTCCCTCCCATGCTACATATTTGTATACTGGTACTGTCCTTCCAGAGAGAAAACGTTTTAACACAAAGAAATGACCAGATACCAAGGATAGTTTACAGAGGTAATATAGGCAAAAATAATGGGCCATGAACAACCTAAGAAGATGCCATGACAGAGGAGGATTCAAGGGAACTGGGATGTGAACATACCAAAGACCACGTGAGAAAAGAAGACAGTTCTGTGAGGATGCCCAGTGACCACTTTTATCTGGAATGAGATATGCGGTGGATTTAAACTAAAAGGGGCCTCTTGCAGTGGTTCATGCCTGCAACCCCAGCACTTTGGGAGGCTGAGGGAGGCGGATCACTTTAGATCAGGAGTTCAAAACCAGGCTGGCCAACATGGTGAAACCCTGTCTCTATTAAAAATATAGACACCTGTAATCCCAGCTACTCAGGAGGCTGAGGCAGGAAAATCGCTCGAACCCTGGGAGGCAGAGGGTGCAGTGAGCTGAGATGGGTCCCCTGCACTCCAGCCTGGGCAACAGAGTGAGACTCCGTCTCAATAAATAAATAAATAAACTAATAGAGTAAGAGCAGTATCTATCAGAATGCCTACTTCTCAATATCTGAGACAGCCATTTCACACAGAAATATGTTCCATTCAATATTTCCCCTTTTTAGCTAAATTCTGGTCACAATGATGTCATACTTACCTGAAAGGTGAAACTTACCAAGCTGAACGCTCCTCTCTGCGCAATGCTGTGGGGTTGGAGAAGAAGTCAACTGGTTTAGGGAGGATCTCTTTTTATTGTCTTATGATTCCATATGCTTCTAATTTACTAAAGTAAAATATCTGATAACACTTGGAAAGCCATTGCAGAATCCACTGAGCCCCAGTGAGATGAAGGCTTTCTAAAGAGATGAAAGCATCCATCAGTATATCTCCATTTCATTAACCGTGACTGCGGGTGGTCTTGGAATGTTGTCAAGCTCTAGAAAACTGGCCAAGTTCAGGAAGAGTCCAGGAACAGTCATCAGAACAGAGAGTGCACGAGCTCTCCTCCTGTTCCTGACCCAGCAACTTCTTCCTTGGGGAATACAAGCCACAGATGGCCATGAGTCCACACATCCATGTGGAGGAGCACAGGGGAGTGCCTCGCTCCCATTTACAAATGGTGCTTTAAAAATCCTACTTGCTGTATTAAAAATTTATTTCAATTTTTTGGGGGTACGTGTGGTTTTTGGTTACATGGTAGAGTTCTTTAGTGGTGATATCTGAGATTTTGATGCACTTATCACCACAGCAGTATATGCTGCCCCCAATATGTACTCTTTTATCCCTCACCTCCCTCCCACACTTCCCCCCAAGTCCCCAAAGTCCATTGTATCATTTTTATGCCTTTGCATCCTCATAGCTTAGCTCCCACTTATATTTGGTTTTCCATTCCTGAGAGACTTCACTTAGAATAATGGCTTCCAGCTCCATCGAATCCATCCAAGTTGCTGCAAAGGCCATTATTTCATTTTGTTTTATGGCTGAGTAGTATCCCATAGTGTGTGTGTGTGTATATATATATATGACATATGTGTGTGTATGATATATATGTATCATATCATAAAATATATATAAATATATATATATATCACATGTTATTTATCCACTCAGTTGATGGGCATTTAGGTTGGTTCCATATTTTTCCAATTATGAATTTTGCTGCAATAAACATGTGTGCGCATGTGTCTTTATTCTAACAATACTTGAGTAGAGTATTTCTGGTCAAATACATTCTGTGGTGTGGAGTTTGAGGTAGGAGCTCTGTGAGACTGGCTTTTCCACACTGTGAGGCTGGCTTTTCCACACTGTGAGGCTGGCTTTTCCACACTGTGAGGCTGGCTCTTGCTCAGGGCACACTTCCCCCTCCCCTGAGGGCTGTCAAAGCACATGGGCTTCCTTCCCCCGCTGGGTGGTGATGAAAAATACCCCTCGTGTCAAAGGCACTTATAAAGCAAGTAATTAAGGTCATCTGCTCAAATCTCACCCACAATTTGTGTTCATAGAGAAATAAAAAATTTCTACCTAATATCAGCTGATTCACTTATATGTTTCATGACTAACAGCATCATGAAACATTAGAATTGGTAAGGTTCTAAGAAGCCATTCAGTTTAGGCTCCTCTCATGTAATACCGAAATCCTTTCTACAATATCACCAAGTGTTTTCCAGTCTCTGCCAGAATGCTTGCCCTCTTCCAAGACAGTTTCAGAAAAGCCCATCCTCATGTTTAAACACAAACGTTTCCCAGTGTTCGCGACCATTTCCACAGTCCTTAGGCTCATTCACAACAATTACTTAAAGAAGATAATGATGCATTCTGGGGTCTGCTTTTTCATAAGCTGAACATCCTCAAAGTTCTATGTTGTTCATATGGCATGTTGATTTTTCAAGGCACGTGGTTTTTAATCCCTATTTTTAATATCCTGTAATACTTTTTCAGATCTTCAACTTATTATGCCATCTATATTTGTGTGGGGGTGATTCAAGAGTTCACCATATGTTCTAAGGAACTTAAATAAACTATTGAGTCTATTGAACGTGGGTGTTTCTGTTAAGTTAAAGGGGAGGAAGTTGCAGCTGTTTCTACTCTGCACACTTTTCCTTGCTTTGAATTAGGATTGTAGAAACAGAAGTAGTATCATATCTTCTAATTTTTAGGTTTGGTTTTCCTCACCCTGTGATGTACAGAATTATTTTAAAGATTCTTTACGCACAATTTTAGGGCTTCTTTTTGTCTTGACCTGGTAACCCACTCCTCTCCAGGTGATGGTTATGGTATTACAGGCTTGGAAGAGATCTTAAAAGCTGGTCCAGCTGCCCTTTTCCAGACGAAATTGGTATGAAACATATACCTTAGTTGCTTTTAGAGTAGCCACAGCAAAATGGCTTCAAAAAATAGTTTCCTGGCATGTTATCTGTAGACTCAATCAACAAATTTCTCAAAAAATATATGATGCGCTGGAGGCAGGTCCTGTCAATTTGGGAGACCAGCTTGTCGATGTTAATTTTTAACTACTCGGAAATTTTGTAAGCCAGTTCATAAATAGTTGGTAGGTTGAAATCAGACATGATGGGAGCATTTATACCACAGAAAGCAGCAGATGCAACCGCTCAGGGCCTTTTTTCCTCCAGTGGGGAGCCAGGCTACCAACTCACCACTAGTCCTTGACATACCTTTCAGTAATTAGAAACATCATCTCTCTCCACTAAAAAATTCATTCGCCTACCCTGAGATATCCTTTGTAAGTAATGAATTCATATATTTCCGGGTACTAGATATTCTTTTCTATATATCGTCTTTGGGAAAATTAAGATAGTGATCATTTAAGTTGTGTTTTGTAGGGTTCAATTCTTTCCCAGAACCCTAGTTAAGCAAGGCTGATGGGTAGGTAGAACAGAGACAAGAAGCCAGTAGTGCTCAACATTGGTGCACATTAAACCATCTGGGGAACTAAAACAAACAAATAAACAAACAAAAAACAGACACCTATAAACCAATAAAATTATTTCTGGGGGTGGCTGTGGACATCCAAATTCCCTGGTAATTTGGAGGACGTCTGCCAAAAGCACTTTGGAAGTGACGGCAAACCTCGATATTTCCCCAAAAGATAAAGTGGGTGGGATGGATGTTGATTCAACACATGTTGAGCAAGCATTTGCCGTGTAGTCAGCATTACTGACCAATTTCTGCCACAGTTCTTTGCAGGAGATATGTCACTATTCCTATTTTATAGATGAGAAGCATGAGATTTGTGATAGTTAAATGATTTCTAAAAGGAAACATAGTAAATAATAGATCCTAGATGTGAGATCAAGCTGGGACTTAAAAAACTCTAAGGTCACTCTGGCGTTTATTATTTGTGGTCTCTCAATAGGATTGAAACTTCTCCCAAGATTTTGGAAATTTCATATAGGTTTGATCTTTCCAAGTGAAAAGCCCAGACTCCGTTAAGTATAGGGTGTAATCGAATGACACAGAAGCTATCACTCACGCCCTCCTGCGTGAGCCCAGAGTACATAGAAGCCACACGAGAAAAAACTGGTTCTGTGAAGTCCTCACAGAGGCTGTCAGTTTTCCAGGGGTGCCATGCTGAGCTTATGACATCCAGTCCTAACTGGCATGTGCCAAGAAGCTGGGGAAGGGGTGTCTCCAGGAGAGGAACCCCTCTGTTGTAGTGGACATTGTTTGTGAATTCAGATTCTGGCTGTCCTGGAGATTCCAAGTACTAACTTATATTGTTTAATAAACTTTTTTTTTTTTTTTTGCTTTAACTAGCTAAAGTGAATCATGTTCTTTCCAATTGAGTATTCTAAATAAAATATCAATAGTAATTCCTAAATATCATGTTTTTTCTCTCCCTCAACAATTTCTGAATAACTTTTTTCTTTTTTACCACCATAATTATGGTTTGCTTTTGTTTTTACCTAAAACTTTTTTTTTTTTTCAGACGGGGTCTTGCTCTGTCACCAGGTTGGAGTGCACTGGTGCAATCTCGGCTCACTGCAAGCTCCACCTCCCAGGTTCAAGTGATTCTCCTGCCTCGGCCTCCCGAGTCGCTGGGACTACAGGCGCCTGCCACCATGCCCGGCTAATTTTTTTGTACTTTTAGTAGAGACGGGGTTTCACCATGTTGGCCAGGCTGGCCTTGATGCCTTGACCTCGTGATCCACCCGCCTCGGCCTCCCAAAGTGCTGAGATTACAGGCGTGAGCCACTGCGTCCGGCCCCTAAAACCATTTTTAACCTCATGTTGCTTCACAGTAAGTTGAGAATACACTGTAAAATTTACTTTAGGATTTCTACAGTCCAGACAGGATTAGGGAAAGCAACATTTTTGGCCCTTAAACTTTTATTATTTTTTATCACAAGGTAGGGTAGTCTAAGACATAAGCCCTCTCTTTGTAAAACTGTGATGTAATCTTTTCATCCCTCTTTAACAGCTTATCATACAATGCTTTTAATTATTCATACAACTTATTCAACAAGAAGTTACCAAGAACCAGTTCCACTATGGACCCTGTGACAGATGTTCAGGTACAAAGAAGAGTCAAGGCAGCCCTCGTCTCCCTCACAACACAGCTCAGGTAAGGGTAAGAATTGCTCACGTCACAATGCCATGTGATCAGCATGTGTTAAGAAAGTGCTGTGGGCAACTGAAAGACATGGGAAGAAGTGAAATTTCTAAGGGAGAGTGAGAAGAAAGCAAAAGATAGGACCCCAGGCATAGCAAATATGTTGTGAGTAATAACAAGATGGTTGATGTTGAAGACAACATCAGAATAATGGGAGTGGCACGTTTTCTTCACCATCCTTTTATCTCTTTATCTGCATGAAGCCTCTGGTATGAACAGCATGCCTGGAGAACACCTAGTTCCCCCTGCTTTCTTGGCCATTTTGTTACACATCTGGTTATATGAAAGATACCTGTTCGCATCTTCAGCCTACCAGTATCTCAGGGTAATATCTCTTCCCTGCAATGTCTTTATTCTTATTTGTCTGATACTTCCCCAGTCATAATGACATTCCTCTATTTCTTGCCAAAGCTCATTTATACATCATAAAGTTTACTAGGTAAATTAGTTATATAAAATACCAAATGAAATCATACTTATTATTACAAGTTATTGTACAATTTTACAATTTTATAGTAGAATTGTCTTTGTTCAGTAATCTGATTTCTTTTTTTCCATAAGTTATTGGGTACAGGTGGTGTTTGATTACATGAGTAGGCTCTTTAGTGGTGATTTGTGAGATTTTGGTGCACCCATCACCCGAGCAGTATACACTGCACCATATTTATAGGTTTTACCCCTTGCACCCCCTCAAGCTTTCCCCACAGTCCCCAAAGTCCATTGTATCATTCTTATGCCTTTGCATCCCCATAGCTTAGCTCCCACGTATCAGTGAGAACATACAGTGTTTGGGTTTCCATTCCTGAGTTACTTCACTTAGAATAATAGTCTCCAATCTCATCCAGGTCATGGCAAATGCCATTAATTCATCCCTTTTTATGGCTGAGTAGTATTCCAATGTGAGTGTATGTGTGTGTATGCATATATATATATGTGTATATATATGTGTATATATATGTGTATATATGTATATATATATGTGTGTGTGTATATATATGTATGTGTATATATATATATATTACAGTTTCTTTATCCACTCATTGATTGATGGGCATTTTGGTTGATTCCACTATTTTGCAACTGCGAATTGTGCTGCTGTAAACATGTATGTGCAAGTATCTAGTAGTTCTACTACTAAGTATATAGTAGTTATACTTTTAGTTCTTTAGGGAATCTCCACACTGTTTTTCATAGTGCTGTACTAGCTTACATTCCCACCAGCAGTGTAGAAGTGCTCCCTGATCACTGCATCCATGCCAACATCTACTGTTTTTTGATTTTTTGATTATGCCCGTTCTTGCAGGAGTAAGGTGGTATTTCACTGTGGTTTTGATTTGCACTTCCCTGATCATTAGTGATGTTGAGCATTTTTTCATGTGTCTGTTGGCCATGTGTATATCTTTTTTTGAGAATTGTCTATTCATGTATTTAGCCCAATTTTTGACACGATTGTTTGTTTTTTTTCTTACTGATTTGTTTGCGTTCGTTGTAGATTCTGGATATTAGTCCTTTGTTAGATATATAGACTGTGAAGATTTTCTCCCACTCTGTGGGTTGTCTGTTTACTCTGCTGACTGTTCCTTTTGCTGTGTAAAAGCTCTTTAGTTTAATTAGGCCCCAGCTATTTGTCTTTGTTTTTATTGCATTTGCTTTTGGGTTCTTGGTCATAAAAATCCTTGCCTAAGCCAATGTCTAGAAGGGTTTTTCCATTGTTATCTTCTAGAATTTGTATAGGTTCAGGTTTTAGGTTTAAGTCCTTAATCCAGCTTTGAGTTGACTTGAGCTGAGAGATGAGGATCCTGTTCCATTCTCCTTGTAATCTAATTTCACAAAAGAGGAGCTGAAGCCCTTATTGGTAGAACTGATGTTGCATTTCAAAGTCAGCCTGAGTAGCTATCTAAATATCTTTTGCCTACATATCCTGCAGGATCGTTAGAATGAAGATGTGTAAAATGGAAGCTTCCACTTACTTACTATTAACTTGCACCTTTTCTTATTTTCCTAGCTTACTGCACCACATCCCATTCACTCAATCTTCCAGTTCAGAAACCTATAGTTTTCTGTGCATCTATTTCCATCCGTGTCCATGGACAATCATGGTGATGAATTTGTTTCTTCAACATCTTTTCAATAGGACCTTACCTATCCATTCCCCACCATTAGTGACTGTATTGGTCAGAGCTCTCAAGAGAGATAGAACCAATGAAAGATATAGATAGATAGATAGATAGATAGATAGATAGATAGATAGATAGACAGACAGACAGATAAATACATACATACATACATAGATGATGGATGGATAGCTAGATGATAGATAGCTAACTAGATAGATAGATAGATAGATAGATAGATAGATAGATAGATAATAAAAATTTGGCTCACATGATTAGGAGGACTGACAAGTCCCAAGAGCTACAGGGTGATTCAGTGAGCCGGGAGAGCTAATGTTGTAAGCTCCATTCCAAAGGCCAGCAGGCTCCAGACCTGGAAAAGCTGACTTTTCAGTTGGAGTCTGAGGCAGGAGAAAGCTGATGTCCCAGTTCAAAGCAGGATAGGAGGACTTCTTTCTTACTTGGGGGAGGATTGGCATTTTTGTCTTATTCAGGTCTTCAAATGACTAGATGTTTTCCACCCACATTAGAGAGCCAATCCGTTTTACATAATCTATCAAGTCAAATATTCACCTCACTCAAAAAAACTCTCACAGAAACACCCAGAATAATGTTTGTTTAAATGTCTGGGAAACCCATGACCCAGTGGAGTTGACACATGAAATTAACCACCAAAGTGACTTATTTTAGCCTCATTGTTTCTCACCTTATTATTGCAGTCAAACCTTAATTGGCCTCTCTGACATGCCCTTTCTTCCATTCTATCTAGACATAACCTGAGTAATCTTCCTGCATCACAGATTTGATCATGCACCTGTCCTGCTTGGCATCATTCAGTGGCTTCCCATGGCATTCTGTACGCAATAATTAGGAACTTAGCATGACATAAAACATTTCATGACTTGATCCTTCACTTCTTCCCCAGCTTCTTTTTCCTCATATCCTGAAGCATGCTACATTGCAACAGGGCAATGGCACTCACTAACTCGTCCATTCATTCTCCCAATTGTACATTGATCACTGTCTTGCATCACATATGTTTAATTTCTTGGGGAAAAGAATTTCTGCCTTGTGGGGTTGTGGGCTAATAAGAAAGGCAGCTGAGGAAGTAGATACTTAGGACAGAAATAGGTTTCCATGACAGAGCTCAGGATTCAGTAAGGTGCCTTTACAGTCCACAGGCAGGGCACCTAACACCATCTGCGAATGCAGAGAGTCTCAGCAGAGATGCCGTCCAAGCCAAAATTCAAGGATGGGCTTGATTTATGTGGTCAGTAGGGGATAATTCTAACACACATAAGTTCTATGGCTTTGAATAATTACCTACTTGATACAGTTTGAAAGTTTGTCCCCTCCAAATCTCATGTGGATATGTAATCCCAGTGTTGGAGGTGGAGCCTGGTGAGGGGTATTTGGGTCATAGGGGCAAATTCTTCATGAAGGGTTTGTTGCCCTCCCTGTAGTAATGAGTTCACACTGCATCTGGTTATTTAAAAGAGTCTGTCACCTCTGCCTCTCTCTGTTGCTCCCTCTCTCACCCTGTGATGCACTGACTTCCCTTAGTCTACTGTCATGATTGGAAGCTCCCTGAGGTCTCACCAGACACAGATTCCAGCGCCACGCTTCTTGTACAATCTGCAGAACCACGAGCAAAACAAACAAACAAACAAACAAAAACCAAAAAAAAAAAAAAAAAAAAAACCTGCTTTTCTTATAAATTACCCAGCCTTGGGTATTCCTTTACAGAAATGCAAATCGATGCTACCCTTCTCTTAAATCTTGGTTTTCTCATTGTAAAATTATCAGAATAGCAATTGCACTTGTCTTAAAGGCATTTTCTTAGATAAAGGTCAGTGATTAAACAAAATAACCACTTCCTGTTGTGTAGTAAGTTTTCAGCATCCACTGTCTTTTTTAGCAGCAGGAGCAGCAGCAGGGTATTAGTAGCAGCCACAGTTGAGCATCTCCATCTCTCTAAGCCACAATGTCTCCCAGTCCCACAGCACTGCACGCTCCTCCATGCCAATGTGCCTTTGCACACATTAACTTCTCTTCTTTCCTCCTTCCTCCATCTGGACAAATTCTTATTAATTCCTCATGAATCTATACCAACATCACCTTCCAAAAAGCTTTCATATGACCTCCTCTCTTCCAACATAGTTAGAAAACTTTCCCATGGCTCGCAGAGTCCACTGTGAATACCTTTCTCATGCAGTGTTTCACATGGTTCTGGGAAATTTGCAAGGGTCAGAACTAAATTTAATCTTTGAATCTTCAGAATAGGGCCTAGCGCAGCCCATAGTGTGGGTTTAGCAGGTATCTCTTGAATTAATTGGTGTTTGGTTCACTCTAAAGAGTTGATATCAACAATGCACGCTTAGAGGAAAGATATATACAAACATACACATTTACATGCTTATATAAAAATGTGTACCAAAATAGACACACACACACATTTGTTAGAGTATTTATTAGTTATCTAATATATGCAATCCATAAAACCAAACTAACACATTTTTCTAACAAACTTTAAAAGACTAAAAGTATTCAATACAAGTAAACTATCACCATAGGAATATTTAATGAATGTACATCAGGAAGATAAAAATTGATACCAAAGAAAAAGCTGCAATGTCAGAAGAAAATGGGAGTGAACCAAAAAAAAAAAGAAAGAAAAAGAAATGGCAAACATATGGGTAAATATAAACAAACTCTGACTTTACAAAATTAAAATGACAATTACTAATTTTGTGGATTAAAAACACAATGGAATTAAAATAGTGGGCAAGAATAACATTTAAGACACACAAATCAATACTATATAGAACGAATTATCTGAAAAAGCAATTAAATTAAAAAGCAATAATATAAAATAAACTCTAAAAACATGGCAAATTCAAAAATATGTTTTCAAATAATTCATGAGTCAAAGGAAATAATGGAAAATTTAAATAAGGAAAATACAGAGAATACTATATATCAAATTTGTGGGAAGTACTGAAGAAGTTCATAGTGGAAAATTTATAATTCTGGATGTTTTCATTGTAAAAGAAGGGCTGAAAATTGATGAGTTAAGACTCAAATTCAAGAGGTTTGGCTCGGAACAATAAGCTGAAATCAAATAAGTTTAACAAATTAAAAAGTAAAGTTATGCAATAACAAACATGAAGATGCATGTAGCCTTTACCTTATTAACTTCCCTCCAAACACATAACAAATAGAATTCCTCACAGGTATTTTCATGCCTTTCTCAAGCTGAACACCCAGCTGAATCTATATCCATATCTATACCTATATTCTGTTTAGATGACTTGATCCTATGTGTAGAAAATCCTATAGACTTCACCCAAACCCATTAGATCTAATAAATGAATGCAGTAAAGTAGAAGATACAAAACCAACATACAAAAATCAGTTGCATCCCTTTTCCTTTTTTTTTTTTTTTTTAAGACAGAGTCTCACTTTGTCACCTAGGCTGGAATGCAGTGGTACAATCTCAGCTCACTCCAACCTCTGCGTCCGGGGTTCAAGCGATTCTCCTGCCTCAGCCTCCCAACTAGCTGAGATTACAGCTGCCTGCCATCACGCACGGCTAGTTTTTGTATTTTTAATAGAGACGGGGTTTCGCCATGTTGACCAGGCTGGTCTTCAACTCCTGACCTCAAGTGATCTGCCCACCTTGGCCTCCCAAAGTGCTGGGATTACAGGCGTGAGCCACCTAGTTGCATTCCTTACACCCACAATAATCTATCTGAAGAAGAAATCAATAAAACAGTACCACATAGAATATCATCAAAAAGAATAAAATACTTATGAATATATTTAACCAAGAAAGTGAAAAATCTGTACACTAAAAACTATGAAATATTAATGAAAAAATTGAAAGATGAATGGATGAAAATATATTTCATATTTCCAGTTCTAGATCCCTGAGGAATCGCCACACTGACTTCCACAATGGTTGAACTAGTTTACAGTCCCACCAACAGTGTAAAAGTGTTCCTATTTCTTCACATCCTCTCCAGCACCTGTTGTTTCCTGACTTTTTAATGATTGCCATTCTAACTGGTGTGAGATGGTATCTCATTGTGGTTTTGATTTGCATTTCTCTGATGGCCAGTGATGGTGAGCATTTTTTCATGTGTTTTTTGGCTGCATAAATGTCTTCTTTTGAGAAGAGTCTGTTCATGTCCTTTGCCCACTTTTTGATGGGGTTGTTTGTTTTTTTCTTGTAAATTTGTTTGAGTTCTTTGTAGATTCTGGATATTAGCCCTTTGTCAGATGAGTAGGTTGCAAAACGCAGCCATCCCATTACTGGGTATATACCCAAAGGACTATAAATCTTGCTGCTATAAAGACACATGCACACGTATGTTTATTGCGGCATTATTCACAGTAGCAAAGACTTGGAACCAACCCAAATGTCCAACAATGATAGACTGGATTAAGAAAATGTGGCACATATACACCATGGAATACTATGCAGCCATAAAAAATGATGAGTTCATGTCCTTTGTAGGGACATGGATGAAATTGGAAATCATCATTCTCAGTAAACTATCGCAAGAACAAAAAACCAAACACCACATATTCTCACTCATAGGTGGGAATTGAACAATGAGATCACATGGACACAGGAAGGAGAATATCACACTCTGGGGACTGTTGTGGGGTGGGGGGAGGGGAGAGGGATAGCATTGGGAGATATACCTAATGCTAGATGACGAGTTAGTGGGTGCAGTGCACCAGCATGGCACATGTATACATATGTAACTAACCTGCACAATGTGCACATGTACCCTAAAACTTAAAGTATAATAATAAAAAATAAATAAATAAATAAATAAATAAATAAAATATATTTCATATTTATGAATTTTAATAATTAATATTATTAAAGTGCCTATACTACCCAAATAACACACAGATTCATTGTAATCTCTATCAAAATTTGAACAACATTCAACATTTTTTACAAAAGTAGAATTTTTTTTTTTTTGGAAATGGAGTTTTGCTCTTGTTGCCCAGGCTGGCATGCAATGGCATGATCTTGACTCACTACAACCTCCACCTCCCAGTTTCCTGCAATTCTCCTATCTCAGCCTCCTGAGCAGTTGGCGTTATAGGCATGCGCCACTATGCCCAGGTAATTTTTTGTATTTTCAGTAGAGACAGGATTTCTCCATGTTGGTCAGACAGGTCTCAAACTTCCAACCTCAGGTGATCCACCTGGCTTGGTCTCACAGGCATGAGCCACCACACCCTGCCAGAAAAGAAAATTTTTAACTGTATGTGGAATTACAAAATAACCGAAGAAATCCTGAGAAAGTAAAACAAAGTTGGAGACCTCCCATTTTCTAATTTCAAATTATATTTAAAAGCTATATTAACCAACACAGTATGGTACTGAAATAAAAACAAAAACATAGACCTATGGAACAGAGTAGAGAGCCCAGAAATAAACCCAAGAATATATAGTCAACTAATTTTTGACAAGCCTACCAAGAAGACACAACGGTGAAATGGCAGTCTCTTCAATAGATGCTATTGGGAAAACTGGAAACTGGATATCCATATGCAAAAGAATAAAATTAGACCCTTATTTTACACCATACACAAAAATCAACTCAAAGTGGAATAAAGACCTAAGCACAAGACCTGAAATCATAAAACTCCTGGAATAAAACATAAGGGAAAATCTCCTTAATTATGATTTTTGGGATATATCACCAAAAGCTCAGGCAGCAAAAATGAAAATAAATAAGTGGAACCACATCAAACTAAAAAGCTTCTCCAAAGCAAAGGAAAAAAATTGTAAACAAAAAGGCAGCCTATGGATTGAGAGAAAAATTTTGCAAATGATATATCTGATAAAGGCCTAATAACCAAAATATAAAAAGAATTCCCACAACTTCACAGGAAAAAACAACAACCTGATTAAAAAATGAACAAAGGATCCAAATAGACATTTTTCTAAAGAAGACATAAAAATGACCAACAGATATATGCAAAGGTGCTTAACATCTCTAATCACCAGAAAAATACAAATCAAAACCACAATGAGATACTAGCTCACACCTATTCAGATGACGGCCATCAAAAGATGAAAGCTAACAGGTTTTGGAGAGGGTGTAGAGAAAAGGAAGTCCTTTTACACTGTTGGTGGGAACGTAAATCGGTGCAGCCTTTATGGAAAACAGGATGGAGATATCCCAAAAAACTAAAAATAGAACTCTCACATGGTTCAGCCATTCGTCTTCTGGGTATACACTCAAAGGAAATAAAATCAGCACCTCATAAGATATCTGCATCCCCACATTCACTGCAGCATTACTCACAATAGCCAAGATATGGAAACAACCTAAGTGTACATCTATAGGTGAATAAATAAATCATGGTTTATATATACCATGGAATATTACACAGCCTTAAAAAGTAGATCCTCTCATTGCTACAACATTGATGGACCTGGAGGACATTGTGCTAAGTGAAATAAGCTAGTTATATACAAGAAAGTACTGTGTAATCTCACACATACATGACTTTTTTTAAAAAGTTGAACACAAAAAGTGGAGAATAAAAATAGTGATTACCAGGTGTGAGGAGGGGGAGAAAATGGGGTGATGTAGGTCATTGTGTACGGACTTGCAGCTATGTGGGATGAATAGGTCTAGAGGTCTGCTGTGGGGTATGTGAATTATAATTAACAATATTATTATATTGTGTGCTGAAAACTTGCTAAGGGAGTGAGATAATGGATGCATTAATTTGCCTGACAGTAGTGATCATTTCACTCTCTGCATATGTACCAAAATATCATACTATACACCTTAAACACATACAATAAAGAATGACCTAGAAAGGCAAAGATTATTTTAGAAATAAAACAAATAAAATATTTTATATACTTGTAAGTGTACAAAAATCTAATTATTATGTTACATTGTGTGTGTCTGTGTGTGTGTGTGTGTGTGTGTGTGTGTCTGTGTGTGACAGCTTTACTTAGCAGCACTTTAGATATTTTGAGGTCATCAAAGACCAGGAGCATCATTAATAACTTGGCTTCCCGTATCAGTCTTTGGTAATAAAAGCACATAGTCTGCTCATCAAGGGACATAATATTCCTGGTGGACTCTGAGGGACCCCACACTCTGGCCTCAGATGGGGCATGGTACCCATGTGGTTTCCCATTATAGGAGGGGCATGGCCAGAAGAAAGCTTCATGAGGAGGAAATGAGGCTGGATAAAAGAACAACTGTCTGACCCTGAAACTTAATAGAGACAAAAGGAATGTTCAGCCTTGACTTCAACCTATTAGCTGTCCTATATGCAGAAGCTGGAAGGGATGGTAGATACTCTGCGGGATTTCAAGGTCACAACTGGACTTAATAATACCAGTGACCATGGGGTTGTGATGAAACATGAGGGGACAGAGAAAGGGGTATTTCAGATCTATATGCTCAAGCTTCAAGACCCTGGAAAAATTACTTAGTCTGAGCCTCTGTTACCTCTTCTTCCTAAAAGAAAAATGACTTCTTATTTTGAAGGTTTGTTTGGAGACTTGCATGAGATTATCTATAAAGTTCTTAGCACAGACACTGGCCCAGAGCAATGTCCAATGTACCCTCCCTGAATCTCAGTAAGAACAACTTTATGAATTTAGTTTCTACCTGTACAACAGTGAAATCAACTCTTTGAAAGCTGGTAAGATTACTGTTAATAACCAGGCTCAAAATGCCTTTACGTCCAGGCCATTCTTAAAAGACTTTATAACCTTGTAAAAAAATCATTTAAATGCCTATATTTTATAGCAAGACCACATGGAAAAAATATTCAAACAAGAAAGATCTGTACTCTTCTCATCTCTTAAAATTTACTTTCTCCTTGGGAATCCCTTACTAACTACTGCTGTCATCAATGAAAAACAAGCTGAATTCAGTAAATAATGCTCTTTTGTTCAGCACTCCAGACCAGGGGTTCTCACCCTTGGTGCTATTGACATTTGAGGCTGGATAATTATTTGTTGTCCAACCCTCTAGATACCACCCATCCTTCTCTTCTAGACAGGACAAGAAAAAATGTTTCTAGACATTACTAATTTCTCCTCTTCCCCAGTTGAGAACCACTGCTCTAGCTTGGCAGAAACTCATACCTTTTCCCTTAATTCCCATCCAAGACTAGGTTGAAAATGTGAGATTTTACTAAAGATTTATTTAAAATGATAGAAGTCAAAAAGAGCAATGTGAGATTGAGTTAATACATTTTAAAATGCATACAGTTGATTCAATCTCATTTTGAGTTATCCTACAAGTTCAGGGAAGGAGTCAATCTCAACCTGCTCCATGGAGTAGAGGTCGTGTGTCCTCCATGCAGAGCACCCTCATGGACCTCAGACCCACTCCCAAACATCTGAGCAGGAACCAGAATGAGAGAGTGTTTCCTATTCCACTTGTTATCACTTTCAAATTTTCATCTCTTGATGAAGAGATTGACTGATCTTTGATGGTCAACATCAGGAACTTCTACCTGCTTCATAGAAATTCCACTTTATTCACCTTTTATTCCAGATTTCAGTGGGACAAATACTTGCAGACACAAAGGGATAGGCCAACATTCCTTTAAGAAACACAAAATGCTGCCTAAACAATGACAAGGCAAGGAGGGAGATTGTTTCCCTAGAGAATCTCAAACCCTATGCTGCTATCTTGGAAAAAAATAATACTGATAATAAAATGTAATTCAATTGAAATTTTAAAAACAATGGCTCATCTTTTTTGTCTTTCCAAAAGAGAATATAAAGGCATTTGAAGTTATATAGAGCACTGCTGGTATACAAACAAAGTAAATGCATCACGTCAAATGCCTTTTCTTTAATACAAAACTTTCACTATCTATCTAGAGGAAATAATTTTACCATTACTGTATATGCTAGCAATATGGTTTAGCAATTAAATTATTATAAAATGTCTTGAATCCTGCTGAGATAGTTAAAGTTCATGGATGTAGCCCTATCACAATATTGATCATTTGGAAATCTCAGTCTCACAAGGCCCTTCATTATTTCTATTCACCACATGGGAAAGATTATACTAATAAGTGGAGACTGATTTACTTCCTACAGAAAATACAAATTCTGTCTTTTCACTGCAGTTTTTTCTCAAATAGTTAATCATTTTAGAGACCCTGTTGTACTGTATTGCAAGTTGTATCTTTTAATTTTATTTCTCATATTATGCAGGAAATGGCCATTCTTTAATGAAACAACAAATATGAAAATGTATTAATCCTTTTATTGCATTTTAAAAATATAACATATTTAAGTTTGTGATAGCAAACATATTGAAGCCATTAGAAGCTAAATTACCCAAATGCCTTTCAAATAAACTGCTCGGAAGACTTTGATCCTGTTAGCTGACTGCTCAATGACAGCAAGACAGCTTACTCTTCTGATTGCTTTGAGGAAGTTTGTGCCATTCCCTCACATGCTCAGTTGCCTGGGAGCCAGATTGGGAGCAGAAGACAATTAAGAAGCCCAGTAAGAAATACTCAGGCTACTTTATAAACCCAACATTCAGTGAGACAAAAAAAAAAAAAAAAAAAGCTTTTGGATGGAGGCTTTAGTTTAGTGTGCTGAATCAGACAACTTCTCTTTATTATTGCCAAATCATTTTATTCCAAAAAAAAAAGTTCAGAAAAACATCGTGAATAACCTTAAAACCTAGATAACATAAATGTTCCTGGGGAAGGCAAGTCTAAGACACTCACTGATCTTCCCTTCCTGGTGTGCCCTTGCTCCTGCACTCCCTCAGGGTCCTCACGCTGGCTCTAAAATACCCAGGGCCCCCCATACCAATCCCCCAGAAACCTCATCCTAGGCAGCCCCTGAATCTTTCACTCCATTTCATCTTCCTGCTTCTCATCCCAACCAAAAAACTGTAGTCCTTTTCTTTCTGTCTCTCGGAATCCTCTTAGAATGTCTAGGACTACTCCAACAAATCATGTCAAACCCAAAGTTAATGACAATACTATATTAATCTGTAGGCTAAATTCACGATGAGGATTGCAAATCCTGAGGCAGGAGGGTAGAAAGAGATCACACTGAAGGGGCTCCATAAAGGACACCAGGTGGTAAACCTGCACCTGCCTCTGGGTAGCATATGGACATGGACAGTCGGCAAAGCCCACAACTAAAGCATGCAGCATGCCTGTGAGAGAGCTGTGAATCAACACAGCCTCACACGGCTGTAGTCAGGGCTGCAGTTTATCATTTGTCTGCAATATCATGTCATGAGATGCTCACTAACATTCTACAGAGAGTCAGAACAATGCTCTTCATAATGGAACTCACTTCCAGTGGGCACCGCATCACACGAGGATATTCAGTTGCTTGTCTTTTATGAAGCAAATGTAAACTGTGTTGGGGGGGAGTGACAGCAATGCTATAATTCAGCCGTCTGCTGTTTTATCACAGCTCTCAGTAGCTCTCTAATGAATATTTCTGTATGCATGTTTCTGACTGATAATCAAACTCAGAACAAGTCCTAATTGGGTTTTCCAGTGCATGGAAAAGTGCCTGTATTAGCTTTGCAGATGTCCCACTAATGTTAAATTAAAAGTACAAACCTAGAAAGCTAAAAGAAAAAGAAAAAAAAAAGTCTACTTTGATTGGGCCTTAAACATATACAGAGAACAGAATTTTATGGACATTCACATCTCCAGACAGCATTTAAATGTGGCCTGTCCAAAAAAGGAAAAGTCAGCAAAATGCCTGGCATGAGGGCCTCGTATTTGATGACTAGGAAGTTCCTTGCTGGAGCATTTCAACTTGTACATAGAGAGCTGGGAAGTTGAAAGATAATCAGAAATTTGAACGGAAAAAATCACTAGTTACATTTAACTGAAATATTGTGTAGCTGCATTAGTTGCTACTTTTTAAATCACTAATATTATCCGTCAACTTCTCACTCTCAGTAGCAGCCTCTACCTTCCACTACAGGACTTTAAAGGTGTTTAGAAACCCCTTTCTGAAAGGTATTTAGAAAACCTTAAATATTAAGGAAGAGAAAAATAAAAATTATCATCTCACCTTGGCCTTTATTGTGCCTTTTATATAAATTCGTGGTAATACCTATCATGCTTTTAATACATTTGTTTGCCTGCTTATCTTCTGTGGAAGAAAAGCAGGAAATAGTTTCATTGTCTTTATATTTCATTTTTAACGCATTGTCTGGCCAATAGCACCTCCTCACAAAATGTTTGCTAAAAATTGAGTTAACAATTAAATTAAAACATAAATTCACTTTTAGATTTATTAAATTTTATTAAATTTTTTAAAGTCTGATAACATTGATATGTCTGATTTGTTTATTAATATTGTCAATTCTCAGCCTAAGAGAATCTTCAATGACATGTTTCATGCTCTTTTTTATGAATGTGGAATTTGAAGTCCAGTGAACATGGAATATTTATGAACAGCCACACAGCATGGAACTAGAATTCCACATTTCTCCCTGACTGCCCAGTGCCTGTGAGGAGGATGAACCACGGGTCTGGTTCATTCTCTAGTTGGCAAGTCCATCAAAGCTGTAAGATGGGTCTATTATGTGGACATGTCCCAGTATCTGCGAACACCAAGATTGTAAGCTCGTGCTTCCCTTTCTAACTGAGGTCAGTCATAACAAGCCTGAAAAGTGGGGGAGGTCAGTATGGCAAACACACATACTCTTATTGTTTACTCAAAAAAAGTATTGAATTTGTTTACTTGGAAGACATTTCATTTGCTCTCTAAACCTTCCATTAACAAGAATCTTTATTTCACTATCTTAGTCCCTTTTGTGCTGCCACAACAGAATGTCACAGACTAATTAATAAAGAACAGAAGTCTATTCCTCCTGGCCCTGCAGGCTGGGCAGTGCAAGATCAAGGTGCTGGCACCCGGCAGGGGCCCTGTGCTGCATCGTCTCATGGTGGAGGACAAATGGGCAAACAAGCACTCAGTGAGCAAGTGCAGGCAAGAGGCAGCCAAACTCACTTTTATCAGGAATTGACTCCCGCAATAATATTGGTCCAGTGATGAGGCAGAGCCCTCAAAGCCTCATCTCCTCTTAAGGGTCCCACCTCTCAGCACTGTTGCACTGGAGATTAAGTTCCCCACACATGAACTGTGGCTGACACATTCAAACCATAGCATTCATCTTTACCCCAAACACTTGAAAAGCAAACACTGCTCAAGCAGACATCCAAGGCTCTCCTGTTCCAACTTCCCTGGTTGCCCTCCAATTTTATCCTTAGATATTTGCAGATCTTCAGCCAAACCAGAGGCAGAGACATTGTGTTTGTGGAACTCCTGCCAAGCCTCCTTGTCCTCTGAACCGCTGCTCACATCATGTCTGCTCTGCAAAGCCTCTGACCATGGCCTCAGCCCCCTCTCGAGAGGCTGTGTCCATTCTTTCCCACTAGTGACTCCTCACTCCAAGCAGGTTTTCTGGAACCTTAAGCTGAGCATAACCTCACTTGCTTCTGAGTATTCTTTTTTTTTTTAGATGGAGTCTCGCTCTGTTGCCCAGGCTGGAGTACAGTGGTGCAATCTCGGCTCACTGCGAGCTCCGCCTCCCGGGTTCATGCTGTGGTGGTGGTTTTGAATCACTCTTAGGATATTTTTCCTCTGGGATGCTTGCATTTTTTTTTTTAATTTGGGAATTTGTCTTCATCTTTGCCAATAAATTATAAAATCTTTACAGACTGGAAGAGTGTTATATATTTATCTATGCAGGAGTGATTATTTGAATTATTTAAAAAATGTTTTTACAAGAACACTGATCCACGTAAGACAGCTCCTGGCCAAACTGACCAAATGATGAGACCACAGAACCGAGTCCTGCCAGCTGACCCCAAACCTGCCCCTCAGCCTCAGAGGGTCTAGCACAGTATACTTCTACAGCAAATCATAGACTACATACAGGTATTTGTCATCAACTATATACAAGGCAATCTAATGTGGGTTGACATGGCTGCCAAAGATGAAAGATTATGTGGGACTCGCTCTGGTCTTTAACTGTGTCCTGATTTTATATTTTATAATTTATATCAGCACATGAGCTGGTGCCTGCTTTTCTATTTAAAAAATACTCCTAATGAAACAATGCCTTCTAATGTGCTTAAGGCCAGTGGAGGACAGGAAGGTCATGAGAGGATGATAAGCTAATGGAGACACTGTTCAGAAGGCCTGGACCCTGGGTCCACTCTGAGGGACGCTCCCATCATGTGGATGCTTCTTCATAGGCAAGGGCAGAGCTCCAAGGAGCACCTCCTCCTCACCTTCTGCACGTAGTGGGGGAGATCGCCGGTACCAACATCCTTGGAGTGGAGCTGAAGACTTTTTGAAGCTGTTCATGCCAGCTCATGGAGCTCTTCATGCCACACTGGCTGTTCATGCCAAGTGTGAGTCAGGCATTACTTGAGCTGCATCATCCAGGCCAGAGACATGCGGCTGAGGTGGGTCCAACCTATTCTCATTCAATGTGAAGATGTCAGCTTGCATTGCTCCTCCATGCCCACACACATAGCTAGGCCTCTGTTAAACACCGCACAAAAAGAGAGTCTAGAACTCTTTTGATAGGAACACATTACTTCACAAATAAACATAGTATTTTTTCTTGAATGGCAGACGAGGAAGGCAATAATACGGCAGTAAATAAGACACAGGAGAGTCGTGAGGGCGGTGGCTTGGTGGGAAGGATTCCCTGGACCCCATGCAGTTTGCCTTCCTGCCGAAGCTTGGAAAGTGACTTAGGTGGCAAGGGCCCTATGATGGTCAGCTCTGTGTGTCAATTTGACTGGACCATAGGATGCCCAGATAGCTGGTAAGACATTATTACTGAGGGTGCCTGTGAGGGTGTTTCTGGAAGAGATTGGTATTTTAATGAGTAAATGGAGTAAAGACCATTGACCTTGCCAATATAAGTAGGCATCATAAAATACATCAAGGGCTGGAATAGAATAAAAATGTGTAGAAGAGTAAATGCTCGCCCTGAGCTGGGACATCCATCTTCTCTTGCCCTTGGGCTTCAGTGTTCCTGGTTCTCAGAACTCTGGGTTTAGACAAGAACTCCACCACTGGCTTTCCTGGCCCTCCGGTTTGCAGATGGCAGATCATGGGACTTCTCAGCCTCCATAAGTGCACAAGTCCATCCCTTACAATAGATTTCTTTCTCTATAGCTCCATGTATTTGTACATCCTATTGATTTGCTTTTTATGGAGAGCTCTGACTAATGCAAACCCCTCTTAGCACTGTTTTCTTTAATTTGGGCAATGCACATTATACCCCAGTCCTAAGTTTCTATAACTGGAAATAGTTATCATATCTGGGTATCTTATAAAGCTTTCTGAATGATAAATTTAAATTTAAACAATTTTTATTATTGCTTCTTGCAGAAACAGAAAAATGCCTTGTCTTCATATCAAATAGTTTTAAAATGCTTTAAAAGGATATACATATATAATATGCCAGCCTTTATTAAATTTCTCCCTGTACTTTGTTGAATAGCAAGAATTTTAGAATGAAATAGTGTATATGAAAGTTAATTAAAACATCTTTTCTATTACATAGAATAGATGTCTTTATCCAGAATATTTATAAAATTTCTCAGTAAGAGGGACAAATTATATTCCAAATCACCCCCGCTTTGATCGTGGTTAGTTATTAGTAATTCATAGAACTGCTCTAATTCTTGTCAGCTTCAAGAGGGACTCCACAATGCATCCCAGTGTGAGATGCAGATTAAAAGCCTAAACCAGCTTCTCATTGATTTCTCTGTACTTAGAAGATGTATTTCCAGTTGCTTCATCAATGTCTTCAGTATCAAAATCTAACTATTCACTTCCAGCATTAATTTTAGATATAGATCACATCCTATATGCTGTGGTGTTCCTGAATATGCATGTCTTTGTCTGAAGTCAGAGGTGTTGGTCCCAGCTATCGTGCTGGCAAGAGCTTGGGTTACTGGAGTAAATCGGTTTGGAAGCTGCTTAACAGCCACGTTTCCCCCAGCTGAGAGCATTTTCTTATCAGCTTCTCCCACCCACATCTAATTCATACTGATCCATTTCAGGAGATAAACCTTGCATACATAGATCTACCCTGTGAATGAGACTCTTTGATGAAAGCATATTCAAATTTGCTAACATTACGTGCAAGAAAGAAAACCTGCAGAAAAGTTAGCTCAAAGAGGAACATAAGTCTCTAGAATGGCAGAGAGAAAATAACATATTGTCAGCAAAACATGGAGAAGGAGTTCATTTTCTGCCTGACGGATAGATTATACAGTGTTCTGTCTCTGATGAGAGCTTTGAGTACTGAAGGCACAAATCTACTCAGCCTTGGCAAGTGTCAGGAATCTTAGCTTTCTCAGTCCCATGACCACAAACTGCATACCCATCAGTAGCCAGTATTTCTCAATGCCTGCCCTTGCTGGTCATGAAAGACATGATTTCCCAAACTTACCACACCCTGGTGCACATAAACAAATTATAGTATTTTTATTAAGCACCAGGTCAGCAGGGGGAGCTGGCTGTCTCCAAGGACAGAGAAGTCAATACTTCAGGCATAACTTAATCTTTCCTTCTACATCCATGTGTAGAGACACACCAAATTATGAACTCTAGGGAGTATGACTTAATGAATTTGTGTAAAGCCAATATAGCTTCTGAGAAAATAACTTAAATCAAGTACCTGGGTTTCAGAAGTGCTTAAATGTTTCTTGATATAGGAGGATGGTAATTGCCCATCCTTAGCTTTTTCATCACAACTGCCCAAACTCATGTGATTGCATCAATGGGAAAGCTACGTCTGAACAACAAGTGCCAGCCCAAGACAGCCCTGCTGATACTTGGGGCAATCCCCTTTTCCCATTATTATCTCCTTGAGCAATGGACCACACCATGGTGCCTATTTCAGGTCTTTATCTTGCAACTGCCACAGAGTGAGGCTTATCTGTTCTAGGCAATGCACCGTATGAGACAGCAAATTAATGAAGGGGCTGAAATCTATTTGTTCTCCAGGCTGTGACCCTCATGTGTTCAACCTTTACTGTCTGCCCACCTTCGCTTGCTTGGACAGCTTCGTGGCAAGAGGTTCTCTTCACCACCAGCTATGATTCCTTCCACTTTCCCTCCAATCAACATCCTCTTCTGATCTCACAGGTAAGAGGGAAGGTAAAGTGCCTCAGGCAAGAAAACCATTCTGTCCGCTTCCTGCTGGAGGAATTTACGTTTCATCACAATGAAAAGAGAACTGGTAAGCAATACTTTTGCTGTTTGTTGGTTTAGAGAAA
Organism: Homo sapiens; assembly: GCF_000001405.40. NCBI lineage: Eukaryota > Metazoa > Chordata > Mammalia > Primates > Hominidae > Homo > Homo sapiens. Next base: position 5,292,134 of record NC_000002.12, read on the forward strand.
GATGACCAGTGACATTAGAAAATGAGAAATTGTAGCTGAGCTCTCACTTATGAGTGAGAACATACTCACTCATGATGTTTGGTTTTCCATTCCTAAGTTACTTCACTTAGGACAGGACCCACAAATGTCCTCTTGTATAGAAATGCAAATGATCCTGCTGCTTAACTTTGAACAATTCTCAAGCTTCATTGAAAAGATATGTCACTACATCTCCCCAGGAGGTCTCTGTAAAGTCCTTGGTGCTTATTACCTTGACCCAAAGTTCTGTCTTTTTGTTCTGGTTTCACCTTCAGGCCCAGAGGCCTCCTGAACTTTCACAGTGATAATTCAGCTTTTCTTCTGTTCCACTTTAAATGACTATGTTTAAGCTACATGCATGTTTCCATGCAGAATGGGTTCATATTTCAAAGCTGATCTTTGATATGGTTTGGCTGGGTCCCCACCCAAATCTTATCTTGAATTCCCAGGTGTTGTGGGAGGGACCTGGTGGGACATAATTGAATCATGGGGGCGGGTCTTTCCTTTGCTGTTCTCATGATAGTGAATAAGTCTCACGAGATCTGATGGTTGTAAAAATGGGAGTATCCTTGAACAAGCCCTCTTCTCTTGTCTGCTGCCAAGTGAGATGTGTCTTTTATCTTCTGCCGTGAATGTGAGGCATCCCCAGCCACGCGGAACTATAAAGGCATTAAACCTCTTTCTTTTGTAAATTGCCCAGTCTAGGGTATGTCTTTATCAGCAGCATAAGAACAGATTAGTACAATCTTTAATATAGAATCCTGGAAAGTGTTATTTGGGGTTCAGAAGGAAAATACTAACACTTAAAACACAAATTCATTTATGCATTTTGGAAATTCTCTAGTTGTAGACTCCGAATGGCAACACAAAATTTAACAATCCTTCATGCTTGACACCTGAACAATTTCCACTCTAGATGTGCACCCCAGGACTGTGTCTGGCTGCCTTATTTGTGCCGGCTCTCAGCCTGTTACAGCAGTGTCCTGTACCCTGCCCAGGATGCTCTCCAACATTAGAATGGTTTCCAGTTCCAAGCCGTGGAAAACAGAGCTTACAAATTCAAGTTGATTCACTGAATACAAGAAAATCCTCACCCTTTTGTACTCCCCCACCCTTAGGAATAAGAATTGGCAACTTTTATATATTTTAATCAGTTTTTGAAGTGTCATCTTCTCAAGGAAGTCTGAGAAGGAAATGTGGGTTCTCTGAACCTCAGTTTGAATCCATACTGTTACTGAAGTTAAAGGTAAATCAAAGTAAGACAAACCGAATTTAACTTCAGCATAACTTGACACATCTCTGAATTGGTAAATTCAAAGTACCAACGCCTCAAAATTAAACTCTGGTGCAGCCTAGCCTTCATGAACATCAGTGGCGTCAATGATTTGTTTTTTCTTTTGAAGAAAAAAAAAACACTTTATTAGAGACAAAATTTACTTTCCTAGGAAGTAGGGTACTTAATATATTTGAATATGTATTCCATGGGTATGCTATCACTTGCCGCTTAACTTAGCAACTTCCAAAACACCACAGCCTCGAAGCAGAATCCAAGGGGAAAAGACGGCAAAGGAAATCACAATGTATTGGAAATGAGGGAACAACTCCATGCTTGGCTGACTTTGACCAGAGTCAAGGAATTTTGGAATCTCAGAGCCAGACATGAAGATAATGAATCTTAGAAATCATTCAGTTTGGATGATGTGATCTTTTCAGCCCAAGAATCTGTTATCCTCTCATGCTCACAAACCCTCATGGCATGACAATGCTTACTTATGAAGCAAAAAGAACTTATTAAGTAATAATTTGGGTTTATAATTCTTTTTAAAGAGGAGATGGCTGTCAACTTGAGCTTCTTCTGAGCCTAAGGTGTATGTGGTGATGAGCCTTGGAGACTCAGTCCAGGGTCCAGATCCAGGAGAGCTCAGCTCTTGCCCGCTCCCCAGTAACCCTGTGCCCCCAGCACCGGCAGGAGCTGTGCCAGGCCCCAATCTTCAGTGAGTCACTTCACCTCTCTTGGCCTCAAACTCCCTATTTGTAAAATGGTGACTCTCATAATAATTCTATTTGATTTATATATAAAGTGCTTAATATATAGTAGAGGACCACCAGATATAGTGTTTCTGTCATTGAGCTACAAACATTCTAGGCAAAAGCAAAGATAACATGCTGTTTACTTCTCTTTGCAATCTTATTCTATTTCAGCTATTTCTCAGGCCTCTTGAAATATTGAAAATAGCATGAGAATGAACTTTATTTCACCTGCAAGCCCTTAGATTGCAAGGCTGGGAACAGATCTGATCTAATCTGATTCATCGGATGAGGAACATGAAACTCAAAGACAAATGAACCTCCCAAGCTACAAACTCCAGGATGCAGCCAGTGGGACCATAACCGAATGTGCTGGCTCCGGATCCGCAGCCCCGTCAGGAGCGATACAACAGCGGCCGTTATATTCCCTGTTTGTTTTTCAAATCAGGAATCATGCAGCCCCAGTGTCCTTAAAGATAACCAGAAAGAGGAAAGAAGGAAATGTTCACTCTAAGAAAATGTATTAAGCAATTTTGGCATTTAGTATGGAGTTTGGCACATTATGTCTGGAAACATAAATCATTCATGGCCCTGGAAATATTAAGCATTCAAGGGAGATGGTTTTAATATTACTTTCTTCTTTTTCGTCAGCCTTCTGAAGACTGTAGTGGGCAAAGGGTGGTTTACCCCAGTTAGACTCCACTCACCCAGGCTTTCTGGCAGATTTCATTCCAGCTGCTGCTCTGACTTCAGGCCCTAGGAATACGCATACAGCCCGGCACCCAGCCATCCCACCAAACAGACGCATTCATGTTTGGTCTCCTCTGATTCATGAGCTTCAGGCTGCTTTAATTTCCTGCGATTTCTTCATAAAACATTGAATATTCAATGCTCATTTTGATGTTGGGGTTTTGAGAGGTTTAGGGGTGGGGGTTTAGCTTGCTTTTCCTGGAGTTAATTTCTCCATTTGATGTGAGATTAATGGTCCTGTGGATGCTTGTGAGTAATCAGAGTTTACTAGAGAGAAGCACAGAGCTTTACAAGCCAGAAGGGCTTTCTTTGCCTCTATTTACTGTTTCCTGAGAAATCAACAACACCATATTGTGGAAAGCCAATTACCACCCTATACAAGGTTAAGCTTTTCATCCAGGACAGCTTAATTGTTGAGGTAAATATATCATTGAGAACTTCTGTCTTATAAGACCAAAGCATTTCGGAGCACCTCATATAGCATCAGAGACAAAAGACCTCAATAAAATTTTAATGAATCAATGAATGAATGAGATTTACCAAATAAAGTAGTTTCATTCTTTCTTTATTACCTAATTCAAAAAAAAAAATGATTTGAAGCAATGAGAAATGTATTGCCTTTAAAAAGGGGGAGGAGAAACACACAAAACAGATAAGGTATCAAGCTCTAGTCCCCTTCCTGAAAATAAAATACAGAATGAAGCACCCTGATGCCTGCAGCATGGAGGGAAACTCTTCCCATCTCTGCCTGGTCCAGGGTAGGGGCAGCAGGCTGCAGGTCCCCGAGATTAGCCTCAGAGCCACAGGATTTGGCGATCTGCTAGACCTTGCCTCCCGGTTGGGGTGATTCCCATGGCAAGCTCCTCAATGCCATGTTCCTGCGAAGTGCTGTTAGCCACGTTTCTGTGTAGATAAATCTACCTTAATGAGAAATGTCATCTTCAGAGTTGAAGTGAATCCATTTCAGCAAATGGATTTCTCTCCCTCAGAAGGGAAAATACTAAAATCCAGAATGCTGTTTTGTCCAAATGTTAACACTGAACCCGAAAATTGTCTCTCACCATCATATAGGTTACTTTGGAGGAACTGTTTGTGGTTAAATTAATCAAATTATGGATTCAACTGTGGCTGGGAGATCACAGCCTGATAGAAAAAGAAAAATTACAAGGTAGGCTGGGCATGGTGGCTTACGCCTGCAGTCCCAGCATTTTGGGAGGCTGAGACGGGAAGACTGCTTGAGTACAGGAGTTCAAGACCAGCCTGGGCAACATAGAGAAACCCTATCTCTATGAAATATTTAAAAACTAGCCAGGTGTGCTGGCATACACCTGTAGTCCCAGCTACCCATGAGGCTGAGGTGGGAAGATCACTTGAGCCCAGCAGATCCACCCTGGGTGACAGAGTGAGATCCTGTCTCAAATAAATCTTTAAAAATTAAAAAAAATAGGCAGTCTTTAGAAAAAGCTGCGTTTCTAAAACACATTACAACTTTTATGTAAGTGTGTGTTACATTGAACTCTACACTTCAAATAGATAATGTTGGGGAGATATTATTTTCTGACTTGGCAGATGGGAACCCAAGTCACAGAGGAGGAATCGCTAGCTCAACGCTTTACAACTCGGAGGCAACACAGTGTTGCTCCATGCACACAGACTCTGGAGTCCTAGAGAGCTAGCTTGTGAGTCCCGTTCTCTCTTTAGCTAACTTCATATCCCACATACCCTGACACAGGTTACCCAGTCTCTGAGATTCAGTTTCATCATAGTAATCATTATAATAATATCTAACTTTTGAGGTTGATTTGAGAATTCAGACAATGTATATAAAGCGCCTTTCACAACATGTGCATTTGATAAACAGATATTTTATTATTGCTATGCTCAAACTAGAATAACAATGTGAATCTCTATGTTCCAAACTTTATCTGTCTCCTAATCAGCAGGTTGTCTGCCTGTTAAATCGAACCTTCTCTAGGTTACCAATTCTAATTAGACATACTTGCATAGTTGGCTATGTAAGTAGAGCAAAAGCTGCCATTATATACGTGTGTGTATGGGAATGGTGAGGGTTATGTTTCATAGAGTTCCTTTTTACACCAGGCATTTTGCACACGTTAGATCGCTCAATCCCCACACAATCTTATATGATGAATATCATCATCTCTATACATAATTAAACTGAAGCTATGGCATTGCCAAACACCGCCAAGCCAGTAATAACCAAAGTCCATTAGTTAGGGACAATGTCTATCTTGTTCACAGATTCTATCATCAGTCATGCATTTAGCCTGGTACTTACTGAGTGCTCCATATTTATGGAAAAAAATTGATAAACTAAGATTCAAGTATTTATCTGACTCATCTTGCTGCCGTTATTAAAGACTGCCTCTTTCAGTAAACACTGGCTTCAGCAGTTCTCAGCCTGCTTGTATTTCATAATTACTGGGAGGTTTTCTATGGGGCTGGCAGGGGCGCTCCCCAGACCATTGGAATTAGAACCTCTATGGAATCAGCACTCGTGCATGTTCTCCTACAAGAGATGTTGATGACCCCCCACACCTGTATGAAGAAGGAAACTTCCTCTGGGGGAGTATCCAAATGGATCAGTGGAAGATTCAATATATCCAACTAGTAGTAAGCAGTTGGAAGTTTTATTACCCTTTTATTTTCAATCGTGAGAACCAGGTTTCTTAGTGTCACTTGAATGCTGATAAAACTATTATCTTAGACAGACTTTCTACAACATTATAATTTTTCTTAAGTTTAATAATAAGTAAGAATTATTATTTGTCTTCCTGGGAGGCAATGCCTTTCTTTTTCACCTCTGCTGCTCTTTGGTTTTAATTGAACAGAGTCAATAAGTTACATTAATTATGAGTTTCTCCCCTTTGGAATCACTGAATAAACACGCAAAAACAAGGACATGTTTGTCCTTGATTAATTATAAACAATAAAATTTCTCCAAATCCAGAGCTGCGCAGCATTTGCCTGGGGAAAGCTGACAACCTCAGAGAAGCAGAAATCAGCTCAAGGGCAAGTGCTTTGAAAGGGGTAAGTCTCTATAGAGTTTTAAGATGGGCGTCTACCACAGGTTCCCAAATGCAGGTGCAAAACCTCTGCCCTGGTGTTCTCACCTCTAAGCAGCCGTCTGGATTCCAGAATCTCCTGAGGAAAGAGGCACCACCTGTCCTGAAATTTAAGGGCATTTCTAAAGTCATATAAGATTTCACCTGGGCAAGGAACAAAGAAAACAAGGACATTATTTTAGCTCAAACACTGTGGACCTCCAAAGATGTGGCTCTTTGGAAATATTAAATATTTGGAAATATTAATATTTGGAAATATTAAATATTTGGAAATATTAAAACCTATAGTAAGAAATTACAAATTCAGCAGTATTACAAAAATAGTCATGTTTTCTCAAATTCTAAAATCTGCTACTGTTGGCTCAAGTATTTTTATGCAATAAGAATCATATTGCATGCATAAAGATAATGATAACAAATTACCTCCATCAAGTTCTACACTTAGATATTAAAAATCAGATGTTAGTTCTCACTCTGCTAATAAGTTATGTGATCTTGAAAAAAATCACCATTTCTGTATCTCATATAAAATTGCTGTATATTTCCAATGATTTATTCTACCACTAGTAAAGAACAATTCTGTAAGTACTATAAAATAATCTACTCTAATTAGTCCAGAAAAGGAAAAGAAATCCCTAATGCTATGGGAAATTTGAATATCAAGGCCATAAGAACACATACAAATACACACATGCGCGCGCGCACACACACACACACACACACACACACACACACACACTAAAAGTAAACAAATCTAACTCAAAATGAGAGCAAAAGTTACATTCCAAACAGGCTTCATTCGAGTAATTCTTCTTTTAACTCCAAGGAGACCACAAGTTGCCCTTTTGTGCATACGTACATCATTCACAGCACACATGACAGCTTAAGAAAGATGATTTTTCTCTCCTTCAGCAATCTATTTTAAAAGATATCTTATTATTGCAAACACACATTTAGTTATTATTATAGCTTTGTAAAAATCAGATTCTTTATCTAGGCAACATAGCAAAAATATAGCTCTATTCCAGTGGCAGTGCAAATATATTTTAAAATCTTTTCCTTTATAAAAGCAATGAGAAAAATAGGGGGAAAAGTCAATATCAACTTTTTTAGATGTGTGGAATTTAACAAAAAAATTACCAAAAACCAAAAGGTCTTTAGTCAAGAAAAATCCTGTGTTTCTTCAAATACTTTTCTGTTTTTTGTTTGTTTGCTTGTTTTGGTTTGTTTTTCCCCTGTCCTCTCTTTCTGGGACTCTCATTGTGTGTGCTATTGTTCTGTATAGAATTTTAGGTTGATGGGATTTTCCTTCCCCCACTTTACAGGTGCTGCCCCACCGTTTTTCCTCATACATTGTTTCTAATAAGAAACCTGCTGTCATCTTGACTTTGTTTTGTTTCTACTGCAACTTTGTTGCTCTCATTTTTTTAAACATTAACTTTACTATTTTTTTAATTATTATACTTTAAGTTCTGGGTTACATGTGCAGAATGTGCAGCTTTGTTGCATAGGTACACACGTGCTATAGTGGTTTGCTGTACCCATCAACGTATCACCTACATTAGGTATTTCTCCTAATGCTAGCCCTCCCCTAGCAAGACACATACACATGTATGTTTATTGCGGCACTATTCTCAATGGCGAAGACTTGATACTAACCCAAATGTCCATCGATGATACACTGGATAAAGAAAATGTGGCACATATATACCATGGAATACTATGCAGCCATAAAAAAGGATGAGTTCATATCCTTTGCAGGGACATGAATGAAGCTGGAAACCATCATACTTCAGCAAACTCTCACAAGAACAGAAAACCAAACACCGCATGTTCCTCTCATTTTTTACGATGATAGTTTTCTCACCAATTTTGAGCAAATTGATGATAACGTGCCCCAGTGTGGTTTTCTTTCTAAGTCTTATCCTGAGGTAACTTGAATTACTTAGCTCTGTGGGTAGACAATTGTCATAAATTTGGAAATATTCTGTCACCAACTATTCAAATATATTTTTCTGTCTTTCTCCTCTCGCCTCTTCTTCAGTGGCACCAATTATGTATCTATTAGGCTACTTGGAGTTTGCCCAAAGCTCACAGGTACAAATTTCATTTTTTTATCTTTTTCTTTTCATTTTAGATAATGTCTTTGTCCATGTTTTCACATTCTCTAGCTTTTTTGTCTGAAATGTCTAATCTACCAGCAATCTCAGCCAATGTATTTTTTGTTTCAAACATTGTAATTTTTCTCTCTAGATATTCAATTTTGTTCTTTTTATAACTCCTATCTCAACTTTTTAAAAGTGTGGAATATAATTGTAATAACTCTAGTGTCTCTGCCACCTAATTTTAACATCTGGGTCAGTCCTGGGTCCTGCTTCATTTATTTCTTCATTATGTGTCATACTGTCTCTCTCCTTTGCATGCCTGGTAATTTTTGATTAAATATCAAAGGTTAAGTAACTTTCATGTACACAATTTATATATGACAGAGCTAGAATCTGTGCCAGAATGTAATGTACTTGGTCTTTTTCTTAAACCACTACTGCCTCTGAATTGGGGTGGAGTGAAGTGAGGTCGGGGAAAGAATGTGTAATAACTCCCTTCAAGCTAGAATATTTTGTTAACTGGCTTTGGTAACAAAAACAGTATTTTATTGTAGCGTTATATCATTTATTCTCTTTTTCAGGGCAAAGCAAAGGTCTCTGGTGCAGCAATTAGCTATATTTTCTAAATGTGTATCATAATTTGAAACATGGGATAAACATTAGGGAGTAATAATATTAATGTCTGACTTTTCAGAATACCATGAATAAAAATTCGAAAGCATGGGAGACAACAGATGGATCCACATCACTAGAAAAGATATATTTTTTACATTTACCATACAAAGTAAAATGTATCTTAATAGTAAGAAAATGAATGGCCATTAAGATTATAGATTCTGGGCAATTTCTCAGAATTTTCATTATCTGATTTATTCCTGTATGAAAGTGGTGAGTGATAATTACTGGGATACAGCCAAAACATTCATCACCTATAAAATTTTGGCTTTAAGTTTTGTTTCTTATCAGAAATGAGATTCTAAAAAATCTCAACCGCTTTTTCTAAAAATTATTCCTGTGAAGTTTATGCCCTTCATGAAGAATGATATTGCAGAGCTCAGCACTGCAATTCAGTTCCACTGCCCTGAATTTGAGGTAACAAAATGCTACTAGGACAACTGTGGAATTCTTCACATGTTCTCCTAAATTTGTTTCCAGTGTGTATTAATTTGAAAAAGAAATAGTTATTTCAATATTCAGTGGGAAAAAACATGGGTTTAGGAGTTGAAAAAAATAGTTTGCAGTCTCAGCTTTGTCACATTTTGATTTTGCGCAAAATACCTCTATTATGAGTATTTCCTTCTCTGTACAATGAGGGAAATAATACTGTAACAGAATGGTTTCAGCTCCTTCCACCCACCACCACCACCATCTGTGTGTTTTCCCTCATTTTAGATTCCCTTGACATGGCAAACTCTCTATGAAACATCTATCCTTCACAGCTGCATACTATAACAAGACTATTTCTTTGTGTGTCTTTCATTTACTAATAAAGGAATGTATTTCCTGGAAAGTGTTAAACAACAAACCATCACATCTTCTTGTCCAGAAATCGATCACTTGCCCTTCTCTGAACCAATTACGGTAGATGTGGGATGGCACACCATTTGCCAAACAGCGGATCCCTGAGGTACATGAGGTACTCTTTTAAATTCTTCCTTGAAGAACCTTTATAGCATTTAAATAAAATATAAATAAAATACTTAATACAGAACCTGGAACATGAAAAGGGCTCAATAATTTCTAGAGATCTACTAGACAGCATCATGCCTATAGCTGACCATATTGTCTTTTTCTCCTTAAAATTTCTAAGAGGACAGATCTTATGTTTAGTGTTCTCACCAGTGTAATAATAATAATGGGAAGAATATAGTACTCCTCCTTTTTCTGCAGTTTCACTTCCTGCAGCTTCAGCTAGCCGTGGTCAACTATGATATGAAAATATTAAATGAAAAATTCCAAAAATGAACCATTTGTAAGTTTTAAATTACATGCCGTTCTGAGTAGCATGATGAAAACTCGTTCCATCCCCCTGTGTTCTACCTGGGACATGAGTCGTCCCTTTGTCCAGCATACCCATGCTGCATATGCTATCCACCGTCCGCCATTGACTTTGTCCACTCCTGACATCCAACCGTCAACATCGACATGGTTCAGTGATCCAGGACCACCCAAAGCAGATGATCCTCCTTCCGATATACGGTCAAAAGGTCAGTCGTAGCCTAACGCTGCATCACAATGCCTACATCATTCACTTCTCTTCATCTCCTCACATCATCACAAGAAGGGCAAGTACAGTACAATAAGACACTTTGAGTGAGAGAGAGGGAAAAAGAGAGATCACATTCACATAACTTTTATATCGGTTTATTGTTAGAATTGTTCTATTTTATTTTTATTATTAGCTATTTTTGTTAATATCTTACTGTGCCTAATCAATAAATTAAACTTCATTATAGAAATGTATGTAGTTGAAACAAAAGGCATATATAAGGCACTATTCATAGTTTCAGGCATCCACTGAGGGTCTTAGAATGTATTCCCCATGGATAAAGGGAAACTACCGTAATTGTGGGCATGAGCGGAAACTGTGGGAAATGAATGATATTTTTATGGCTTTGATGGTGGTGATGGCTTCACAATTATATACTTATGCTCAACCTCATTGAGCTGTATCAGTTAAATATCTATAGCTTTTTATATATCAATCATACCGCCATAAAGTGGTTTGAAAATAGATAAATAGTAGTTACCATTATCATAATATGAGTATCAGTAAACATTTTCTGAAGCAATATGTGACTATGGGAAGGACCATTTGTTTTTGAAAGCTGGATCATCTCCAAAAGGCTACTAGCCACTGGAATCATAAAGTAGAAGAGCTATGCAAAATTAGATTTAAAATATCTATTTGGCCAGGTGTGGTGGCTGAGACTTATAATCCCAGCACTTTGGGAGGCCGAGGCAGGTGGATCACTTGAGGTCAGGAGTTCAAGACCAACCTGGTCAACATTGTGAAGCCCCGTCTCTACTAGAACTACAAAATTATCCAGGCCTGGTGGTGGCACATGCCTGTAATCCCAGATACTTGGGAGGCTAAGGCAGGAAAATGGTTTGAACCTGGGAGGTGGAGGTTGCAGTGAGCCAAGGTTGCACCATTGCACTCCAGCCTGGGCAAGAGAGCAAAACTCCATCTCAAAAAAAAAAAAAAATTATTAAACATGGAACATATGTGTAAGAGAGAGAGAGAGAGAGTGTGTGTGTGTGTGTATGTGTGTGTGTGTGTGTGTGTGTCTTCCTATTTGATGTGGAGGGAAGGCAAACTTAGACTAAAAGTGTAGAGCTTGGGGAATGATGGTGCAGAGCCAGGAAGGCCAGGCTAACAAAGGACATATCCAAAAGCAATTTAATAAAAAGATATTGTACACCAGCCATGTGCCTACTTTATGCTATGTCCCGTGAAGAAGACAGAAGTAAATATGATAGTTATGAGTTAAATGGATAAGCAGAAGAAAAAAAAAAAACACAAACCGATGTATTATAAGGAGGTTAAAGATTGTGAAATGGAAACTAAAAGGTTCTCTGGAAATATATAGCTGCAACTGTATTTAATATTTTGGGTCACAATAGGAAAATACTTTCAAATGAAATGGAATTTCAGTAGGACCTGTGGACAGAAGTAGTATTTCTGAGAGGATGAAGAGCCTTACAAGAAGAGGGAATCACATATACAAAGGCCCCAAGTTAAGGGAGATGAAACATGTTTACAAAATAAGCGCACACTGCCAGGAGACAGACACAAGATCACTTGGAAGAAGAGGTCAAGACCATTATCTGGAGAACTGCTGGAGAGCTGTGTTGAAGATTTAGACTTTCCTCAAAGGCCAGTGGAAAGCCTTGATAGGATTTTTAAGCAGAAAGTGATATATTTATATATCAAAATGCAAAAGTGCTTACTCACATTATAAACACAAAAATGGGTACAAGTGGGGCAGAAGATACAGAGGAAACAAGTAGGTGTGTGTGCTAACATGTAGGTATGATTGATTATAGGATTATATTTTTGACGCTGAAATGGCAATCAGGAGGGAGTAAAGGAGTTGGGCTGACTTAAAAGGTAGAAATAAAAGTACTTCATTATTTATTCAATATTAAAGTGAGGGAGATATAAAAGACAAATATGACTCTGGTTTCTTGCATCTATAATTGGGAGAAAGGTGCACCATTTACTTATATAGGGAGAAATGTCAAAGAAAAGTTTGGAAAAGTGGAGATCAATAAAAGACATCACCTATTCAAAAGAGTCAGTCATTTTGTTACGCACTTTACATGAATTATTTCAATTACTTTTGTCACACCATAATAAGATAAAATCAGTTAGCTTTCTAATTCTACAGGTTTTAATAAATAACCTGAAGCTTAGATTCTAAAACCTTGTTTAAGGTCACAGAGGTGTTAAATAATATAGATTAGATAAACATCTTAAGCTAAATCTGTCTGAATTCAAAGAGATTTACAAGAGTTTTTGCTCTTAACCACTGTAGTGCATCTCTTCTTCTTTCAAGCATATTATATAAATGGAATTGTACATAAGTCCTTTTGTAGATTGACTTTATTTGCTCAATATAATTTCAAGAAAATACATCCAAGTTATCACCAGTATCAGTAGTCTGTTTCTTTTTATGTTGAGTAGCATTCCATTGTATGGACATACCACAGTTTGTTTAACCATCCACGCATTGAAGGACATCTATGTTGTTTCCAATTTCTATTTTAATAAAGCTGCTAGAAACATCCATGTACAGGTTTTTATGTGAACAAAAGTTTTCATTTTTTAGATAAATGCCCAGGAGTGCTATTGCTGAACTGTACAGTAGTTGTATGTTTAGTTTTGTTTAAAAAGCAAAAAAACCAACAACAAACAAACAAAACCTCTCTCATATCCACATAGTGATACCTCATTGTTGTTTTAATTTGCATTTCTGTAATGACTAATAAGACTACACATCTTTTCATGTGCTTATTATCATATATAGATCATCTTCAGTGAAATGGCCCATTTTTTTGTCTTTTTCTCTTTTTCTAATTAGATTGTACTTTTATTTTAGGGCTGAATTTTGAGTTTTTTTTATGTATTGTAGATTATAGCCCTCTGTCAGCTATGTAGTTTGCAAATATTTTCTGCCAAACTGTAGCATGTCCTTAAAAACTTTTAACAGGCCAGGTGTGGTGGCTCACCCCTATAATCTTAGCAGTTTGGGAGGCTGAGGCAGGCAGATCACATGCGGCCAGGTGTTCAAGAGCAGCCTGGCCAACGTGATGAAACCCTGTCTCTACTAAAAATACAAAAATTAACCAGGTGTGATGTCGCATGCCTGTAATCCTAGCTATTTGGGAGGCTCAGGCAGAAGAGTCGCTTGAACCCAGAATGTGGAGATGGCAATGAGCTAAGATCGCACCGCTGCACTCCAGCCTGGGCAACAGAGCATGACTCAGTCTCAAAAAAAAAAAAGAAAAAAAAAAGAAGAAGAAGACAAAGAAAGAAAGAAAGAAGGAAGGAAGGAAGGAAGGAAGGAAGGAAGGAAGGAAGGAAGGAAGGAAGGAAGGAAAGAAAGAAAGAAAGAAAGAAAGAAAGAAAGAAAGAAAGAAAGAAAGAAAGAAAACTTTTAACAGAGTATGTTGTAGAGTGTAAGTTCTTAATCTCAATGAAGTTTAGTATATCAAATTTTTTCTTTTATGGATTGTCCCTTCTATTGTCAAGTCAATATAATACAGCCACTCCTTATTTGTTGTTGTTTAGTATTTTCATGACATATATATCTCCAACCTTTCTATCTGCAATATTTGAAATATTAGGCATTACATTATATACACATTAGAGTCTACTGGTATCAACATTTTACCAGTTTGAGTTGAGTGCAGAATAATTACTGCATTTTCCATCTCTTTATTCTTTCCTATGTATAGTATAATTTTCTTAATGTTTTCTCAACATACATTTAAAAATATATCAGTGTTATAATTTTTTCTTCAATCGTTAAACACCATTCAGAAAATAAAAGAGAGGAAGAAAAGCTTATTGTATTTACCATATGTTTGCTTACTATGTTCTTTTCTTCTGATGTTTCTATACGCCTTTTTAAAATAATTTCTTTTTAAGGAACTTTTTTTTAGCCATTCTTTTAAGGTAGGTTGGTTGGCAAAAAAAAAGATTCTCTTAGTTTTGCTTTATCTACAAAAGTATTAATTTCTCCTTCATTTCTGAAGGATACTTCTGCTGTGTATAGGACGCTGGGTTGACTATTATTTTCTTTTAGTGTTTGCATAATGCTCTGCCACTTCATTCTGACTTTCATGGTTTTTGTAGAATTTTACTGTCATTCAAATTGTTTTTCCTTTTATAGGTAGTATTATTTTTGTCATAATGTTTTCAAATGTTTTGATTTCAAATCAAAACATTTTAGATTTTAGATTTCAAATGTTTGACTATGATATGTCTTGATGTGTATTTCTTTGGTTTTCCCTATTTGGGGTTCCCTCACCTGCTTGTATCTATAGGTTTATATCTTTGACAAATTTGACAATTTTGCAGCTGTTATTTTTACCAAGTATGTTTTCAGCCCTGCTATCTTTCTTCTCTTTTCTCAGGACTCTGACAAAATGAAGGTTGTATTTTTGTAGAGTTCTACACATCTTTGAGGCTCTGTTCAATTTTTTCTAAGTCTCTTTTCTCCCTGTTTCAGATTCGGTAATTTCAATTAATTTACCTTAAAGTTCATTGATTTGTTCCTCTCTTCAGTCCATTGTATAATTGAGGTGTTTTTGTTTTGTTTCATTTTTACATCAGTAATTGTGATTTTTGGAGTATAGAATTCCCATTTACTCCTTCTTTATATCTTCTATTGCTTTTATGACACTTTCTATTTTTTTCACGTTTCAAGTGTGTTTTTCACTGCTTATTAAAACAAGGTTACGCCAGCTACTTCACTGCTTGTTAAAATATTTTTATGCCAGCTACTTCAAAATGTTTGTCAGATAATTCTAATATCTCTGTTTGATTTTCCTCTTGCTAGGCTACCTTATATCTAGTTCTTTAGGAGAAAGCTCTTCTTGGGCTTTTTTCTGTACCTATTGGTATTTTCAGGTTATTGACTTCTTCAGATTTAGGTCTGAGATGTATAAAGCAAATTGATAATCCAGGGAATTGACCACCATGTTACCATTTGAGCCCATAGTTTTCTAGCCACTGAGTTTGCTTCTCTTCCCCTTTCAGATTCTTCTTATGTTTTATTTATACATATACATATAAAATATATATTTCATATATATGGAATATAATTGATTATATTGATATATAATAAATTACAGTATATAATCAATAATAAGCATTGATTATATATCAGTTATATATGTATACTATATATACAATATACGTGTGTATAGATGCAATTATATATATACACAATCTATATGTGTATATATATACAATCTATACGTGTGTATATATATACACAAATTATATATATGCTACGGTTGTGTGTATGTATATTTATGTATAGATACGCATGTATGTATAATTTCCAGGAGAGGTTTCTAAGAGTTTTTTTCAGTTGAATATTTTTCTGTTTTTTTATTACCTAAAAATATTTTTATTTTGCCTTCATTGATGAAGGTTATTTTTGCCTCAGAGTAACATTACAAGTTGGCAGTTAATTTTAGCCTACTGAAGATATTATGTAACTATTTTCTGGTTTTCACTGTTTAGAAAATTTTTTTTTGGTCTAACTCTACCTGCCTTGAAGGTAATCTGTCTTTCCCTCTGACCACTTTTAAACTTTTCTCGTTATCTTCGGTTTCCTGACATTTCACTATGGTAATTCTAAGAGTGGATTTTTAAAAATTCATTTTAGTAGGGATTTGGGAGTCTTATTTAATGAGTAATTTTCAGTCTTTTACTTTATTAAAAAATGATTAGCCAATATTTCTTTCAGCATAACCTCTGCCACTTTATGTCTCTACTATCATTTGAGGTTTCAATTAAATCTGTGTTAGACCTTCTCACTTATCCTGTACATTCTTTACTCTCTCTTCTATATTTTTGGTATTTATGTGCCACTGTGATTTATTCTGA
Organism: Homo sapiens; assembly: GCF_000001405.40. Lineage (NCBI taxonomy): Eukaryota > Metazoa > Chordata > Mammalia > Primates > Hominidae > Homo > Homo sapiens. The sequence continues at coordinate 5,308,249 of NC_000002.12, forward strand.
AAATTTCCTCTCACCTGCATTGCAGACATCATCTTTAACCATGTCTGAACTGGTGTTAAATTGCTTGTTGAGTCCTTAACTTCGTGTATTACATATTTTTAAATAATTCTAGGTGTATTTTTAAATTCTTTATGAAATGTTCCCTAACCTTTAAAAACATTTATTTTTGCCTGCCAGTATTTTCAAGTGTATCTTTTATTTAGTTAAGCACAGCAAATGCACTTGTTTTTTACCCTGTAGCTAATCACTATTATATCAAATCTTAATGGGATGTTTCTTTTGTCTTTTGTTTTTCTAACTCTTTGTCATAGTGTACTGTTTCCTTGCATACTAGTTATCTTTGTTTTGTGCTGTAATTCCATTTTCAAAATTACGTGCAGGCATAATTTGTGAGCTAGAATAATTTCACTTTTCTCCAGAGAGTATATCTAGTTGCATCTAGCAGATAACTGAGTGTACTTCTGGTCTGGAACCATCTTAATTTGAGTGCAGACTTAAACTCCCCTGGACATTTATCTCTGCCTGGTTGATGATTTGACTCAGGTGTGGTTCCTCTCACCTGTAAAGTGAATTGAGATTATCAGAGAAGTGGTATTTGGAGATCCATGATTTTCACACTTGATCTACTTGCTATTCTACATTTCCAAAAATGCAGCTCACTTTCACAGCTCTTTCTTCCTGCTCTCCAAATGCCCTCAAGACCTAAGTACATTTGAGTTTTAAACTTGTATTTCTGGGTTATTGGCCTTTTCTCACTTTTTGGCCCTGTAAATCCTTACTATTTGATTAACCCTTAGATATATTGTTACAAATGTTTTTTATTTTAATTTCATCCTCTTGTAGGAAGATCAGTCTGAACAATCTATCCCACTATTCTCAGACACAGATGTCTTGGTGGCTCTGTAATTCCTACTCCACTCTGAAGTCCTAATTCAGGTCTTCGTAATTTTCCCACCAGATATGTTAAAATGGCTTCATAATTTATTCTCTTTCAGACAATCTGTCCTTTTATTAAGCATGCATTATGATTTAGGGACTATATTACAATTGTTGACCATCTCACTGCTACCCTGAGGTAGGAACTATCTTCATTTCGAAAATGATAAAGATCATTCTTGGAGATGCTATTACTTTTCTGAAGTAATATCAGTGGACCACGGGCTAGGATCTTGATTGTCTGACCATGTATCCCTGTCCCTGCCTTCATCGTTCAATGACTTTGATTGCCGCTCTGCTGTGACCAAGTTTATCCATCTGCGGCACGTGGTGAGAGCTGGGAGACAGGACCGTGCCTTTCTTCTCTCTGCCTGGGTCACCAGAAATGATCCTCCCACAGACTAGGAGATTAGAGAAGATGCAGTGGATAATCATGAGAATATATGGCACGTAGATACCTGCATGTCCTCATGTTCACACTCATGACTCTGCTCTGCATCTGAACTCTGGATCTAACCCTGACTCCTAGTCAGACAGAGTAGGAAGAACTGTGACTGCCAGTTCTAGACAAGAAGAAACTGTGGGTCACAGGGAACACACCACTCCCAGACACCTGAATGTACACAGCATGCACAGTATAGACATCTTTCCTACTCAGATAGTGGCATAGATGCTTTCTTTTCCCAGCAAGTTTCAGTCATTTCAAGGTTGTCTCATAAACTGTCATGAGAAATAGCACATTTGGGGTTAAGCATCAAAAAACAACACACCCATCATTTTTATTGAGGCTTATTTCATTTCAGAGAACTTTTTCCAAATTTGATTATATAAGCCTATTTTCTCTTCTGCTTCCTATGTAGGTCAAGTTGGTATTTTCTTTCAATGCATAGGGAAATAATTATAATGAGTGAGGGCACTAAGGGAAAAAAATCCTACATTTTTGTGTTGCAAAGCAGCTAAAAATGTTCACTACTAGTACAGGGAAGACAACACTTGATATGGTTTGGCTGTGTTCCCACCCAAATCTCATCTTGAATTGTAGTTCCCATAATCCCCATGTGTCACAAGAGGGACCTGGTGGGAGGTAATTGAATTATGGGGGTGGGGACCCTCATGGTATTCTCATGATAGTGAGTGAGTTCTCATGAGATCTGATAGTTTTATAAGGGGCTTTTCCCCTTTTTGCTTGAAACTTCTCCTTCCTTTCACCATGTGAAGAAGGACATGTTTGCTTCCCCTTCCACCATGATTGTAAGTTTCCTGAGACCTCTCCAGCCATGCTTAACTGTGAGTCAATTAAGTGTCTTTCCTCTATAAGCTACCCACTCTCCGGTATGTTTTCATTAACAGTGTGAGAATGAACTAATACACCAGCTCAGCTCTCCTGGGTGGTCTGATGACCTGGTGAGTGTCCTCTGGATGGGTCTGGGAGTCTTTCTTCATGGCATCTCTTTTGTTCTCAGTGCCTCTCCTCACAATCTTGACCATACATGTCTTTGTTGCACAATGTGAAAAATGAACTCAACTTTCCCAAGTGGGCATTGGTACAGTTCCTCTTTTCTGTTAACATCTCAAACAGAAATACCAGGAATAAGAAAATCTGGAGGGTTTTGGACTCTTGAATGGGGACTTGATCTCCAAAAGTACAGATAGGCATTCACTAGCTCCAGGGATAATCAAGTTCACAGAGAGTTGGTTTCTGGACCATGAATGTTTGTGAAGGGTGAGTTTTATAGTTACAAAGGATTTAAGCTATTGATGAAGGATTAATTCTCAAGGGAATGATTAATGCTTAAGTAAATCCATTCCTTAAAGCAAATCATGTCTGCACATTCTTTTACTCTAGGAAGTCTTGGAACTCCATCCATCAAGGCAGACAAATGTATGAAAAGTGAACTTCTTTGCTAGCTTACCCAAGGTCAGTTTTCTATGAATATGATATAGATTTGTCAGTACAGGAAGAAGATGCCTTCAGCAATGGAAAATTTGATGGAAAGGTGTTAATTTTAAAATCCAACGATTTAGTCTGGGGAGCTTGCCCACTGAGTTACAAATGGGACCCAGTAAGTTGGGGAGCTGTCTCTCTTTCCCTATTACACAGTGTGTGTGTAACATTAAGAGGTATCAGACAATGTTGATTCTATACTCACAAGAAGGGAGGTGAGCGATGAAGTTAAAAGTCTTTTGGTATAGTCCATGTTTATGAGAACAATTGGACCATTCTCTTCACACGTTTTTCAGGAGCATTTGTTGAGCACTGCACTGGACAGAACACTTGACATTTTAAACCACACTCCCACCCCTCTTTAACAAAATCTGTTTTAAAAAGAACCATGAACTTTCTATATTTAAACATTGCTAGAAGAAAATATCAATGGCTTACACTTTTACTAATATTTTAATTTCAGACATAGAGGTCTATGCCCATGATGGGCACCAGTAAATTTTAGGATTTTGCTGTAATTCTTTACTTATCTGTGCTGATAAATGTGTCCATCTACCAGTGTGGAAAGTATTTTCCAGGTGTGATCGTGCATAAGTTTCCTGACTATGAAATGAAGAAAGCTCCTCGAAGGCAGGGGCTATGGCTTTGTCAGTTTTGTATCTCATTGTCTAGAACATTTGAAAGCATTTTAAAAAAATTATTATTCAGAGAATAAATGGTTGGCTAATTGAATGACTGGCTCACTAAGTAAATGAAAAGCAACTATTTATCCAAATGCATTATATCATAAAGCCCCATGCTGTGCCCTCTCATTCATTCTCATTATTAATCAACATTGGAAAAGGCAGCCTTATTTACAGATGAAGAAACAAGCCCACTACAGATTACAGGTAAATGTGATTGTCAAGAGCTCTCTCTCCTGGCCACATGCCATTATTAGAGATAAGCGGGGACAGGCAGACATCTACAACAACATTACAGCTGCCCTCATGGAGTTCTGAGGCCATGTGGTTAAGGGCCTCATCTCTCATGCTTACTGGGTTTGAAAACCCTTTTCTTCACTTCCTCTCAAATTCTCAATCTCTTATAGCCATTTATTTTTTCTCTGTAAAATGGGGAAAGTGATGTTGGGAGATTAAGTGAGATACTGCATGTGATGTGTTTAGTGTAATGTCCCCTAAACTTTAGCTTTCCATGCAACATTTGCAAGGAACAATAAGGCATGCAGAGCAGGAGTGCAGAATTGGGCCTGGCCAAGAAGAAGGAGGTAATATTCATTTTTTGTCTGCTACACAACCATCTCCTACAGCAAGGAGATGTCCATCTGTTAGATCTCTAGTAAATCACACACAGAGAGACACACAGATATGAAACCAAGTCAAGGGCCAGTAACAGGACCCCAGAGACAAAGATTCAGTAAGCAGCCTATCAGGGCATGCAGGGGAAGGAAAGAAGATGATGGAATAAAAGGGAGAAAATTCATCAACAGGGTGTGTCCCTGCCTCTAAAATCTGCATTGGGAGCCTCTGCTGAAGGAGCAACCTGAGAAACTTCACCCAGCCAATGATGGCACAACACACTGGGAGTCAGAATCCAGGCTGCCTGCCCAGGAATAATGCAAGGACAGGGACCAGCACAGCCCAGGATGGATGGTCTGAGTGGCAGATACTAAAGCAGAGACAGGCAGAGCTGGGACTGGGGCTTCTGCTGGGGAAGAGACTCCCTGATCCAGTCGCCTAGAGGCAATAATTGAGATACTGAGTCAGAGAAAAACTGCTAGACTTATTAATAGACAGGGTTTAGGACATTAAGATTACAGAGTGCTTCCGCAAAAATGTTAATTTTCTATGTTTAGCAAATCACATAAACACAAAGACACACATATATGAAGAAATCACATAAATTTGTGAAAAACTAGATGCAACCTATGATTGAGTGACAAGCAAGTGACATTAGAATATTAGGCACCATTAAATATATCTCTACAAAGAATCTTCAGAATGTGGGAAAACTGTTGTTGTATAATATTAAGTGAATAAAAATAGAAAAATTATGTACATAGAATCTCATATATACCCATATATACTCGTGTATACATGTATACACACACACACATATATATATAACATGTATGTATACAATTATTTTTCCACTATGCATTGAACACAGACCCCTTTAATAAAATAATACTCTAAAATAATTGAAAAATCTACAAAAGATATCTAAGCCCAGACACGGAGGGGCATGAGGGGGACATTTGTCCAGGGTTCCTTCTGTGCTATGTATGTGTGGGCACACTTTCATATCAAGCCCACACTCAGTAGTTAGAAGAAACAACACACCCTCTAAGAGCAGGGCAGGAATCGGGTTGAATCAACCCATGAGGTACATGGTCGCCGCTCCTGCTGACAGCTGATTTCCTTGTTTCTTGTGACAGAATGGAAGGCCATGCCTTTTGGGCACCCCAGTCCCGCCCTTTGCCCTGTCCACCCTCTCTTTCCATCTTACCCAGCTAAGTCCTAGGGCCCCAGGTCCTGGTTAGAAATGGTTTCAGTGCAGTTGGGCAGGGAGAGGTCTGCAAGGCCTCCAGCCTGTGCAACCTCAGTCATTGCAATTGATGGCAAGATGTCTCCATCATTTGATTGTTTTTCCTTTGGCTTTTTTTTTTCTGTAGAAATTTGTTGTCTAGTTACTCTAATGAAGTTATGGAAGTATTTGCTGATATTGAGAGGCAGGGCCTTGGCACTGATTTCAAAGTACAGTGTACAGGATATTGTGACTGAGGTCTTTTTTTCCTTGTTTCTTATTTTCCCCAAGTGTATCCAATCAAATCGAATTGAACTTATGTCAGGAATGAGTCCCTGCCTTCAGTGCCTTGGATGAGCTGGCAGAAGCAGTCCACGTGCTGGAAGCTGGCCTTGTCAGTGACCAAACAGCAAGAAGCAGTGACCCATCCTCACATCTTGTGCCACGTGTCACGGAACTCCTGCCTGGTTATGTTCAGAGCTGGCGCAGAAGCTACTGGGGACTTGACCTGGTAAGAACACCCCAGTGACAGCCCCAAGGAGTTGCTGGAAGCCGAGTGTGGATGCACCTGCAGGAGACTGGGAATCCGCAAGTACTGAAGGTGTTGGGCACCCCTTTCCAGGCTGCCTTCCCAAGAATCTCTGCAGGCTCTTCTGTTAAGGAGCTGAGAAAGAGCTATATATTTTATTTTTAATTAGAAATATTTTTTTACAGCATGTGTGTGATGCTGTGTGAGTGTGTAGATATTTTTCTTACTTCATTTTTTCTGTATTCTTCAAACTGTCCATAATGGTATAAATTCAACAATAGATAAAAAATAAGTTTATGACATGTGGAATAAGACTCACATGTTACCATTTCCTCACTCAAAGCCCATAGGTTTACTACAATTTCCCTAAATAGAAAAAAAAGATAGTTTTGCCTCAAAGTTGGCTTATTTGGAATTAAAGTTCATTAATTTCTTGTTATTTCTTGTCTTTAAGTCACCTGTGATGTCTTTATTTCCAACCAAATCTCATCCTGAACTTTTTAAAGTAGTCCTATCAGTGTATGTGAAATGAGACCATTACGTGAAAGCCGTTGTTCGTGTGCATATGTGTGGTGGGGAAGTAGAGCCTGGGTGAAGAAGAAAGGCAGTCCCGCAGAGACAGGCTCACCGTGAGCAGGGCTTTCCCTCCATACAACCAGAGCCAAGGGTCATCAACGAGTGACCACTACAAAAAGCAAAGAGCTTCCTGATCTTTAGCTCCAAAAGTCCCTTTTCTGTAGGAAGAGCCGTCACTGGCTCAATGTGAACTAGTGTTTGCCACTTGGTCAACCAATTCCCATGAAGCCGTTGGACCAGGCTGCATCCCTCACACAGACTGAGGCCATGTTCCTGCCATACCATACAGGCTGCTTGTTGGATGCAGCACCCCTGCCTACATAGTGCTTGCTCACACCCTCATTAGGTCTTAAAATGTGGTCGTTTGCAAGGATTGTTTTTATTGTTGTCCCTTAGCCAGATTCTCTGGGCTGTATTTCACATAAGTCTCTGTGTGCAGAAGCAGCCTTTGCTTGTTTTGCCCTGTGTACTGTGTAACTAAGAGAATGGCCCACAAATTTCAGCCAGAAAAAAAAAAAATTGGCCAATTAAGACCACTTGATTGAAATGGTTCAATTATGAGAAAACCATATTGTAAGTTCACACGGAAAAAAGATTCCATATAAAATGCCCTCTGGTTGAACATTCCACTAAAACATGTTTGAAGCAAGTAATAAATAAACAGAAACTCTACTTCAAAAAACTAGAAATAGGAATTAGAAGGAAACAGATAAATGACCCCTTTGTAGAAATGATGCTTTCTCCCCTTTTACATTGACTAATTGACAACTATAAGGATCTCTTTTTTCCCCCTTTCCAGAGGGAAGAAAAGATTTGAGTTGGCTCCAATCCCATTAGCACAACTAGCTGGAGATAAGCCATCTGTCACTGCTGCTGCTGGCTTCAACTGCCACTCTAATTGACAATGAACCCAGAGACCTGTAATAATTGTGGCTGCTCAGTGACTTCGACAGGTAATGCCTTCCTTTTAGAATCCATCAAGCCCCATCTGTGCCTGCTTGGTGCTTCTCTCCCGGGATGCTGCTCTCTGGGAGCCTGCAGAGCTCTGCCCAGACCAAGGGCTCGCCTCATTAGGGAGGCTTTGCTGGGGCCCAGGGACGGCAGGCCCACAGTGAAATTGAAAACCTCCTACAACTTGTTGTAAGATTTCAATCCTATCGTCAGCCATTGGCAACATCTGTCATTCAGCCCAACCTGTTTTGGGGAGATTTGCACCAACTGCTTTTGCTTGTCATACTTAAAAAAAAATACTTATTTCCATGATTTTGTTGTTATTGTTACTGTTGTTGCTTGTTTGGACCAGTGGTTTTGGTAAATTTACTTTAGGGTTTTTTTTTTTCTTTTTAATATCTGGCTTCCTTTAAGGCAAAGAACAGCATGCACATCTGAGATGGCCTGGAAATAATGGTGAGGTCAGTAAAGATGGTGTAGGCTACAGTGTATTTCATCAGCTGGAATTGCATGCTGACTTGCAGTGTGGGCAAATACTGCAGAACACAACCTGAATCTCACACACTGGGCTTCATTCCAAGAGCTATTTCTTTTACAATTGATTTTACAGCTTGAAAACAGTCCCATTTTCTTGGGAAGTGGCACTGTTGTCCCCAGGACTCAGCAATTATAGTCCTGCTGACATTTCCTTCCAAGCTTCTTGGTGAGACAGGAGTGACATGGTGTGAAGGTCTGTGCCAGGACTCCCATCGTCTGTGACAATGGTGAGCATCCCTGATGGCCGAAGGACTGCTGTAGTTGGCCTGTGGCTTCTGGATCCTGGTGGGAGAGCCCACTGCCATGCCTTCATTTATTCCAGCTGCCTTCATATGGAAGAAAAAACAAAATCAAAAACCAACAAAATCTGATTGCCCGTAATGTCTCCTGAGACTACGCTTTGTTCTGTGTGCCTGAAACATTTATTAACAAAGATCCCAACCTGCAGGTTCTCTACTTGTGTCACTGCAGAGAAATTTTAGGAGAAGGATGTCTCAGGGGGCCCTCAGGCTGGCAGGCTCCCCAGGTGAGTACATGAAAACAAAGAAACTAAAAGCCAACGGTGGGTTTTGGGCCATGGTTCTCCAGTAGTACCCATGATAACATACCTGGGAAGCCTGTAAGAGGCACAGTGTCAGCCTCACCTGGACCTATTCAGAGACCCTGGGAGCAGGCACAAGAGAATTGTGCCCTTCCCAAGCTCCCTGGGTATGTCCCATGCAGCTAAGATCTACAGAGGAGGTTTTGGAATCAGGGCTATAAGACATACAGGTTAGAGGTTCAAAAGAAGAAAGCCTAAGGGAGCCGGGGAGGAGAGCAGAGAGGCTGGTGGGCAGGGTCCCACATGCTCTGTACACAGAGGAAGGGGAATTGGAGCTGAGCATTGGTGCGAGATACGACCTACCTGAGGTTAGGGATGCCGTGGTGTTCTAGTCTAAGCCAATTGACCAGGTGGAAACCAGCCTGATGGACAGAGAATAATTAAGGAAGACAGTGTTCTCAGAGCCAAATAAATGAGCAGGGGAGAAACAGGGAATCAGCTCTTAGGAAGTCAGGAGCAGATTCTGTAAGGCGCGCTGTAGACCTTTACAAAGATTTTGACATTTTTCTGAATTCAACCTGGGGGAATATATCAAGTTCCTACATTATTACAAAGGAGACTTTTTGAAGACCTCAAAATTTAGCAAAACAAGCAAACAGAAAATGGAAAACAGCTGTCATAGAAGCTGATTAGATACATTAGGTCAAGCTTAATGTGAACATGAGAAAAACGTAGCTCACGTCTGAGTAAAGGAAAGATTTTGGTTTGGCTATTTTTATTTTTAAAAAATAATAGGAAGGAGAAGTAAAATTTTAGACTTAGAAAAACCCTTTGAGGTTATATGGTAAACTTTGTATTTCTTATTGATGTGTTTGTTGTTTGTTTGTAATCAATATTCAGGAAACTGACATGATTTATTTAAGGTCAAACATCAAATTGAGCTTGGCCAGAAACCAGCGCTCCTGGTTAGAGACGTCTCTTTCCAGCAAAGCTGGCTCTGCTCTTTGCTTATTTTTTTTTTCAGTTGCAAATAATCTGTAAATTAAGCTCACAATCAATCTTTGCACCAGTGAAAGCTCTTCATCTTCTTTCATCTTGCCATTTTGCAGTGCTACATCCAGATGCCAAGCTCTGGCCTCAAAGGCCAGATTCCAGCATTTAGGATGGAGAGACAACCCTGATGATCTCCTCTTTCCATGAGAACACAATTCCTCAAAATTGTCTTTTCTAAGTCTTTGATAAGTTAACTGTCAAAATCTTGGAGCTGAAACACCATCTCTGACCATTTGGGGATAATTTCCTCTTTATTACTCCTCTTTTAGGTTGTACCCCCTTATTTCATGCTACTTACTTCTCACTCCAGGGTATTCCCACTCTTGTGGTATGTTCAAGTTACAATCTTCTCCCGCAGCCAGAGGTAGAGTCAAGCTGAGAGTTGCTCTGGTCCTGACAATGTGTTTTCTCTCCTTTAAGCCAATTCTTCCATCTCCTTAATCATTAACTTTATAGTTTGAACCTTTTCCAATTTGTCCACATTTTCAGAAAAGCAAAAGCAATACAGTACTCTAAAAATAAACCAAGCTTTCTGTGTCTTAAACTTTGTGTAATCTGCACAATTAAAAATTGATGTTTGTAGTTTTATTGTCTCCTGCTCTCTCTGATGCCTACATTCCTTAGACCCTTTTACCTTTTTACTTGTATGCACGCATACATTTAAATTACTTATCTATTCATGTAACAGGAATGCCTGAACACAGCTTATATAAACAACTCTTTCTCAGGACAGTCTTTCAGGGGATGAAAGCAAGACACATTTTTCTACTGGCTCCAGCCTCTCACTGGTCAAACATCTGCCTCGTGGGTGTTCATGCTTCATGATGGAAGTGTGAAGTGGACGTTGTCCAGTTGTGCCTGTGTGACATTGGTCTGAGCAAGAGCTGGGACAAATGGCTACAGCTTGCAGATGGACGAGCCTGAGGGGGTACAAACCATCTCATGCAGGTATAGTGCAGCCTGAGGGAGGAAACAGAGACAAAACATTAAGTACTTCCATAGATACATGCACGAAGTAGTATGAGAAAACCTCAAGGAGACACCGAATTCAGTCTTGAGGGGTCAAGGAGGAGTTCCCTGTTGAAGCCAAATTTAGATAGTGATGTGTATGAGCCTGCATAGGTAAAGAGGAGAGAAAGATGGAAAGAAAGATGAGGGAGGTCAGGAGAGACAACGGGACTCTGCAAGGAAGCGGCTGTTCAAGGGCCCGAGGCACCAGAGGCTATGCAATGTTTAGTATTTTTTTCATGGCTTGAAAATCTTCATGATATCAATAAAGGATTCCCAGATGGATCAAGTCAATTGTCCTTTCTGGTTCCCAAGTTTTACTTGACCTCATTAAGCATGCCAATTCTTATTTAACTCGTAAGCATCACTGTAGTGAACATTTTTCTTAATGTATTTAGTCCCTGAGATCAAAGGTATAATTAACGGTTCTTTCCTGTTTCTCTGCCTTCTGATCTATAAAATGAAAAATAACCCAATTCTAAAAGGTAGAACTGGTTCTCCAGGTGAGAAACCGACCTCTTTTCAGCCTCTTAATCCCCCTACAGAGCATGTAACCTGGCCGTGTCTCAGCTTCAGGTGGGAGAAACTTGGGAAGACCCTTAACTGCCGTTTCCTGGGCTTGCTCCTGCTGGTGCATTTTCCTGTGCTGCTTCTTATGCCCAGTGCCTTCATGCACCTGTCCTTCCATCACTTGTCCATACCTCTCAGGTAACAAGTTTAATAATTTCAGCCATCATTACATCTTAAGGTGAAGGCATTCAAACTCAAATTTGTTTCTATTTCCAGCAATTTCAAGCACCAGTAAGAAGAAGCAGTGTCACCCAGGTGAAAGTCTGAATCACCCCACCTCAGGCTGACCACAGGAAAACAGAGAATGGCAATGGATCTATTTTGGGTGCTTCCTGAATGAAGTATATGGGCCAGCTGTAAGCTTTTTCTTAATTTAATTATCATTTTCCACACATATTCATTTGCAAACTCCTCTTCTAAACCCAAATCTCCTTTGTTTCTCAGCACTGGTTGACTTTTTAAAGCGGATGTCTTTGAAATGCACTAATGTCCAAAGATAAATGTGTTGCCTCAAGCACCACTTCAGGGTTGTCAGCCCCAGGTACAATTTGCCCTTTCACTGAAGAATCAATGACCACTTACATTTGTTTACCATTTTAAATTTGTGTGCAAGTCTGTATAAATATGGCTTCAGGTTGTATTGTTGCCTATTTTCACAAGATAGAAATATTGTGAATATATTCCCATACTTTTAATATTCTTTATTATAATATTAATGATTATATAATTCCATATTCTATCACATGCCTACATTATAATTTATTTAAATAATTCCTTATTGTGCTTCATTCCATTCAGTTTGTTTTCAATGCTTCATGGGTGCACTGAACATTTTAGCATATAAATATTTGCCTTTATATCTGAATAATTGTTTACAAAATAACTTTAACAATTCATGTTGTGATACAAATTTCCTAGGATGAGTCATCAGGAAGATCATTAAGGAAGATTTTAATATAAGAAGACTTTATTGGATATCTGTGATTTGCAGAACACTGTTGAGAAACAAACAACACACAGAATGCAAGCTTGCCTTTAAAAATGTGTATCCTAATTAGGGAAATAATTATGTTTCCATGTATATCATATGTACACACACACATACACATAGGTATGTATGATCATCTCATGTATGTCATATATGTGTATTTGTGTGTATAGATATACTTTTTTTTGTTAGAACAACTACATCAATGTGAACCAAAAAACTCACAATGGCAGAAGAGGCCTCTGAGTCTGTTTCTTATCTATTTCTGAGCATCACTAGGCACCTCTCTCCTGTGTAATTCATATGACAACAACGTACACTATGACATGTGTTTATTTTACCAAATGTTGTTCTTTCATTTGTCTTGAATACGCTGAATTCCCCTGCTCACCTGAACAACTGTATTCATCTCCCAAAACCTGTCTCTTGATTCTGGGTAAAGATTTTGCTTATTGAGTCACTTCAGGTTAGTGTCCAGTCTTTTGGATTCTGATATAGTGTGGGTGTGTCCCCACCCAAATCTCATCTTGAATCGTAGTTCCCATAATTCCCATGTGTTGCGGAAGGGACTTCCTGGAAGGTAATCAAATCACGGGGGTGGGTCTTTCCCGTGCTGTTCTTGCGATAGTGAATAAGTCTCACAAGATCTGATGCTTTTATAAAGGGTAGTTCCCTTGCACACGCTTTCTTGCCTGCCACCATGTAAATTGTGCCCTTGTTCCTCCTTCATCTCCTGCCATGATTGTGAGGCCTCCCCAGCCACGTGCAACTGTGAGTCCATTAAATCTCTTTCCTTTATAAATTACCCAGTCTCAGGTATGTCTTCATTAGCAGCATGAGAACAGACTAACACAGATTCCCTCAGCCACACTGGAAGAAGAAGTGTCTTGGGCCACACATAAAATACACTAACAAGGCCAGGAGTGGTGAGTGATACCTGTAATCCTAGCACTTTGGGAGGCTGAGGCAGGTGGATCACTTAAGGTCAGGAGTTCAAGGCTGGCCTGGCCAACATGGTGAAACTTCTGTCTCTATACTAAAAATACAAAAATTAGCCAGGCATGGTGGTACGTGCCTATAATGCCAGCTACTCGGGAGGCTGAAGCAGGAGAATCACTTGAATCCAGGAGGCAGAGGTTGCAGTGAGCTGAAATTATACCACTGTACTCCAGCCTGGGCTACAGAATGGGACTCCGTCTCAAAAAGTAAATAAATACATAAATAAAATAAAATATGCTAACACAAATGATAGCCAAAAAAAAAAAATGAGCTAAAAAAAAAAAAGTGCCTGCATAAATCTCATGATGTTTTAAGAAAGTGTACGAATTTGTGTTGGGCCACATTCAAAGCTGTCCTGGGCCACATGTGGCCAAGGGCCTCAGGTTGGGGAAGCTTGAAGGGATTTTAATGTTAATGAGTGTGGATAAATTCAGCAGGGATCAATAAATTTGAATGGAAAAGAATACTTTTTTAATGTTAACTAGCTTCCAAAGTGAAATTTAGCAGTAATTATAGCCAACAGAATACAGGAGTGTACAGGATCTGGAGACACGGTCCACAGTATGGATAAGAGATATTTTTATACCATGTTAAAACTGTTACACATATCCAAGATAATATTTCCATCTTCAAAATGTTTGTGGTTATTTAAGCTGCTACTAAATTTCATTCATGAATTATATGATTCCTTACTTTAAAATCTCATGTTACTAATTTTTTAAAAAATATTTTGATACTGGTATTTTAATATAATATAATTGGTTTCCTTGGAGATCCTATTATGTGTATGTGTGTGTGTGTGTTTGTGTGTGTGTGTGTGTGTGTGTGTCTATCCTAAGAAACTCAAGTTTCCCAGTTGCCTTTGTAAATCCAAGGCACACAAGGCTACAAGCACCTGGACCCTAACTAGCCTTGCTTACGCCGCCGCCTCCTGTATCCCTTTCTCGTGGTGACAGGCCTCTAGTGCTACCCAGAGTGAGCTTTGGCTTTACTGCGGCTGTGACTGGCCTCCCTGTCAGATTTTAATATTCTTAAGGGCAGAGAGACATCTCCATTTTGTATCTCTGGCTCACAGTTCAGAGTGAAACATGAATTAATCATTTAATAAATGTTTATTGAACTAAGCCAAATGGAAGCAAATCTTCAGGAAAGGCTTTGAAGTGAGATGGGATTTATCATGGGCCTTGAAAACAGGCAGGATTTGCATTGGCACGGAGCACAGAAAGCAAGCTGGAAATTGCTCTGTGAAGACTCTAGTGATGGCATGAATGAGGTCGAGGGGGATGGGCTGGGCTAACAATGTGCGTCCTCCAATCCTGTAATTTTGGCCAAGGGTGGTAAAAGGAAATTGGCCTGTTGTGAATGCCCATGAGTATGGATGGGCACCTCAGTCCCCACATTAGCAGCTAACTTCAAAATCCTTTTCAGCTTTGTATCTTTTTGAAAGGACAAATAAGTAATGTCAGTAATAGATTTTTAAAAATCAGAAAATTGCCCATAATTTTCACCTACAAAAGCACCACTGAAATAGGCTCTATGAATAATTGTTGTCATGAAAATTGTTAGTCTTAAGCAATTATTGGGGAAAAGCTGAGTTAAGATATTGAAACAAGATTCTATATACTGAAAGTCTCTAAGTCTTTACACTAAGGTTTATTGTACCATGAGAGGGAAAATGTGCACGGCCTCACTCAAGTTTACTTGGATTTTGGGAACATTTTTATCCCTGGGCATCTCTCCAAGCTAGTGTCTCTTAGAATATATTTTAGGCAATGTCTGCCTTTACCTACATTTTTCCCTATTTCAACATGCAAAATCTAGAGGTGTGTATTTATAGAATGGTGATCATTGCGGAGCCTTGGAAAATGAGAACAGGTTAAAAGCACTCTGAGCTGTCTCTACTCAATTTACATCATGCGAGTGTAGTTTCTCACTAAGGTCTCCTATCAATACTTCCTAACATGTCTTATAGAAATTTTCAAATGAAATTTTGGAAATGAAATGGCTAACAATTGGGAAAATATCGTAGCCATTGCTTGCAGAAGAGTATCTGACTTCTGGTTCTTCATAGGTTATTAGTGAGGGAGGATCACAGCTCACCTCAATGGAGGCAGTAGCAAGATTTTGTTGGAGGTCCCCCATCAGGATTACTTGATCTTTAAAGAGATGCAGATGGGAAGGAAAAGGTGAGCTTTGAGTACAAAGCACAGAGATCAGATTGCTGGTTATTAAGAAGATTATCTTCTAACTCCCCCTTTTCCTGGAATATAATTATAAGTTACTTACCAAATAATTGTTATTGTTGTTTTAACATGGCAATCACGTTATTTGCCATATGTGAAAAAGAATATTTAAAATGCTTTTTAAAACTATGTATGTAAAAGAATGTTTAAATTGTTTTAAAAATATGTTATATCTACCTTGGCACCATCCTTGCTGTTGAGAAATGACTTTTACCTGCTTACTTAGAAGGAAATGTCAGAAGTAGAAGTACATTTGAATATGATTATTTGAAAGCTTCATCCATTTTTCAAAGAATGTATACAGTAACACTAAATAGAAAGCATAGTTTATCAACTCTTCACTAAGAACAGTCTAGCAAGTATATCAGAGTGGCTGTGGTTCCAGTTGGACTAACCTAATCATTTATGAAAAGGTGATAATAAGCTTGGACCAAGAGCACCCAACAGAAATAGATTTAAGAGATTTTAATAGCTTTCATTAAAAAAAATCCAAATTAGCCTTCAGGTCCATAGCAAATGTTGTCCTTACCCCTATATTTGTATTAACAAAAACAGAAACAAAATCAAGGAAAGCAGGACAGCCATACCCTAGCTACTATCCATATGGCTCACACTTTGATTCCTCCCGCGACCCCCAACCACACACATGCAGATGCTGAGAGGCCTGGGATTTACACATTTTACCCCAACTCTCTTAGACTTACTCACTCTCCACCTCATTCTCTTCCACCTTCTTCCTCAGTACTCTTTCTACCATTTATGCTTTCTCTTAACTCCGTTTGAATGAATATATGATTCTGTTTCCTCCAGGCCTGTGCTCCATGCTCCACTCTGATCTAAGGCTCAGCATTGCAGAGAAATCTCTAATGCATCTGGGGTTTGATTCTGGCTTCTCTGCTAAGCAGCCATGTGACTTCAAACAATTCTCTCCAACTCACCGAATTTCACTTTCATGACCCCTGAAGTTGGGACAATAAGTACCTTCGAGGATTGTTGTGGAATTCAATGAAATGATTTCTAGCTGCTTGATAAATGGGATCTGTTCTATTATTACCCCTCCCCCACCTCTGGCTTTTTCATTTGCTCCCCAGTGTGTCGATCACCTTCCTGCCTGTGAACACAGCCGTATCTTCTGGAGTCTTCAACCAGCCACGCCCACCCAGCCACTCTCTACCATCTCATCAGCTCCCAGCTTACTCACCACGCACTAAGCGGAGCCTTCTCTGGCCCTCTGACAATTTATATCCTTAGGTTATCTTCTTAGGCCTCCATGCACCTCTTGTCGATTTTTTTCACAGAAGTCCTTTCTCATTTAATCCCACTGTGCTGCAAATTCCACGACCAGAGGCTCTATACACTCTCTTTCTCTCGTCCCCATTGCCAAGCAGTGCCTCGTAGATGGTAAGCACACACAATTGGTTAAATAAAGGAATATTTCATAGATCTGTAGTTCCATGAACAACCTTGTGAGGAACGTCCTTCCCAACCCAACTCCCGGAAAGAAATCTCCATAGCCTCCCTGAGCCATCCCTTCCACTGGATGGTCATGAAACAGGGAAAGCTCCTATGTCCCCCTCATAGGGCATGCGATGGGGGTGTGACTCACTTCTTCGGTGCCTCACTGCTCAAACCCGTAAGGGGAGCAGGCAGACGGGCAGGTGGTGGGGAGCGCAGGCTCTGACCCCACGGCAGAATCTAGAGGTGAGTATTTACAGCTCCTGGAGCCCCAGTGGGCGTGTCACAGTGTGCTCTTTTCATTTTGTTGTCTGTAGGAGGCTTGTATCAACCAGCTCAGTTGGACCCTCCGGCTCACTGCAAGGACAGACGGCTTTCTGTATCCCGGGGTTCTTGCCTTGGTGTACTGGAAAAATCAGATCACACGTGGGCTTGGAGAACGGACGCGAAGTTTTATTGAATGGCGAAAGCAGCTCTCTCAGCAGATGGATGGGAACCAGAAGAGAGGTGGCCTCCCCTGGAGACTGTTTCCACTGAGCAGCCCGACTCCTCTCCCGGTTGTCCCGCCATAGACGGCCTGCCGGCGTCTGCTGGCGTCTCCCGGTGTGTTCCTCCACCCCTCTGCGTCTCGCAACCGCCAGCCGCTGGCGTGTCTGCCCGCTAGGCTCTCAGAGTGTCTATAGGCACGGGATGGGAGCACGACAGGCCAGGCTGGTCTGGAAAATGCAACATTTGGGCATGAAAACAGACATGCCTGTTCTCACCTAGGTCCGTGGACACAGGCCTGGGGTGGAGCCCTTGCCAGGGACCGCCCCACCTTCTCCTCCCAGCACTTCCCTGCCCCCTTCCTGTATCAGTCAGGAGCTGCGGTGCTCTGTTAGAATCCAGTGTTGAGTGGAGTTATTTATGTGGAAAGAAAAAAACAGGAGTATTTACAGGATATAGCCAGTCTTCTAGTGGATGAACTACATATAGAAACAAAGTTAGAAAAGTGGCGCAAATCAGATTTTCCTTTAGTAGCTGTATTAGTCAGCGTTCTCCGGAGGATATGTGTATATATGTATACATGGTGTATATCCCTCAATAGGATCTATGTATATATGACAGGGAATTTATTAGGGATAACTGGCACACATGATTACACAGTGAAGTCCCATGATGGACCCTGTGTAAGCTGGGGAAGAGAGAAGTGGTAGTGGCTCAGTCCGAGTCTGAAAGCCTCAGAACCAGGGAACCCAACAGTGCAGGCTTCATTCTGTGGCCAAAAGCTCAAGAGGCCAGCAAGCCACGGGTGCACGTCCCAGAGTCCAAAGCCGAAGAACCTAGAGTCTGATGCCCATGGGCAGGAGGATCAGACCGAAGCATCCAGCCTGGGAGAAAGATGAAAGACTCGGACAGAGCTGCTCATCTCACCTTCCTCTGCCGGCTTTGTCCCAGCCACACTGGCGGCCGATTGGATGGTGCCCACCCACAATGAGGGTGGGGCTTCCTCTCCCAGTCCAATGACTCAAATATCCATCTCCTCTGGCAATACCCTCCCCGACACACTGATCTAGGCATCCTTCATTCCAATCAAGTTGACACCTAATACTAACCATCATAATAGCTGTGGTGGCAAACTGGGCTGTTCGTAACAGTGGATCAAGGTGGACCTGTCTAAAACAGGGGAGCTCAAGAAAGAAATGGATTAGTTATGGAATGACGAAAGTCCACACATTTTAAGACAGTCTTATGTCAAAATAGGGTAGAGAAGCAAAGCTGGCCAGACATCAACAGAAGCCAAAGGAGTTGAAGGTCAAATAATAACAGTCACTTAGGCCAGAAAGCCCAGATGCACACACCTGGGGGGAAAATAGTCACTCTAAAACTTACACAGAGGATGTCACAGCAAGGGTTTCCCCTTGTCTTCTGGCCAGGACCACATATATCCTTTCCCAGCTTGGTGTCTCATAAGCCTGAACACTTGAGGTTGGCAATGAAGTTGCAAATTCCTACTTAAAAAAGTTTCTGATGGCTACAACATGATTTTCTCTGTAGTTTCTCGGATCATTTCCTTTGCTTAGATTCAACACTTTTCGTGGATAAGAATACAGAAACTCAGAGAGGTTAAATGATTTACTTTAAACACTGTTTATAACTTCAACACATATAATATTTATTGAGTGCATACTAGATATGTCAGGTATGATTCTAGATCTTGGAGATGCAGTGATAAACACAACAAACTCTCTTGCATTTAAACTACCAATTTATCTCAGAGCTGTTGAGTGGCAGAGTGAAATTCAGTTGAGGTCTCTGGCGTCAGACCACCTGGGCATTTTCTACACACAGTTTCATTGTATATCTTTCTGTAATTCCTTAAACAGGTAGTTTTCTTAGTATTTGTTTTTGTAAGTCTTTATTTCTGCAGGTATTCTGGAGTATTCAAGTGGAAAAATATTTATTCTCTCCATATGAAATTATCAAGATTCATGTTTAGAAGGTTGATAGAGTCTGAGTTTGCTCTGTTCCCCCAACCGCAGGCATCGTTTCACTGGTATATTTAAAATCGCGTTAACTGTAATGTGAGTCAAATTGTGTTTCTCAGAGCAAAAGAACTTTCAGGGAGGTGTTGTTTAAATGCTATAATAGCAAGAGTGTATCTTAATATTTTCATAAAGCCCTATTAATGGAAAATAATAATTTGTCTCTGTAATGGATGCCTAAGCTAGCTGAAATTTTTATTAAGAAGTCCCTCAGTCCTGCTGAAAAAATATCCAATTAATTCTTCTGGATATTAAAAAAAACTTTGAGTAAAAATTAGTTTTTTTGAATTGCCAATGAATGATAATTATCAGTTGTTCCCAGCACCCAAATGCTGACTCAAGGGCTAGGTCACTATCTTGTTGAGATTAGCTGAGCATTTAAAAGATTATTGACTGAACGCTGGAACCAAGCCTTAGGTAAAAATGGGTCTTTGAAAATGTAGAATCCAGGCCATCGATTAAAGAACCCACTAGAAATAAAATTAAGGTTCTGCTTGGTCTACTGATTTTTGACCAGACCTATGTGAAGTCCTGATAGGTCTGTCCTAAGATCTCACCATAGAAAAAAGATACTCTTGGGCATACTCTGCCCTGTTTATATAAGAGTTTATATTAAATTGACTCTTTTTCTGTAGTAGAACCGGGGATAATTCTCAAGTGTCTGTGCAATAATATTACAGATATCTAATGTGTAACTAGGTAAAGTTAGTCAAAACCAGCACATTTAAGTGAGTCAATCTGATTTTAGTCTACTTATTAATAAAAACTAACTACAAGTGGTCGACAAGATCAATATTGTGTCTGAAATATCCTTAAGGTTGAAACTGGCATCAAAAAATATGTAGCATTTATATAACTTAGGTAGCCCTGACTGTTAGCAAATGATAGAAATTAAAATAAACTAACATTCCAGACATTTAGTAGTAACTCATTTTGTTAGAGCAGTGTCCATTGTGTCTGTTGCTATGTAAGAGAAACCATTAGAAAAATCCATTTCTTAAGATTTCTTTGATCCAAGAACATTAATTATTTAACAAATATTTTAATACATGGAAGCTTGGATTTATTCATTTGCCTAGCCTGAGAAATAATAATTTTTATTGGATGTATTCACTGCATAATATATTAGAGATTTTTTTCACATTAAAAATGTTTCATAACTTAGAATTGACTTTGACCCCAATTTAACCTAATTAATTTAATATAATTGCCTCAGATGAGAGTGAAGTTATTTGCTTTCTGGAACACCAGTAGGAAATGATAGAACTGAGTCTAAGAACACAGACTGAGCATGACATCACAGGGTAAGGTGAGCCAGAGGGCTGGGTGACACGATGTTTCCTCGTCCTCTGGTATCCCACTGGTTGGGAGGAGCGGGGAGGACAGGGAAGCCAGGGGACAGCAGAGACCACAGAAGCATTCTCCCTGTTGCTGCTCCAGTGACTGGCACAAGACGCTGAAATCCAAGGTCAGGGGCAGCCTTCTGGGTGTTTCCCAGAGGAAAAGACCAGAAATCACTCAATCTGGAAGCTGAAGACGGCATTCAATTTTTGTCACAGGCCATGGATCCCAGTCAGGAAGAGGAATGGAGATGGCAACTAGGAATGAATGGTCAGAGGCAAATGGACTAGAGACAGTCTCTTCCTGTGTCTACTTCAAAAATCACGTTGTTTTCACTCAAAAATGCCCCTAAAGCAGCCCAAACTGCCCACTTCTTTGTGACAGGTGTATGTGGATGTGTGTGGGTATGTGTGTCTGTAGGGCAGGAGTAATAGTAGCTTAATAAAAGCAGACAGTTACAAAAAGGCAGGGTAAAAATTCATTTCCTTTAGAGAAAAGATATTTTCCTTTAAGTATTAAATATGTATTTTCTATTCCCATCTCTGGAGTGCATATTGTCTATGAAGTTATTAGACTCAATAATGTGATGTGTTGCCAGGAGTGGGTCTCAGGGTGAATCTATATTTTATGATATAGAAAAATATGCCATTTTAATTATCTTTATATCAGGTTTGAGAGTTGTGACATTTGTCTGAAATAACAATATATTTAAGTACATTCTTTATAGCTGGAAGAGATTCTAGTTTTCTCAGAGACCAAGAATGCATGCGTAATACAAAATAAAAGCAAAGAGAATCCTTCTAAGATGAACCAATATATTAACATAATGTATTTCTATGCAAATGGTTACCAAAAATAGAGCAATTATTTTTAAGTAATGCTTCCAAGTAACCAAATCTAGTTACGGGTGCTCAGTGGAATGATGAAATCCACGAAGGGTCTTTGATCCTGCTGATGTGCTGTGATCCTCCCAGGCTCTGTTGTCACCCAAACAGCTGCCACTGAAATTGTGGAGATCCTGCATCTCCCAGCACCTGAGTTCATTCCAGAGCTAATGAAAGAGATGGGCTGTGCCCTCCTCCTTCTGAGTCAATAAGCAGCCGATGACAATGTGCAAGGAGCAAAGGCATTGAGGCTAATTCAAGGGGAGACCCAGCATCCTGATTGGAGCAGGGCAGGATCTGGTGATGGGGGGCCCAGGACTTCCTGAATGTGAGGAGCAGTTTCTCCACTCCCTCCCCTCAGATATCTTCCAAGTTGGCAAGGATGGGACTGGCCTTAGCCAGGGTGGGGCAAGGTTGTATTTTCTAAGTTGAGTGCCCATAGCAATTCTAGCAAATGTGGCCTTCTTGAACCACCTTTTTAAAGCTCCGTCAAGATGGCTCCTGTTCTTGCCACAGTGCGTGCGGGCATGGGTGCTACAGAATCACTGCCCGTTAGAACCCAGGGATCACCGGGATTCTCTAAGCTTGATTGCTGTTTGAGATGTGAGAACACTCAGGCTCAGAGGGGCATGGCCTCTTCGTGAGGCCATGGACGACCAGACACAGCCAATATCTCTACCCTGGCCTCTTTCCACTGTCCATGTTGCCCCCCATGTGGATACTTTTGTGCACAAACAATGGCGATTGCCCACACTTATGAAGTGTTATAAAGGTGGCCTCCTTTGCAGTTCTGAGGGCATGAGGTCAATTAACTCATGGAAACCCTCAGCTGTCCATGATGCCTTCACAGTGCTGCCCCCACATTACAGAGCAGCCTTGGCTACTGCAGGCGGAAAATAAGCAGGGATAAGAGTTAAACAGTTACGTCGAGAGCTCTGCCCAAGTCTTCTCTTTTAGGATATATTATTCTTTGCCTTGCCCTGCTAGTCATGGGAGGATCGAGGCCATGCCCTACTCAGGTTTGAGGGGCTTCTGGAGCACAACCCACTGCACCACTGCCCACAGGCTTCTGTTGTAGCCCACAACACACTCACATCGTGACGTGATGATAATGTGAAAACATATGAAAATCAGAGGGAAAAATGAAAAAATAAGAAAGGTTAGGAGCAAGGAAGGGTAAAAGAGAATCCAGATATGCATAGAGCCTGCACAGGGATGAAAATCTCACTTCAAATGTGCCTCTCAGTTTCCTTAAAGCCCAATATGTCGTGGTTAATCTCATTAATCATTAACTAATAACTGTATTAGTCACCACAGAGGCAGGATCTTCCTGTGTAGCAACATTACAACATAGATGTATGCATCCTGTCTTCCTCACAGGATTTCTCACACAGTATCTTCACCATCATTATTCATTATCATTATCACCACTGTTATTAATATTATGGTTGTATGTAAATCTCTTGTGACATTTCCATTGGCTGTATTAATTAATTTACTCAATGAATGTTTATCGAGCTTTTACTATGTTCCAAGATTGGTGTACACAGAGATCAATAAGACACAGTCCCCGCCATGAGAAGTCTATTGGATAAAATAGCTACATAAACCAAATATGTGTAAAATAACATGGATGGACAATGATGGAAGTATGTATTCTATAACTCCTGGGGAGGCAGGGTGTGTAGGGAAACACTTCATAGAAGTGAAAAACTGAATCTAGGTTTTGTTTTTGTTTGTTTGTTTATTGAGATAGAGTCTCACGCTGTCACCCAGGCTGGAGTGCAGTGGCACGATCTTGGTTCACTGCAACCTCCACCTCCTGGGTTCGAGCCATTCTCCTGCCTCAGCCTCCCTAGTAGCTGGGACTAGTGGCATGTGCCACCATGCCCAGCTAATATTTGGATTTTTAGTAGAGACGGATTTAGTAATATTTGGATTTAGTAATCCTTCCACCTCAGCCTCCCAAAATGCTGGGATTACAAGTGTGAGCCACTGTGCCCAGCCTGAATCTAGTTTCAAAGGCTTATTAGAAGTGGGTTGTTGGCCAGGCATGGTGGCTCATGCCTGTAATCCCAGCACTTAGGGAGACCAAGGCAGATGGATCAATTGAGGCCAAGAGTCAAGATCAACCTGGCCAACATGGCAAAACCCCAACTCTACCAAAAAAATACAAAAATTAGCTGGGTGTGGTCATGAACCTGTAGTCCCAGCTACTCAGGAGCCCGAGGCATGAGAATCACTTGAACCCGTGGGGTGGAGGTTGTAGTGAGCTGAGATCATGCCAATGCACTCCAGGCTGAGGGACAGAGTGAGGCACTATCTCAAAAAACAAAACAAAACAAAAGAAGTGGATTGTTTTGAAAAGTAAATGGGAAAACATCCAGGAAGCAGGGACTTAGAGCTGAGAAATAGCAGAATGTGTGAGAAGAATTACACAGTCCCTAGCTCAGTGTTTCTGGACCATTAAAATGAGGCAGAGGAGTACCTGTTGTCATTGCTGTGACACACACAGGGCCGGATCATGGAGAGTCTCTCATTCCACACTAACTTTGACCTAATCTTTTGATAATGAGGTGCTAGTGAGGGCCTTAAGGTTTTGTGGTACTTGCTTTCAGATGTACCTGCCCATTTTGCTAAAGCGGAGCCCCCAGTTACTGAACACGGAGGCACCATGCAGCATGAGATCTTGATGTGGCCTGTACCCCCTTGTGTGATGTGAGAGACCCTCAGGCTGGGTCTGACATCCCCACCAGCAAAGAGCCTCTGTGTCCAGCCTGCAGATCTTTGGCCCAAGCAAATGTTGCCATCATGGGAATAACTCCCGGATTTCCAAAGGCTCTATCAGTCACTGCGTGGGAGCCAATTCTGCCCGGAGATGCTGCCTCCAGGAGGCAAGTTATTACAACGCAAGCCAGATATGAATATTTAACCTATCTGATGCTAAATGATTTAACAGGTGCCTCTGCAGTGTCTGAGGAAATGTGTTCCTTCAGGGCCTAATAAAAATAGGCATTGTTTCCACGTTAGTGTGTAAGAATAGAAATAAAGACTTCTATTCAAACTAGGTTAGTGTCATTTGCATCAGGGATAAGACTCAGCAGAATCTGGAAAGGAATTGAAAATTATCATCAAAATAAACCCAAACAAGAACAAGCACAACCTCCCCACCACCACCCACCCCACGCAGCCAGTTAGCACTCAAAGTGTTAACACTTACGCTGAGGTGCTGAAATCACCTATTACCGTAGAGTTCATGGCCCAGATGTTCCTGAGGAGGACAATTTACAGGATTCCTTTTAGTGCATGGTATATTAGCATCCCATTTTAATGAATTCCATAAATAAAAGATGATGAAATGCCAGTGTTTTGCAAACTGTGTAAGGTTAGCTTTATCTTACAATCTGGCTGCAAGATTCCCATAGCCAGTTTGCTTTTCCTTCCTTGGCTTTATGTTCTGAAATAATATACTTGCATTTAGTCATATAAGAACAGTGTGCCCTTTCATTATAAAAATGATAGTATTGAATCTATTTTTTTCACATGTCCTAAGTTTCATCTGTCATGCCAGAGAAATCGATTGGCTCAGGTAATGGAAGCTTCTTCAGGTTTCTAAGATATAATGCACTATTTCCTTACTTTAGTTAGTTGTACTCCAGGTAACTGATCACAGGAAACTACCATCAGAATAATCAACTCTATGAAAAAAAAAAGTGTCTTTGTACCTTTCTAGGGAAGCATTCAGTTAAGTGATTTTTATTATAGATGCATACTTAGTCACGTTAACTTGAATATTTGAAAATTGTTTACAAATAGAAAGAAATTTAATTATACAAATGATTGGAGAATGGCACGGTACCTTAGTTGTTCATAGCTTTAGGAATTTCATAAATCTGGACCACAAGTGATCAGTGTCTTCAGGACAGGGCCTCACGTTAAGCTGCCCTAATAATAGGTAGATCTTGTGGTAGGCAACTTCTGAAAATGTCCCCAGAGACTCTGCACTATGTAGGATCCCCTCCCATTTGAGGGTGGGTTGGACCTGGTGACTCCCTTCTAATGGCTCGAATATAGGTTCTGGGAAGTCACTTCTGAGGTGGAACTGGCACCTCGCTTGCTCTCTCTCCTGCCAGCTCTCATGCTGTGAGCTGCAATTATGCAGAGACCCATCTATCACGGAGCAGAGGCCTCAGTCCAACAGCCCAAGAGAACCTGGATGTGGCCAACAAACAAGAAGAGAGCTTAGAAGCAGAGCTGGCCCTAGTCAGACCTGCAGAGCCTGCAGCCCCAGCGGACGCTGATTCCAGCCCAAGAGACCCCGCCACCATGTGCCACATTGTCTGACCACAGAAACCATGAGATAATAAATGTGGTTTGGTTTAAGCCACTGATTTGTTCCATTGCAATTGATAATTTAGTCATTAAAAATTGTTCTGAAGATCTTCCAAACACACTGTTTGAAGGTCATCCTGAAAAATACATTTCATTAGCAATACA
Source organism: Homo sapiens (assembly GCF_000001405.40). Taxonomy (NCBI): domain Eukaryota; kingdom Metazoa; phylum Chordata; class Mammalia; order Primates; family Hominidae; genus Homo; species Homo sapiens. The sequence goes on from NC_000002.12 coordinate 5,334,353, forward strand.
CATAATGAGGACAGAAAAAGCTTATATAAGGAAGGTTGAAGAGGTTGGCTCAGAAGGAGAGAGTAAAAGGGTGGTTCCAGGGGTTGAGCTGGGTTGGGGTAGGTATTCATCAAACCATTAGTTGGATAGAAGGAATAAGTTCAGGGGGTCTACTGTGTAGCACTGTGACCATAGTTAATAACAATATATTGTATTCTTGAAAATAGCTAAAAGAGTAGATTTTGTGTTTCTACCACAAAATAATGGTAAGTATGCAAGGTTATGCATATACTACTTAGCTTAACTTAGCCATTCCACAATGTATACCTATTTTAAAACATCATTAGCCAGGTGTGGTGGCGTATGCCTGTAATCCCAGCTACTTGGGAGGCTGAGGCAGGAGAATCACTCCAACCTGGCAGGGGAAGGTCGCAGTGAGCCAAGATTGCACCACTGCACTCCAGCCTGGGCAACAGGGTGAAACTCTATCAGAAGGAAGGAAGGAAAGAAAGGAAGGAGGGAAGGGAAGGGAAGGGAAAGGGGAAGGGGAAAGGGAAGGGGAAGGGGAAAGGGAAGGGGAAGGGGAAAGGGAAGGGGAAGGGAAGGAAAGGAAACATCATGTTGTACATGATATACGCAATTATTTCTCAAGTAAAAATAAAGTAACTATATAAAGCTAGATTAGAGGACTTTATGTGTTCAATAAAATAGACATGCTAAAATAGAATTGAAAAGTTTAAGATCCTAGACTCTAGATTGGGGGTCTGCAAATTATGTCCCTTGGTCCAAATCTGGTCCATCACTCTGTTTTTATAAATAAAGTTGTATTGAAACACAGCCATGACCATTTATTAACATATTTTCCATGGATACTTTTGCTCAAAATCTGCAGAGATGAGTATTTGAAACAGAGGTTTTATGTATTGCAAAACGTAAAATATTTGCAATACTGCTACCTTATTCTCAAAAAAACCCACAAACTTTGCTGAGCTCTGCTTGCTCTAGCTTAGACATACTTAAAAGGAGCTTCACGTATTCAAAGTGACTAATATCATCAAATGTGCAATGAAGAGTAAAAGAAGTTCAAGCTCTGGGAACATACATCATGAAACATTTGAGTGTGAAATGCTGTAAGTGTTTACACATCCTCATTGTGATTTGACTGTGGGAGCCATGAGACCATTTTGTTTAAAATAAATGGTGCCCCTCCAGCTGCTGAAACCAGCTCTGTTCTCGTTGTATCTTTTTTCAGGAATTCTAAATGTTTTAATAAAGTACTGGTTTGTTTTATCTTAGATTTCCAATTAAATTGCCATTTCCTAGGAAGAAGAATTTTGAAGCCAAAATGGACCCTACAGCTCATTCAGTCTGTCGTCTTGCCCTTACAGATGAGAAAACTGGAATCTGGAGGCATTATATGACCTGCCTAACATGCGCACTCTTTACAGTCAGAGGCTGACATAGGAGTTCCTTCTTCCCCCTTTTAATTTTCTACCTTCCTCCTGTTAGAATCTGGTCTGGTATACTACAGTTTGCAATGTGCATGCTTAATAACTCTTCTGAAGGGAATTTTGCAATATCTACAGTGGTAGTTACTGCTAGTGCTCACTAAATCACCATGGACTCTTTGCTTCCCAGCACCCCTTCATTTTAGGTTGGGCCCTTAAGACCAGAGTCAGGCCAGTGTGAAGTAAAAGTGTCAAAAGCCACTTTCAGGTTTAGCCTTCCTCACTGCACTGGTTCCAGATGGCCTAACAGCAAAAGGAAGCTTTGTGGGACTCTTCTGCTGAGAAAGAGCCCACAGGAGAAGCACTGCCCTTCATCAGACTGTGATACAAATGAGAAATAAAGCTGTGGTCTATTGAGCCACTGATGTTTCAGAGTTTGTTTGTTATTGTTAACATGCCGGCTATTCCTGTGATTACTAGGGATCAGCAACTTGACAAACATTTTCATCTGGAATAAAAAAGAGAATGAAGAAATAAACCAAACAAAAACTCTCAGCAGTAAAAATAAATGCTACGAAATTTCTCAAGGTCATTAACCTTATCCATAGAAAAATTTGTCTGCTCCGTCTCCAAAGACAAGTTCCACATACTTTATGCTCAAGTGCAACGAGTCCACACAAGTGCCGCAAAGAGATTTATTTTAATATCTTGTGTTTTGCATTTATCCTCAATAGCACATAGTAGCCAACAAAGGAATATTTGTAACAAATAATCTTGATGATCTGATTTTCCAGCCAGTATCATATTAAAAGATACAGAGCAGAGGCCAGGCGCGGTGGCTCACGCCTGTAATTCCAGCACTTTGGGAGGCCGAGACGGGCGGATCACGAGGTCAGGAGATCGAGACCATCCTGGCTAACACGGAACCCCGTCTCTACTAAAAACACAGAAAATTAGCCGGGCGTGGTGGCGGGCGCCTGTAGTCCCAGCTACTCAGGAGGCTGAGGCAGGAGAATGGCGTGAACCCGGGAGGAGGAGCTTGCAGTGAGCCGAGATGGCAACACTGCACACCGGCCAGGGCCACAGACTGAGACTCCGTCTCAAAAAAAAAAAAAAAAGAAAAAAAAAAAGAGAAGATACAGAGCAGCAAAAAATATATATAGGTATCAGAATGACAGGGAGCAGAAATTAAAATTAAATAAGAGCTCCATCTGTGACAACACCCTATGTATGGCGTTTCCCCCAAGACTGATTGATAGAATGGTCAATGCTATAGAAATCACTCTTTTGAGTCTTTTGTTCAACAACCCACTCAATTTTTTGCATCCTTGTGTCTGTGTCTGGATGTCTGTCTACTGGATCACAGGAACTATGCTCATTTTAGGGAGAAAAAGGAAAAAAATGAAAAAAAAATCCTTAGTCTTTGCCATGACGGAAAGATAAGGCTTAAGAGGTAAAACTCGGGGCTTATTCTTTCTCCACCCTCTCCCACTCTGTTCCCAGAAAGGGGTCTCTGCAGGAGTAGAGGGTACAACAAAATCAAGGACACACTGATGCTCTTCTCTAATCAACTCTACAGAAAAATGTGTGGGAGAAAGACAGGTGGGAATATCTCCTGTGATGCTGAAATTACAGGCTGTGCCTTGGAGCACGAACTGCAGCTGAGCCTAGAGCAATCCTCCTGCTCTAATATATATAAGACCTTGAACTCCGACATCAAGGAAGAAAGCAAGTGTGTTAGCCGATTTATTTCCAAGAATGAATGGCAATTATGTTTAAGTGATTTCTCTGCTCTCATTCCTCTTTAGGCACTGAGACTCTACAAGCTGAACCTTTCTGAATCCTGAACCAGTTCTGAATTCACTTATTTATTCATTGAACAATTGTTTGTTGATTATCTACTATACATCAAGTACTACTCTGCTTGTTAAGAATCCAGTTAAAAGCAGCACAGTTGATCTAGGGCTTCTATTTTTAATGTGAAGACAGGCAAAATAATAAGAAAAGAAATAAGCAAGATAGTTTCAGCTGAGGTCTTGAAAAGAAAGGAAAGGTGCATTGAATTGGAGGGGTGGATTGATGGAGGCAAGCTAACCTAGGGGTGTGGTCAGGGAAAGAGAAGAAACTGGAAAAGTAGAAAGAAGTAAGCTCCTGCAGGTACCTGAAGCCCTAGGAAGGGGTCTGGGTTGTCCAAAGTCAAAGGTGAGTCGCTGGAGGAAGGAGAGAGAGGAAGCCAACAGGAAATAATGTGATTATGTTTGTATATTTTATTAGTCTGTTCTCACACTCCTCTGAAGAACTACCTGAGACTAGGTAATTTATGAAGAAAAGAGGTTTAACTGGCTCACAGTTCACAGGTTTAACAGGAGGCATAACTAGGAGGCCTCAGGAAACTTACAATCATGGTGGAAGGGGAAGGGGAGGCAAGGGCCTTCTTCACATGGTGGCAGGAGAGAGAGAGCAACGGAAGAAGTGCCACACACTTTTAAAACAAACAGATCTCATGAGAAATCGCTATCACAAGAACAACAAGGGGGAAATCAACATTCATGATCCAATCACTTCCCACCAGGCCCCTTCCCTGACATGTGAGAATTACAACTTGAGATGAGATTTGGGTGGGGACACAGACCCAAACCATACCCTATATTAAGAAGGTTATTCTGATTTGCAGACAGCAAATGAGAAACAGGAAGACAAGTTGGGAGGTTACTGCAGTCATTCAGGCTAGAAATGATGGCACTTTGGACTTCAGTATTGCAGGAAAGATGGTGAGAAGTAAGTGAAGGGAGCATGAGTTTGGAGGTAGAGACAGCATATCTGTGGAGGTTTTGGGTACAGTTATTGAAGAAATGGAGGAAAAAAGAATGATTTCTAAGTCTGATGTGGTTCCTAATAAGCGAGAGTAATGTTGGTGTGCATAAACATTTTTTCTCTTACTTTTGATTTTCTATTTCTCTGTTTACTAACATGTTTGTAAATTTTGTTCCAAATCTCTGTTCTTTCTTCAGGGTTAATTCACCAAAATATGGAAATGAATCATATCAAACTCACATGTCACTCTCTATCACTTCCACCGTCTGAAACTATAATGCATATGTGTGTCTATTTATTTATGGCTATTTTTCCATTTTATTTTTCCATAAATAAATGGACATCTGAAAATGACTAATTGTCAGTTTTCCCTTCAGAATAATTTTGGTATGGTTATGTGATGACGTTCTAGGAAGATCATGGGGTCAGACAAATACGGAAAAATAACTGAGCAAAGACTTGGTCAACACAAAACAGTGTCCCAGAGAACATATTCACTGTAGACTATGGAAAGTTTTTCCAAAATACTCAAATAGTTTTTTGCCTTTCAAGCACCCGCCTTCATACTTCTGGAAAAGAAGAGCCAAGTTCTTGTCATTAGCCCAATTCCAAAGGATTCTCGAACCCTTGTACACCCTAGAATGTTTTGGGGAGCTCTGCAGCTGATACTTTTTACTGTGTGTAAGCAGAGGTTTTGTCAAAATGTCATGAGCCTGTGAAAACAGGCTCTCTGGAGAGTTTATGGAGAGCTCAGAGCTGTTCAAATTGAACATTCCTCAGTGGAAGGGATGTCCTACACACTGTCACCCTCTCGCCTGCAGACCCGATCAGCTGGAAAGATGGAAGGTCAGAATGAGCAGAATAGCTTGTGTTTCATAGAGCAACATGGGAAGATATGCACAATTTGATTATCCAAATAAATCATATCCAACACCTTTCAGAGTGGAGGTTTATGACTATTTTTTATTCCATACAAGGATGAAAAAGGCTAAAATATTCTATCTTCTCAGTGGGCTTATGAAAGTAAGACTAAATGTCTACCCAGTGGCAATCCCTTCATTAAAATAAGCAGTCTGGAGCCATTATCTTCACAGCAATGTATTAATACAACTCCATTAAATATACTGGGTGTTTTTTGTAAATGGTTGATGAGGTTCATTTTGGATTATGAATATCATATTTATTGCTGTTTTATGTGTAATACTCACATTGATGGCTAATTCTTCCAGCAGTAACTCATTGTGAGGACCATTAAAAAGGATTTTCTTGTTTTCCCTCTAAAATAGGTGAAATGTGACCTAATTTTTATGAGTATTTCAAATGAAATACTTATTTATTTAATAAGCACTGAAACTTAGTGAGTATGTAGAAATATCTGCTCTGTGTCTGACGTAATTGGAGTCATTGTGATTGAAAAGTCAATGTTATTTCCCAAACAGGAGTTTGGGACTTTTAGTCCTGATCTAGCTGTCAGATTAAATAGCAGGGCTGGTGGTTGCATAGGAGGTTTATACAATGCACTAAAGCAATGGCTCTTATCAGGTGACAGGTCCAGAGATAGTTGCCATCAAAAGGAATAGGAATTTAATAAGCTGGTTCTGGAAAATCAAGATGAGACCCAATGAGCCAGGAAGCAGTAGAGCTGAAGAGGCTGAGCAGAGAGGAGAACTGAAGAACCAGTGAGAACAGAGACAGACAAGACAGAGATGAATCAGAAGAAAAAGCCAACGGCTGTTATCCTTAGTATATAAATAGTCCTTAGAAATTCATGAAAGTCAAGGCCATAATAAGATACCACTTCATACCCATTAGGATGGCTGTTACTAAAAACAAACAAATTAATTAAAACAGAAAATAAGTGTTGGCAAGAATATGGAGAAAATTGGGAATGTTTGCATTACTGGTGTGAGAGTAAAGTGATACGTCTACCGTGGCATACAGTATGGTGGCTTTTGGAAAAATTAAACAAATTTACCATATGATTCAGCAATTTCATATCTGGGTATGTACCCAGGGGAATTGAAAACAATATACATACATATATATATATATATATATATATATATAAATTTTTTTTTTTTTTTTTTTTTTTTTTGAGACGTAGTCTTGCTCTGTCAGCCCAGGCTGGAGTGCAGTGGTGCCATCTTGGCTGACTGCAAGCTCCGCCTCCCAGGTTCACACCATTCTCCTGCCTCAGCCTCCCGAGTAGCTGGGACTACAGGAGCACACCACCATGCCTGGCTAATTTTTTTGTATTTTTAGTAGAGACGGGGTTTCACCGAGTTAGCCAGGATGGTCTCGATTTCCTGACCTTGTGATCCACCTGCCTCGGCCTCCCAAAGTGCTGGGATTACAGGCGTGAGCCACTGCACCTGGCCAGAATCAAACAAATATTTTTATACTTATATTCCTAGCAACATTATTCATAGCAGCCAAAAGTTGAAAGCAACCCAAATGGATAAATGGATGGATGGATGAACAGATGAACAAAGTGAATTATGGCACATCCTACAACATGGATGAACCTTGAAGACACTGTGCTAAGTGAGATAAGCCTTTCACAAAAGGACAAATATTAGAAGCCCACTTATATGAGGTACTTATAGTAGTCAAATTCATAGAGACAGAAAGTCAAATGATGGCTGCTGGGGGCTGGGGGTGTGAGGAGAAATGGGGAATTATTGTTAAAATATATGGAGTTTCACGCGGGCATGTGACAAAGCTTTGGGGATGGTGATGGCTGCCCAACAGCATGAATGTTCTTAACACCACAGAACTGCATACTTAAAAATGGTTATGATGGAAAATTTTATATAAAAATCATGGAAAAGAAAAACAGATAAATATCCTCATAAGAAGATGGGAAGCTGATATGGAGAGGCAAATTAAATGCCTGAAACACTCTTGGTCCTCCCCAAAGCTCGGTCCTCCCCAAAGTTCTGTCCTCCCCAAATCGCAGTCCTCCCCAAACCTGTGTCTTCTAGGATGTGCTAGTTCATTTGTATAACTTTTAACCAGTTTCTGAATCTCATCAAACCTTAATGTATGTATCTGTAAGATGATGGTGATGATTCTTCCATTCCAGCAACACAATGAGAATTAAGTGTGATAAAACACAGCAGAATGTTTACTACTGGCACAGACAGGGCAGTTTTCTGCTCTTTCTCTCCCTCTCTCAGCTCTGGTGACAGGGAATTCTCCTGTTTTTGTTCCTGTCTTTCAAGTGCCCCTGACTTCCTGTGTTTCTGCTCCCCTCCTTCCTCTGGCTGCATTGCTTTCAGGTCACTCTGCACCTTATGCAAGGGCTGTCTGTGCTTAAGCCCATGTCCTCTATGTTGGACTTCCTGTGGATTCGCTAAGCATCATCTTATCTGTGTACCTTCCACAAGGACTAAGTCATGTGTGCACCCAGAGGTGCAAGTATTTAACATTTGTTTACTGACTGGAGCGTGTCTCAGTCCTCAGATTGTGTTGCCTGTCTCAGCACATCATCTACTCTTTAGTTGACTTTGTTATTCTTTATTCTTTTTTTAAATATTCTTTAATCTTTAACATGAGAGTGATAATTTTTAAACTATGTTCTGGCTATTAAGAAAAGCATAAAAATCCAATTCTAAAAGAAGCAAAACTTAGAAAATAGAAATATTCAGCATGATTCTTTCTCATTTTCAGCTTTCTAAATATAATTAGTAACTTATAACTATAGAGTTTTAAGTTTAAGAAGAAACTTCCAGGTACTTTACCAATATTTCTCGAGAGGAAGGCCGTTGACATTCAGGGCAATCAGTTCTTCCAGTGAAGGACTATGTATGTGTTGCGACATGTGACATTCTGGCCCTGAAAACAAAACGTCCTCATCAGCATCATCATAGTTTATCTGGGGTAGACCCTTGTGGTAGGATTCCTTCTTTTTCTGTCTTAAAGTTTTGACCAGGAAATACATATTTATATGTATATAAAGCATAAATAAATCCAATTTTAAAAGAAATAAGACTTGGGAAAATACAAATATTCAGCATGATTCTTTCTCATTTTTACCATTTGAGAAATAATCAGTAATTTATAATCCTAGAGTTTTAGGTTTAAAAAGAAGCTATATATTTATGTATAGTTTATATAAATACACATAAAATATGAATATAAATATATATTCATATGTTACATATATTTATATATGTATATGTACATATATGTATATATTTATATTCTATATATAATATAAATATAACTATATACACATTATATATTTATATAGATACATAAATATATTTTATGTATTTATATTTATTTACTATAATTGTTTATTGTATTTATTTATATTTTATATTAATATATTATTTTAATATATAAATATATATTTTATGCACTTAACATATATTTATATATGTATATTTATATATAGATACAAAAACACATATATTAGAGACCAGATAAAAATATAAATAATAGGTAAATAATATGTAAATATATATAGTTATTTAAATTTGTTGTATAATATATATATTTTTTCAGAATCATATTATACTACAGCTCCCCAGACAAATGAATCAAGGGCATCTAGTGTCGTTGGAACAGCATAGAAACATCTTAGAACAAAGAAGTTATTCTACAAACTTCTACATTGAACGTGATCTGTTGTGAGTCCACTTGTGTGACTGTGATGGTTAATTCTGAGTGTCCACTTCATTGGATTGAAGGATGCAAAGTATTGATCCTGGGAGTTTCTGTGAGAGTCTTGCCAAAGGAGATTTACATTTGAGTCAGTGGGCTGCAAAAGGCAGACCCACCCTTAATCTGGGTGGGCACCATCTAATCAGCTGCCAGCAGGACTAGAATAAAGGGCAGGAGAACGTGGAGAGATCAGACCAGCTTAGCCTCCCAGCCTACATCTTTCTCCTGTGCTGGATGCTTCCTGCCCTCGAACATCGGACTCCAAGTTCTTCAGCTTTGGGACTTGGACTGGCTTCCTTGCTCCTCAGCTTGCAGACGGCCTACTGTGGGACCTTGTGATCGTGTGAGTTAATACTCCTTAATAAACTGCCTTTTTATATACATCTATCCTATTAGTTCTGTCCCTCTAGAGAATCCTGACTGATACAATGAGGTACCATTGGCAGCCATAAGCACCCTGATTTGAGAACCATCAGCAAAAGCAATGAGAACCAGTGCCTCCCCCCAGGAGCATGGGCTCCTGAGAGTAGAGTTGGGCTCGGCTCCAGGGCCTGACTCCCCACCCACCTGGCCGTTCCTCAGTGATGCTTGCCTGGCTGTTACCAAGGGAAATGAGATGTTTGCTTGCGCATAAGAGAAAATATTCCCTCTTTTGTGATTATGCTAAAGTACCCATCTGTGGAGACAATACTGGTAACAACTTTGAACTCTATCCCTGTCAGAATCTACATTCCTAAGAGCCAGGAACCACGTCTATTTTATTTTTGACAGTTCTTTAGCCCAGCAACTGGAATGGGTAGTAGAACTGATGATGTGTTGATTGCTTTCACCACATCTGCAAGTAAACACAGAGCTCAGAAGTTCCGTGCTAAGTCAGGGGCATTTCTGTCTTTTTGATGTTTGTTTATGAATGTCTTGGAGTCACTGAAAGTGGCAGTGGGGGACAATCAGAGGAGGAACTGTTGACCCAAGGCAGTGAGAATGAGGAAGTAGAGAAGGAGTAAGGGGCTACGGGGACATCAGGGGAAGAGAGAAGTGCCCAGGAAACACAAACACAGTTGACAGGGTGGCAATAGCTAGAGAGGAGGAGGAGAAGGAACAACTGACCTAAATTCACCCCCTGGAACTCTTCTAACTCTAAGACTCCAAAAAACCATGTGCCAAATCCAAATTTACCTCACCAGCCAATGTGAGGATAAATAAAACTTCAAAAGAACGCTTATCCCTAAGATATCATTGCTGTTAACATTTTGTCTATCTATAGCTTTTAAACATTGGCTTATAGGTTTTTAACTGAGGAAGAAACACAATAGGAGAAACTTAAGAAGAGAATAAAATATTAGGAGCCATGCCTCCTACAGCCTGAACATAAATAAATGTTTATCGTGATAACAGGGATTATTAAATATGCTTTGGCTTATTGAGTATGAAGTAATAGAAGCAGAGTGAAAAGAATATCTGTGACTTCAGCTCAAAGAATGGTAAACTACCTACCGCCTCACTTTTTTAGTTAATTAGAAATGCCAAATAGCACATCTCATTCTTAGAAAAGAGAGACTCTTGTTTGAAAGCACTCTCTACACTATAAAGTACAATACAGATGAAAGTAGCTGTTATTGTTATTTTATTCCCTTCAGGCCAGTGACTTCAGCTATGATACAGTGAACAGGGCTGCTAAGGGAGACATAAGCTAACGTATATGGAGCATTTCTTAAAAGCTGAGTGTTTTTTATAGACACCACTTGAACAGTTATCCTAGGTTCTTACTGAAACATCATGAACGGTTACATTTCTCAGAGCTGTCCCAAAGCAGGGCCACATCATAGAGCATCTGTATTGGAAGACATCAGCTGTGAAGCTGTGTGTTATTACATTCAGATGACCATGGATAAGGGCATTTGCGACTGAGATTGTGTGAATCGGATTTAAACCAGCAAACTGTAGCCTTTATGTCAAATAGCCGTCAACATGAAAGCTGTTAAAGCAAACTACTTTCCATAAAAATGTATTGAAAAAAAAAAAAGCCTGGAGCCACAAAGCAATAGGAAAAAGAAAATTTATCACCATGCCTAAAATGGAATTTGGAATCCAGTTGCTTGAAGAAAGAAACAATTGTGTTATATTGTGCTGAGGTAGGAAAAGAAAAATCAAGGACTACCAGTCCTCAGGGGAATTAGCAAAGAAGATGTTTCCAATACGGCTCAACAACCCCAGTCGGAGAGACTAGGCAGTGTTGTCGATGGGAAACTGCCACAAGGATGGGTCTGTTATCCTCCAGTGCGGCAGCTAACCAAAACATTTGACCACTGAGCCCCTGAAATGTCACTGGTGTGGCCAAGGAACTGGTCATAACATAATTTTATTTTAATGCAATTAATTTAAATTTCAATAGCTACATGTGGCTTGTGGAGCCCATGTTGGACAGCACAGGATAGCAGTTTCAATAGCATTAAGAGACAGAAAATAACTCCATTCAGCAGAATATCCATTCATTCATTCAACTAAGCAAAATTCAGTGGGCATGCCTGTTACTGTGTCAGGTACTAGGATGCAGAGATAAAAAAACATTCTCTGTCTTCAGAAGTTTAAAGTCTAGTAGGTAAGAAAAGCAAGTACAATAAAATTGTTGCCATAATAAAATGGCATGTGTTCAAGATGTATGCAAGTCTCTATAGTAATAAAGAAGACCTGAGCAGGTAGTAGGGTGTTGGAGGAGGCCATGCAGGTAAAGTGGCTACTGTCTAGGTTGTGAAGAATTAGTAGTCTTTGGCAAAAGGCAAAGTACAAAGTTATAGAATAAATGCATGAAGGCGTAAAGATGCATAACAATACAGTGCAACCTGCAAAGCTTAGGTACAATAAAAAGCCTTCACCTGAACTGCATCCCCCTGACCTACCACTTACCTGCGGATCTCTGGTGCATGTGAGGTCCTGAGGCAGGTTGCATGCGGACCTCAGGCAGCAGGCTACTTGAGGGCACTCACACTGCTCTCACCAGTTCAGAAATTGTCTTCACAAAGAGGCAGTAGATAAGGTGGCAGTGGTAAGAGAGTTCCTTGTGTTCACAAGCCTGCTTATGCCAGGGGTTCGTATTGTTCTGTAAAGTAATTAAATATTAAGGAAACCAATTAAGTATGAAAATTTAAAAAAAGAAAATGCAAATTAGGTATAAGCAAAACCACTGTAAAAGTCTGAAGAAAGTTCCATAAAACTCGAAGGATTATGTCGTTAAATTGCTTTGCATTCCATTTTAAAGCAAAATATCTGGAAATTATATGTAAGGCATTATGTTTGCGATTTTCTCTAAGAAAAATGATGAATAACTCCAGCTGACCCATCTATGCTCAAAGAAATATTCTTGGCCTTATGTCAGAACTTTGGCAAATCAATGTAAATCTATGCTTTTATGTTATAATAAAATATATGAGACTTCATGGACTAGAAGAATCTATGGAATTACATGCTTCATAGCCTTTCATGGGACAGGAGTTCTTTCTTTCCATCTCATGAGACCTAGAGATGATGGCATTTAACTTATAATTGCAGTGAAAACCCTGAACAACCCTATAAAAAGCAGGGAGTAATCATGGCTGACAACCAGCTGTTATGTATGGAGGGGAAAATTTGAAGAAATGAAAAGATGGCAAGACCTGTTGATTGGCTAATTATGGAGCCTGAATTAAAGGGATGAGTCAGGGATGTTTAGGTCATGCCAGCCTTTATAAATCATTGAATTGTTAAATACATTTCAAATGTTGACATTAATGGTATTTATTATTTGTTACATCATGTAAGGATAAGAGCAGGGTCAGTTGAACATAAAAATAAATATTTTATATTTATATAGGGTAGACAACTCTTGTGGCAGGATTTCCTCTATTTCTGTCTCAAAGTGTTTAACTCAATGTTATGACAGGAGAAATATATAATTATATTTATATTATAAATATCATATATGTAATATATAATTACATATACATAAATATGTAAATACCTAAGATATATAATATATAAACATATATATTATCCTAAAATAACATTGAATTTAAAATTTTGAGATAGAAAAAGATAAATATATATAATATATGTTTATACTTATTTCATATGTATTATATATAATATATACATACTATATAAATAACATAAAAATATATTGATATTTAAATGTTATATGACCTGTTTTTTCCAAAATCATGTTACACTACAGTTCCCCAGACAAACGGATCAGGACATCTGTGTCACTAGAAAAGGACAGAAACATTCCAGAGCAAAGAAGTTATTATGCAACTTTGTATATTAAATTTGATCTACTAATTCTATAGTGGACAATAGGCTGAAAGTCAAATCTTGCTAAACAAAAAAGTCTTAGTTTCTTCTGAATTTCTTTTTTTTTTTTTTTTTTTTTTTTTTTTTTTTTTGAGACGGAGTCTCGCTCTGTCGCCCAGGCTGGAGTGCAGTGGCGCAATCTCGGCTCACTGCAAGCTCCGCCTCCCGGGTTCACGCCATTCTCCTGCCTCAGCCTCCCGAGTAGCTGGGACTACAGGCGCCCGCCACTACGCCCGGCTAATTTTTTGTATTTTTAGTAGAGACGGGGTTTCACCGTTTTAGCCGGGATGGTCTCGATCTCCTGACCTCGTGTCTTCTGAATTTCTAATGCTTCTTTTAAAATAGTAAGGATCTACATTTGGAGAATCAAAGAAAAAGAATATTATGATACAAAGGAAGTTTCCACAACAGAAAAAGTAGAAATATTGAGAACAATATACATTTACATTCATTTTCTGAAGTTCTGAGGTCAGCTGGCTTGAGTAATGGAAAAGGAGGAGACAGGGAAGGAGACGGAGGAAGTGAAGGATGCATCGTCAACAGGAGTGCCCGGGTTCTGCCATCCCACCCAGCCCTCTGTACACTGCTAAACACCTGAAAGGCAGGATTGGAAGTGATTGGAAAAGTAGGGGAATCCTAGAGTGAGGGAAGGGAACTGACTCCACACTGCCCAGGGCAGAGGCCATGCACCTGTCAAGGCCATGGAGAATCAATCTTGGGGCAATACAGGTGGGCACAGAGGAGTGAAAATGCAGCACAGGTGCCAGGTTCTAACTGCAGTCTGGTGGAAGTCACCTGGTGAATGGCAGGTAGCTGGCAAAACACTCAAGGAATCATAGACAGTTTCAACATGACTTTACTATCTCTCTGAGCATGAGCAGGGCTGGGTGCAAGCGAGCCTGGGTACAAGCCATATGTACAGCATTAAGGTATTTTATAGAAAATAGTGGCTCTGAGTCAAGCACGAACTCATATGGGTGACCACCTAATTTGCCTCACATGGCGTGGTTACATAATGAGCAGAGTTGTGCGCCTGTGCTCCAAACTCACTGAGTCATGCTGGACTGGACGTCTGCCTTGGTCTATTCTTGATGGCAGCACATCCATTTTTCTTACAGCAGGTAGGCAGGGGGCCTGGCTGTCCCAGCTCTGCTGCTGCCTTCAAGGGAGAAACTCCCAGCTGACCCAGTGAGTGACCAGAAGAGCAAAGGGAGATTGAAAGTCCTATAATGGGGAGGGGAAGTCAGAGGAACACTCCTGAGGTCCAAGCTAGGATCAGGATGTAGCTGACCACTGTGTCTTGAGGCCCAGGAGCATGAGCAGGTGTGGAGGGGAGAACCATCACCTGGACATGGGGGAGGGGCTCAGTCAGCACCAGCCCTGGACACTTCCAATGCAGGGGCCATGAGCGGATGCTGGTGCCCAGAAGCCAAGCAGCACGAGCTGCAGTTTGCAAAATCCAGTGGAGGCCCAAAGAAGAGGACATAGGGCTTGGTGCCCTCCATTGCTGCAGAGAGGGCACAATCACTTCTGGGTGCCCCATGTGCCATCTGCAGAAGGAGAAGATGAGAGAGAAGAAAACACAAAAGGAAAGGATGGCCTGTGTGAATCTTCCCTCATCTTTCCATCAGGTTGAGGTCTTGGAATCCAAAAGGATGCAATTAGACCTGGCATTATTCCAGGTGAGTTTGAAGCTCAGCATTCTCAGCTACTGTGGGGCAGCAGAGAATATGTTTCAGAGGGTAACTGGGGAGAAATGTAAACAAACCAAGCTAAGAGGAAGGAAACAACCCCTCAATACGAGTCTCCACTTCATTATCTCTAGAAAAATAGTAATTTGCTTTGGTAATGGATTCTTGCTTCTCCCATGTCCTGATGTTGAAAGAATGACTGGAATGGCAGCTCCGTTGCCATAATTGCTCATAAGGTTAGAAGGCTGCCCCTCAAAATTCCCACATTCTCACAGTTCAGGGGTGACCATGAGGGGCATGTGGGCCTGAAAAAAACCCTGTCCTCTTCCCTGTGGAGCCTGGGGAGGGTGTGTGCTGGGGGAAGAGCCACTCTGTGAGGACTCTGGGCTGAGACATGTGGACTGGGCACCACATGGGAAGAAGCAAAGAGGGCTGGAGAAGAGGCCATAGAGATGGAGGGGGGTCATGAGGGACCTTGTTGTGAGTGAATCTCCCCAGAGCAGGACAGCAGGACTCCCTGATGAAGCAGACACTTCAGCAGGGCCTTTAGTGGGGAAGGATTGGAGTGGAATTCAGAGTGGGGAGAGAAGGATGGGGTGAACATGGTGTGGTGGCTGCTCCCTATGGCACCTCGGAACTGGAGGGAACTGGAGAAAATAAGCTGAAGTATGGAAGCTTAATTTCCAGTGACCAGGCCAGTGTGTTTCAATTGATAATTTGGCCTTTAAAACGAAGGTCACCTTATTTTGTAATCACAGGCTGGTGAGGGCTGTGATGTCTGGGTACATCTGGACGGACTCTGCCTTAGTAAAGAAGGATTCTCAGCATACTGAAGACCCCAACTGAATGCCAGACAGAGAAGGTACTGACCTGCCTGGAGATCTCCCCTGACGTCTGAACAGAGGTCGAAAACACACCCACCAAGAAGAGCCTCCTGTCTTGGTCCCTAAGGAAGTCCGTGGGCAATTATGTAATCAAAGAAATAATTTCTTATTCATATGCTGAGCACATTCTAGGTAAGCCTAGTGTCTTTGGGTCAGAAGTTAATCATAGTTAATCTATTTTTATAAAAATACAGTATTAAATTTTTAAACACCTCTATGCCATATTTATATAAACAACAGCAAAATGAATCTACATAGCCTGTATAAATGTGACATGTATTTTCCCAATAAATATTTTATGCTGAAACATATATATTATGGAAGAGGATAAAATAAAGCAATAATATAGCTCTATGGAAATAACCAAAATAGGGAGTCAGCGTACGAAGACAGGTCATGGTGTCAGCGCATGCATCAGCACGTCTCCCTCTATTGATTAATCCAACAGAAATGCATGACGGGGCTGGGCACAGTAGCTCATGCCTGTAATCCCAGCACTTCAGGAGGCCAAGGTGGGAGGATCATTTGTGCCCAGGAGTTCAAGATGAGCCTGGGCAACATGGCAAAACCCTGTCACTACAATACAAAAGAATTAGCTGGGTGTGGTGGCATGTCACTATAGTCCCATCTACTCAGGAGACTGAGGTAGGAGGAACACCCTAGCCTGGGAGGTTGAGGCTGCAATGAGCCATGATTGTGACAGTGTACTCTTCAACTTGGGTGACACAGTGAGACTCTGTCTCAAAAGAAAAGAAAAAGACGCGTGGCATGTTGGTTAGGCCTGGTGTTTATAAACACAGCACTCACAGTCAGCATCCCCCCATATCATTTTCTAAAGCAATTGTGGTAACTTGTAATGTTTTTACTTAACATTTAATAATGTGATTTGTTATATGATTATATAAGAAGAAAGATGTCGTTCATTCATATCAAATCCTCCATTCGGTGGTGGTGATTTCAGACAGAACTGGGTTCAAATTCCAGCTCTTCCACTTCTTTTACAGCCTTAGGAATACCTATAATACTTTTCTGAAATAATGTCCTTCTTGGCCAATTGGATATAATAAAAGCACCAACCACATAGGGTTTTGTGAGAATAAAAAGCAATGTCATGTAACCATTTAGCAAAATGATGGGCGCATAGTAAGAGGCTAATAAACATTAATCATTATCATCATGGCTGTTATTATGTTGAATAAAATAATAATGTCTAAGATAATTAAGAAGAATAAAAACACACACTAGGCCAGGCATGGTGGCTCACGCCTGTAATCCCAGCACTTTGGGAGGCCTAGGCGGGCAGATCACCTGAGGACAGGAGTTCAAGACCAGCCTGACCAACATGGCAAAACCCCATCTCTACTAAAAATACAAAAAATACAAAAATTAGCCTGGTGTGGTGGAGGCTGCCTGTAATCCCAACTACTCGGGAGGCTGAGGCAGGAGAATCACTTGAACCCAGGAGGCAGAGGTGGCAGTGAACCGAGATCGCTGCCTCCCAGTTTCAAGTGATCCTCCTGCCTCAGCCCCGCGAGTAGTTGGGATTTAGGCACCCTCCACCACACCAGCCTGGGTGAAAGAGTAAGACTCTGTCTCAAAAAAAAAAAAACCACTAAAGGTAATAATGAAAGTCAAATCAATCTGAACACTAGCTTCCAAATATTTGACATGTCAGAGAAAACCATAATGATCTTATCTTCATAAGGGTCTGAAATACCATATTATCTATGTAAATAACAATTATTATTATTAATGTTATTTTAAATTGTATTATTATATACATTTGGGATGGTCAGCTGAGCTTTCAGGATACTCATTAAGTAAGAAAAGGGTTGTCCAGTCACCAAGCCATTGGTGGAACATGTTCTGGAAAAGCAAGGAATTGTCATTAAGAAATGGAGAATCAAAGGATTTCTCCACTGCCTCCCCCTAAACCAGGGCGCATGGTAATGAGGGAGGCATTCACTGCAGCATTGGCTGGAATCCCTCAAACATGCTGGGACTCCAGGGTTTGAGGGATGTACAGATGTTTCTCAACAAAAGGGAGAAAATTTTTGAAAACAAAACTTATCTTTTTGAGAGTCTCCCAGAGCTAAGATCACTCAAACCCAGGCTATCTAAGATTGGCTTTAGGAATTATGACCACTTGGTGACAGGGGTCATAACTTGCAAAGCTTTTATTTAACATTTTATAACATGATTTATTATATGATTAGATATCACTTGGTGACACAGAGACAAACAGAGACTGGGCAACAGTGAGTTGTAACCAGCAGGGGAGAATGGCAGCTGCCGAGGGGTGGACAGGCAGCAGCTGCAAGGCGACATCTGAGTAACAAGGAACCCAGAAGGAGAAAGGGCCCTCTGAGGGGCAAGCCCTAAGAATAACTCAGACCAGGGCTCAGGAAGCCCATGCTGATTGCATAGAGGACCTTGTTTGTCATCAATCAGGTTAGGAAGAACTTTCAGGCAATGAAGGGTATCTCTCTGTATACAAACATTGGTTAAATATAAGAGGGCCTTTTACCTGGAACACAAGAACTGATTTGGACATAGAGAACTGAAAATCTAAATGAAGATCTCTTTCATGCTATAGAACATATTTCACTGCCATTGAGCAACATGCTGTGCTTCCACCTTACACGTTGCTTTACAATAAGGCTTTTCAATCTTGGCCCTATCGGTATTTTAGGCCAGAACATTCTTAGTTGTGGGGGACTGGTCTGTGCCTTGTATGATATTCAAAAACATCCCTGACCTCTACCCACTAGATGCCAGTAGCATCCCACCCCTGTCCAAATACGACAAGCAAAAATGTCTCCAGAAATTCTGGTCTTTGATCACAGGTGCAGGTTGGCCCCAATTGAATACCACTGCTTTACAACAATGATATTCAGTCTTTGTGGAGAAGAGTTTACAAGAGAGCTTATGGAGTTTGGAAGAGCTCCAAGAACAGTTTAACTCTCCTCATTCCAAGAGGATCACTCTTCTAAATACTATGGAATCTGGTGAAGGCAACCACTCATACCCAAACTCAGGCAACACACATATATTGGAACTCACTGATTTATTTACCTTTCCCCTCAAATAATATATTACTACATGAAGCCTATGCACTGTGATCATTCACCTATTTGTCTCCACTAAACTGTGGGGTCTGCAAAGACAGGACTATGCCTCATTTGTGTTTAAGTCCCTGAATCCCAAGCAAAGTAATTTGCAAAACCTGTTCTCTCAATAAACATTTGTTGGTTGATTAACTAAAATAGTGAATGAATGAAACAAAAGAACACAAGAAAATTTATACTTTCTACCCAATATGAGAGAATTCACACTAAAGGCAAAGATCCATTACCACCTCTATCACACAGAAAATTGAGCTAGAAGCAACAAGTTTAGCACAGTAAAATAATGAGGCCAACATCTACTGAAGCTGAAAGGAGGAGCTAGAGATGAGAAGCAGAAACTTTTTCCAATATAGAAGTCAGTGTCTCACTCCATGAGGCACAGGGGTGGAAAGCCCAGAATAACAAAGCCGAGCATCCACATTCATTACTTTGGTGCATTTATTTGCATGTTTTATGTGCTCTCAGTAGCCAGGACAGAGCTCATCTTTGGGCTCCCTGTGCCAAGCAATATGTTACTCTGAAGTACATGTCATTCTGATGGATGCTGCTTTCTCTTTGCAGCTGGATAGCACTTGAGCCAAAAGGTTACTATCCCCTTGAATAATGAATGGGACATTCATGTGCATTTTTGTAGATTATCAAATCAATCTCCATGTGCTATCAAAATAGACTGAATTCCAAGAAGAGTATCATCTCCCCAGACCCAAATGCTAGCCTCCTGCAGAAGTCTTTCAATGTGTCTTGGCCACCATGCACAGTAAGGAGAGCTTTTAGAGTACTCTGAAGTTTTTAGCCAAGATTAGCAAAGTCAAGCATCAATAAATGGTATGTCAACAAAATATAAACAAGATGGGCATAGACTAAAGCTCGTTATACTTCATACTCTAAGGAAGGTCATTAAGTTATCACACCAGTTTGAGTCACATGCCTAGCTTCCTATTTTATTAGCAAATGCTGGTATGCACTCTAATTCCACAATGAATATCATTCCAGTTAGCTTAAAACTTCCTTCAATTAAGCCGACATTTATGAACTTTATTTTATTTTTACACACGGCAAACATGAAAATGCAATGTCACTTCATTGCCTAAAGTTTTTTACTGCTATTCTTCATGATGAAATCTGCAACTTGCAAATCATACTGGAATAATGATGCTCTGGCTCTGGGGTCTCGCTCTGGCTCTGGGGTCTCTGTTTATACTAATTCCATGACTCTACGATCCAAAAGGACTCGACTCCAGTCCTCTGACTTTATCAGGGTCTTGTGCAACCTTTCCTTTGCCTTTGCGATTGGCTGCCTGGAACGTTGTTCACCTGCTTAACTCCCGGAAAAACTCCTATAGTTCTTCCAATTTTGTTCAAACTTCTTGTTATCCCTTTCCTCATGCCACCAACTAATGATTCTGCTTCTCTCCTTTATTTTACTCTACCTTGAACTCATCTCCATTCCAGCTGAAATGGTAGATTATTATAATTGTCTGATTTTTTTCTGTTTTCTAACATTCAGGAAACCCTTTGAAAGTTAAGAAACATGTCCTTCAGAATGGGTAGATATCTGGCTCAGTATCTGACAAAGAAAAGGCACTCAGATATGTGGAGAAGAAATGAATATACACCACATCCTTTTATTTTTTTAAAAATAACACATTTAGTAAATCAGTACAATTTGAGCAAATAAGGATAGAAAGGGAGATTGGGGAAAAGAAGCACTCAGAAACGCAGACCAGGAGGGGTGCTGCATTTGGCACTTACGCTTAATGATAATACTGCTTGTTGCCAAAGTAAAGCTTTTAATTTATAATTCATACTTGTCAGAGACTGAGACAAAGGTTTGTTTCTTGCAACAAGCATGGCCTTTTCTAGCCCCAAGTTCTGAAGGAAATTTCTGCCATATGGCTCCCTGGGGGTGCAGCAAAGAGTGCCCTTCGCTGGGAGACACGGGCTTCCTGCCTCATACACATCACAGTGCTGGAAACTGCAGAGGAGGACAAAGGACTCGCCACTGGTAAGGTTCTCCTTTCCCATATAATTGTAGACTGGTGGGAAGTTTTTGTTGGACAGGAAACAGAGATGCCAACTGAAGGCTAACCTGGAAAAGACATGTGCTCAGAAGTCTAGACTTCCTCCCAGGGAGACCAACGTGTTAAAGAAGAAATATCTAAGAAACTAGAAGCAGATAAAGTTCCTGCAAAATATAGAAAGAAGAAGGGTCGGGCGCAGTGGCTCACGCCTGTAATCCCAGTACTCTGGAAGGCCAAGGTGGGTGGATCACTTGAGGTCAGGATTTCGAGACCAGCCCGGCCAAACATGGTGAAACCCCATCTCTACTAAAAACACAAAAAGTAGCCGGGCATGGCGGCAGGTGCCTGTAATCCCAGCTACTCAGGAGGCTGAGGCAGGAGAATCGCTTGAACTCACGGAGGGGACAGAGGTTGCCGTAAGCCGAGATCCTACCACTGCACTTCAGCCTGGGTGACAGAGTGAAACTCCATCTCAAAAAAAAGAAGAAGAAGAAGGAGAAGAAGTCCTCAGAGAGCTGGAGGAGAACCAGGAAAGAAAAGCAACTTCACGTAAACCCAGGAAGGGGGCAAGAGAGTCAAGAACAGGGCGGCAGGCCACAAGGCCCAGTGCTGCCTGAGCTCAAACAAAAAAAAAAGGACACAAAATGTCCTTGGAGTTAGTCATGGAATTGTGAGCATTAGCCTTTGGGGAGACAATGTCAGTAGTGAGGTGAGTGAGGCTAGATCACATGGGCTTCACGACAGTGAATAGGAAAAAAGAAGTGCAGATGAGATTAAGTCCATCAGGCAAAATAGCCAAAATGTTTTGCAACTGTATTGGGTAACATGACCTGAACACGATCCATGCCAAAGTGTCCCCACAGTGTGGAGACTTTGGGTGAACAGATGACAAGAAAAGTAAAAGAGGGTTACTCCTTTATGACATGATTGTAATCAGAGGGAGTGGATGAGAAAAATAAGTCAGAAGACAGTGAGCATGGACTCACATGTTCTTAACCCCTATGGCATGTTTCCAGCTAACTTCAGCAAGTAATTAAAGTTTTTCTTATTATTGGAAAATTATTGGAAAGACTTATTACCACTATTATAATATTAATATATTTATTAACAATGAGAAAGAAGCAACAAGACATTTTAAGTATGGCCTTTGGAATCCTAATGGGAAATGTTAGGGTTGAAACCTACCTTGTCCTTTTTTGTTGCTATAACAAAATACCTTAGACTAGGTAACTTATAAACAACATAAATTAATCAATTTTGGAGGCTAGAGAGTCCAAGCTTAATGTACCAGCTAATCAGCTAATCAGCTAATCATTGCCTGGCGAGGGTTTGCTTTGTGCTTCAAAGATGGTGCCTTCTTGCTGTGTAGTAAACGTGGTCCTTTCAATCTCTTTTGTAAGAGCGCCAATCTCTCATGACTTAATAACATCCCAAAAGACTCTGCCTCTTAATACTATGACATTAGGATTAAGTTTCAACACATGAATTTGGGTGGGGGGACACTAACGTTCAGACCATAGTATAACCCTAAGAAAGAAATATGAGTCATTATTCTTGATCCAACATGCTGTATATACCTAAAATACGCCGTGGGCTATAGACCCGAGAGCTGATTTGGAGCCACCATGCAGGGTGCCTATGATGTCATGTGTACCTAGATTGGTCTCTGCCATCATTCACATCGATATTATTTTTTAATTTTAATTTTTTCAATTTGTATTATTTTATTTTATTATAATTTTTTGAGGTGGGATCTTGCCATGTTGCTCAGGGTGGTCTCAAACTCCTGAGTTCAAGCCACTCCTCTGCCTCAGCCTCCCAAAGTGCTGGGACTACAGGTGTGAGTCACCCTGCCCACCCGACATCAATATAGTCATGGAAAATAGAGGGAGGGGGGCTTATATGTTTAAAACTTTCTACGAAAGGCTTTCATACACATTACTATAGCTAATGACCACAATGACATTGAAAGAGAGGCAAGATACATAACTCGATTTTTTTCCTTACTTTTTTTAACGGAGGTCATCAAGTTAAATATATAACCCACTTTTGAAGCTGGAAAAACAGAGGCAAGGGGATTGATGTGTCCCTATCACATAGGAGAGCTGGACATAGAGCCGGGGGAGTTTAGCCCATGTTATCTGTTACTGCATAACCATTACCTCAAAACTTAATTGGTAGTGACAACAAATATTATTATCTGACAGTTTCTTTGGGTCAGGAATTCAGAAGAAGCTTGGTCACATGGTTCTGGCTTAGAGTCTCTTAAGAAGCTGCGGACAGAGTGTTGGCCAGAGCTGCAGATGTTTGAAGGCTTGGAGAGCTGGAGAAGGTGCTTCCACAATGGTGCACACACAGGGCTGGAGAGACAGTCCCTTAGGCAAGGTGGCTGGCCCCCTCCAGGCACGTGATCTGAGAGTGAGGGAGGGGAAACAGAGGTAACTTTCTGACTTGTCTCAGAAATCACACACTTTTCCTTTCTACCACAGGTGAGGTGGGAGGAATTAATCTCCAGCGCAAGAAAGGCAGTGTAGCAAACAATGGTGGACATTTTTTTAAACCGCCACACACCCCGACTGCCTGGTTCTTGTTTCCATGACAGTAGAAAACCCTGAACCAACCCCGGGTACAAAGGAGAGGCAGGTATAGTTTATTGAAACTGTTGTTCCCTTGACTTAATTCTTATTTTTCCTCTGAGGAGCTTTCCACCACCTCTGTTACCCTATAATGTCCTGCCTTCCTTCTACAAAACCCTGTTTTTAGTCGGTCCAAACACACTATCCCCATCTATTACATGGAGTGTTAGCCAGAAGTCCAAGCTTATGCCAACCCCCATGAAAGCATGGTATATCCAGGCATGCCTTGAGTTTCAGGGCACTCCTTAAACAGTGACAGTAAATCACAGGGGCAGTCATCTGTCCTGTCTATGTGTAAGGCCATATAGGAAGCCATAAAGAGTGAACAAACCTATGGTAGGTCTTTAAATAACAGAAAAGTCCATCTCCAAAACATTTTTTTTATTCAAGGTCTATTTTGCCTAGTGAATAACACTTTTTAGAGCACATTTAGAATCTGGAACATGAAAGTCTTAGCTCACGTGCAATGCAAAATCCAACTTAATTTCGCCCACATAATCCCATGTTCCCCAAATAATCAAATTTGATATGGAATTATCTAATCCCTTTCTATAAAAGATACCACCAGCCGGGCGTGGTGGCTCACGCCTGTAAGCCCAGCACTTTGGAAGGCTGAGGCGGGCGTATCTGAGGTCAGGAGTTCAAGACCAGCCTGACCAACATGGAGAAACCCCGTCTCTACTAAAAATACAAAATTAGCCGGGCATGGTGGCACATGCCTGCAAACCCATCTACTAGGGAGGCTGAGGCAGGAGAATCGCTTGAACCTGGGAGGAAGAGGTTTCGGTGAGCTGAGATCACGCCACTTCATTCCAGCCTGGGCAGCAAGAGTGAAACTCCGTTTCAAAAAAAAAAAAAAAAAGATACCACCATTTAACTAAAAGATTGTTTTCACATTAATGTGCAAAAGTATTTGATGACACCCATTCAACAGTCCACACTTCTTAACATGTCTCTTATTCAGATGGATGGTGATAGCCAGTATCCCCAGCTTCATGAAGGAGAAAGAGGAAGAAGAAAAGAAGAAGTAAGAGGAAGAGCGGGAGGAGGAAAGGTGGAGGTGGCGAGGAAAAGGAAGTGCAGGAGGAACAGAGGGAAAAAATGAAACATTTTGAAAAAGGGGAAGCAGGAGAGAAAAGGAGGAAAAGTCTAGGGAAAGCAGTCACTGGACAGAGATTATTTTAAATTATTCTATTCAAAGGCTGAAAAGCCATCAGAGACGTCTTATCTCTGGTAAGCCCTCAAGATGTCCTCAGAATTAATGCCAAATTGGCAAAGAACTTTTCAATTTTACTTCTATTTGCAATGAAGCTGTTCCATTGTCGAGTGCATTCCGATTATGATTGCAAATGCAGAGAAAATGAGTGGACCAGTGCACAGTGCAATTTCATTGTCCCTGTGATATATTAAGGATGGTAGCTTGCAATACAATAGAAAAAAGAAAACTACACACAGTAACCCAGCACATGCAGAGTGTTCATTAAAGCAGCAAAGGAACAGATTTGTTAAATTATAATTGTTTTTATATTTACAATTTCACCAATAAATTAAAGTTTAGTACACTAATTAGATTGTATATTACGGTACCTGCACGTGCTATTTTCATTCACTTCACAGCTGGCAGATGGCGTGAGCAGATGATTCTGCTATTAGGAGCCACGGAATTTTAAAGAGACAAGCATAATTGTGCGTATCACTCCTTTGCTGTTCTAGCCATGTGTGTGAACCTGGCCCACTTAAATGCAATACAGCCTCGATATTACTGCCACATCCTTATTTTGAAAACTGCTTATGCTTTTTTAATATAAAACCTACATTACTCATTATTTTTAAATGTTTGGTAAAAATTATATTGTGTAGACAAATGCAGTCATGCAATAATCCAGTTGCAGGTGTTTCCTACTAAATGATAAACTATGTGTTTCTCCTCTCTCTAGTGGGTTACCTGATCTAACAAAAGTCTCAGGATGGTGAAACTTCCTGGAAGACTAACTTTCCAATTTACCAAATATTTGTTGAATGACTGAATGCCAGACTTCAGAACAGAATAAAATGACTGAATAGATCATGTGGAAGGATATGTGGTTGAGTTGACTGTCACTGATGCAAGGAGAAAAAAATCATTAAAAACGGAGAGGTGAAGGGTAGTTTCACATGATCAACACTGAGTTGTTCCCTGAGCTGTTTGCAACGTTGATTGCAAGCGCGAATCCTCCTCGGGGAAAATATGTCCTCTTGTAGATGGAGTCATATGCCAGTGTCTTACCAGATGTGAGAAGCTCTCCCAAGGGCAAAGTAGCCCCACAGTGAAAAGAAAGCCACGCTCCACCCTCACGTGCCCCAAACAACCCCAGATGGTCTAAAGGCTCTTAAAAGGTGGGTTGAGTGACTCGGGCGTATTACAATTCCCAAAGTATTCAATTTCATCCTTGACCAAATCTCCCCACTCCATCCTGCTTTTCACCAAGGAATCCAGCAGTACTGACAGAGTTAGCTTAAGGTGGCCATGCTGTGTGTTTGCCTGTCCAACCCCGGCTGAAGTTCCTATGATCGCTCCTTTTATGTCCAACCCTCTTGCACAGCTCTTGCGGTCAGGGTGCAGGGCATGGGCTTTGCTTTGCTAGCAGGATTTGCTGGCCCCTCTGTGCTAGTATATACGAACTATGTCAAATAGTCCCCATTTGGAGAAACTATTTAAAATAATTGGGAGTGTATGCCAAAAAATTTAAAATAATTTTGTTAAAATATGACTCTTTCAAGCAATGTTCTACCTTATAATCTATTTTATTTAAAAATTTTTAATAAAAGACTTTATTTTTTTGAAAGCTTCAACTCAGACATGCTTAACATGGTCTCTACCAATGTTTATTTATTTAAAGATACATATTTTAACAAAGTAATTAATTATTAATTGTATAGACATATTATATTACATGGAAGGTTTTTCTATTGCAAACTAAAATCCAGTATTTACTTATGAATGTTATTAGGCTACCTCAATGGCAACTGAAATGAAGAAGTTAAGCATTAATACAAAATATATCTTCACTGTAGCTCCAGGAGTCAGAAGATGGCATGGGCTCATGGTGCAGATGGAAGCTCTCTCCAGATTGCATCTAAAGGTAACATGGAATCAGATTACCAGATAGAAATGAATGAGAGGAAGGAGGTATCTGCAGCTCTAGATGGCTGCCCTGGGCTAGGAGGGCAGGTCTGCAGATCCCTGGGGTGTTCGAGACTTCTACAAGACATCTACGAAGTCAAAACTACTTTTATAAGAAAATTAAGATGTTATTTGCTTGTTTCATCGTGTTGATGTTTGCACTGCAAAAACAACGATGAGTAAAACGGCTGGCCCAAGCCGAATGGAGGCAGCAGAACCGAATTGTTCTAATGGCCATTGTGCTCTTCCTGCCATGCCTTTGCAATGAAAAAACATGTAAATACATAGACACACATACACATATTCCAGTTTCCCTTACTACCCATGAGGTATATATAAAGATTATAAATATGATTGAATGTCAACACTTATGTACATATCTTTTTGCTCCTCTGTGTGATAAGTGTGAGGTGTGTTTTGAGCACTTCCCTGTGTGCCAAAGCATGATGGTTATCACGCTCATGTCAAGGAAAAGGTCTCGACAAGTATTTGAGCTTCCAGCTGAATTGGACACTTTTTGTTTGAAAAGAAGACTGACAGACAAACCGGCCACTCTGACCTGGGGATGTGGCAGATATTTTCTTGAAAATGAATGAAGCGAGCCTGTCATTTCAAGAAAAAACAACTGGCTATGTTTATTGACAATGATAATATTTCAACTTTTGAGTGAAGGTCAGAAACATGGAAAACTTGTATCCATTCATCTGAGCCTAACCGTGTCTCTCCACTTGAAGATATTTCTGATGAGATGGGCAGTGATAATAACCAGTGTGTAATATTTTTGCCATTGGATAATGAAATATGTGGACATGTGGAAAATCTGGATAACTCGGTGAACCAATGTTTTCTAAGGGGCCAGTGCATGATGTTACAAAATCTCACATAGATGAAAGACGCATTGAAAGTCCATGACAGACTAGTGCAACGGAGGACAAAAAGTTCACTGATGTAGTTCCAGTCTTTCCTCACTGCAACTCACCTTTCAGAAATTTATATTCTTCAAATTTCTTTGTAATATCAGAGAAGGATATACACAAGTATCATAAAAGGTTGCTAAAATTATCCTCGCATCTTTCTGAATCTACTTCAACCTAACCACTTGTTGCAACAAATCAATGGAGGATATGGGACCCAGCTACGTTGCATTCAGCCTGACAGCAAAGAGACTGGCAAACCTCGAAGCTGTTCTTTTCACTAAATTTTCGTAAAAATATGTTGTGTTCACATGTCGTGGGTTTATAATAAATAAATATTCCAACAGTTCTCAGTCTTAATTCTTAATATAGTTAATTCCAATAGAAACTACCCATATAAATGAAACCTCTTAAGGGTGCGAAGAGGTTCTTGATAGTGGAGAATTGCTGGGTCATGGAGCTGCCATGATTGCTGGGCATTGAGGATTCATTTGAGGTTATGGATTATGGATTAAAACTGGGCTCAGTGAGGGGCTAACATGTTGTTCTCCAGAAACATCCATGTGTGCAGTGTTGGTGGAGTATGGAAAGCAAATTTGTTTCTCTAACAGACGTTATAGTCTTTCTTTACAAGCCGTAAAATTAATGCCAGCTGATTTTATTCTAAAAGAAATTTGGTTGGTTAAGGTGCCGAATGACCCAGAAACCTGCAGACCCAGGCCAAGATGGATGAGACCAAAAGGAGACAAGGCTTTCAGGAGCACAGGCAGGAGACTCTGGCCTGGAAGGGACAGGAGACCCCACGAAGCCCCTACCACTGCCTCAGGCTGTCGCTGCTGGGGCCCTTGCCAGAGCTTCCCTGGACGCAGAAAAATGGGCCTTCTCTTTTTGCTTCTGTGATAGGAAATGCTGTCTGCCTCCTACTTAGAATCATACGCAGTGGTAGGAACTCCCCAATATAGAAAATTGATTCTGATTGTAGTTCAAAAAAAAATCCTCATATCCTGCAAGTCCCTTTCTCTGTTATATTCACCTCTTCCCCAAACCCTCTAAATCTCCCTAAGACTCCCTTAGGGAGTCTAAAACCAGCTTCCTGGTTAAACAAAGTAAAAAACAAAACGAAACAAAACCAAAAACAAGAAGGGAGAAAGGCAAGGAAGAGTGAAATAAACAGCGGCATATAAAAAGAAATTAATAGCCTAGGTTAGCATTCCTTATTACTATATATTCAGCTCTTATACCCACACTGGAGGGTAGCCAACTTTGTGACTGTTGTCTCAGACATTGACACTTGGGGTTAACGCACCTAGAATAGTTATTTGGTTTATTTTAATTACCAAGTTCCAAAAGAACAGAACAATTTGTTTCTTTGTTTGTTTTGTAATATACTGTTAGGATGCATGAGAGATCAGGAATAAGCATTCTGAGGCCAAATTCTGCTCTATTCTCAATCTATATGGAAAAATACCAAGACAGGTCTGTGTATTTTGTTTTTGTTTTTGTATTTTTGAGATGGAGTCTCACTTTGTCACCCAGGCTGCAGTGCAGTGGCATGATCTTGGCTCACTGCAATCTCCACGTCCTGGCTTCAAGTGATTCTCCTGCCTCAGCCTCCTGAGTAGCTGAAATTACAGGCGTGCACCACCACAACCGGCTAATTTTGTTGTTGTTGTTGTTGTATTTTTAGTAGAGACAGGGTCTCACCATGTTGGCCAGCCTGGTCTCAAACTCCTTACCTCAGGTGATCTGCCCACCTCGGCCTCCCAAAGTGCTGAGATTACAGTCGGGAGGCACCACACCCGGCCCCTGCGCATTTTTTTAAATGGCCAAATTTTGTAAAGTTTATTTCTTAAATGGATGGGGCAAGAATGATTCTGAATGGGATTAAAACCCCTCTTTAGGTATGGTATGCATTGTATATTTCGGATTATCTAAAAATTCTGTCCTAGGGCATGACAAATTAATAAGTACCCATTTAAGCATGTGATGTTCATATAGCTCCTTAGCTACTAGGTGTTTTCTGCACAGAAACAATTTGACAGGGTCTACTCATCTCTGTGATCACACTTGCTTTTTCTTTTTATTATTTAAAGATATATTTTTAAGGAAATAAGGAAAATGGCCAGGAACAAATGACCGAGAATAATGTCTTCTTTTCCAGCAGCAAATCTCTGCTGAAACATGGAGTCTCTATTGTCAGGTGTGTGTTGCTGTGGAGGGTCAGCACGTTTGTGTTTACCTGACCCCTCTCTTGACTCTCAATCTATTCACTAACCCATGCTACCTTCTTTTCAGGATCTACCAGAACAAATTCTTGATTTCAGTGTATATACATTTTACATTTTTTAGAAAAATATGGTGGTGGAAAGCAAGAATTATTAAAGTTTAAGAGCTCCTGCACCACAGAGGCAACAAGGGAAGAGCATTGTTATTTTGAAACATGATTTAATATAGGCAGGAGAGACAGAGAGAGATAAGGACTGCCCCCAGGCGATAATAATATTAGAGCTTAGAGACCCAATGGTGGTGATTCATTCAACAAACACATACTTACCAGGCAACTTCTATGTTCCAGAGCTAGCCTACTGCTGGTACCGCATGCCACCATATCTCTAGGGAACAAGGGAGTGGTCACGCGATTATACAACATTAATTTTCATAGACCCAGTGAGTTTGAGTTTTGGAAGGACTATTGCAGACCACTAGGTCTAATTCTTTTACATTAGGAAAATAAAGATCCAGGTTTTAAGCCAATTCTAGAAATAAATCCAAGTCTACTTTTTCTTTGCTATGTGATCTTTTCCTTATGCACCTACACCCATAGACACACACACACACACACACGCACACACACACACACACAAATATAAGCATCCAGGGTGAGTAAAAAGACAAGAAGAAAGGAATCTCAGGTAACTGTGCAGGATGGCAAAGGTAATATGTCTGGGTCACAGAAGTTGTGGGAAAAAAGAAAGATAGACTGCCTATATTTTTCATGATGCTTATTTTTAATACTTTCAAAAACAGTGCCTTGGTTTTATATTAGTTGGACACTAAAATTAAAAACAAACTTCTACGTGTCCAAACTTTCTAAAATAAGTTCTCTGTGGTATCCTAATAAGACAAAGTTTAGATTTTCTATTAAATTCTTTGAAGTTAAACATGAGCCCAGCTTAAGTCATTTGGTATGAGAAAGAAGTACAGAGTACACCTGAAAAAACTTGTGTTTCAAAGTAACAAACAAATTAGCTTTTTTTGAATAGTACTTAGATGTTTATTTTAACTGTCTACAAGATTTGCCAAAAGGGAAACCATACTTTTGATACTGTTTAAGTTCAGAACAAGTTGGAGTGTACGGAATATATTGCTCATTTGTATGCTTTTGAAAATGGTTTTCTCTTCCAGCCATTTCATATCCAGATGTTCTGATTGTTCCAACCCACAAGCCATGTAGATTATTCCTGTTTTTCTTTGTATCATGTAAATATTTTGTCATACATTAAAATTATGGGAAATCATGGTATTTTTATGATTTCAAACTTGGAATCTGCAGGCCTGAGAATGGCATTAAATCTAGCTGTGTTCTCTTTCACAGACACAACCAAATGTCATCATTAAGATTAAAAAAGCCGGGATTCCTATGCACTGTCCACCGGCTCTGTTACTTTTGATGGACTTTACTGGAGAAAGAGCTGACAGAACATTTTCAAGATGGACAACTATATTTTAGGCAGATATTTCCCTGTTTTCCAGACTTCTTTTTTAACTTAATGAAACTTGATATGTATCAGAATGCTATTATAATGGATTTGCTATAATTTGCTATTACTATAGCTATGAAAATTATGTATTCATAGACAATCATTTTTAAATCAAAATGTTGTATTTGCACTTTTCAAAAATGTTATTCTCCTGCCATAGCTAACACGACGCCCCTGGAGAAAGCTCTGGTGGCCTGGGGCCCACGCCTTCCATTGGGCTGGCGTCAGTCAAGTGATGGGAGCCGCACCGCCCTCCCCTTTCGGTGAGGCAGCGCCCCCTGGTGGACTGACACGGGCAGTTTTGGACGTGAGCGTTGTGAAAGAAGGAAGTGATTTCCTACCCTGCGCTCGGTAGACACGTTTAAATCGCCTCACATTCATACTTATCTCTGTAGATGCAAATTATACAACAGGACCAGATAGGAATTCTCCTAAATCTGACATTTTTGGTCTCCAAAATGAAAACTACAGACTATTAATGGAAATTCTATGCAATGTAATGTATTGGCTCATTGGCATGAAAAACCAGCAAACTCTGTGGGGCTTTTCGACACAGAGATTGAGGGAGGAGGAAGAGAGATCACCCTAAAGTTCTTCCAGTTGCACAGAACCGCCCCCGAGGCACCGCTGCACCGGCTCTTTGGTTCAGAGACCCTACATCACATCCCACTGATGGAGTGATAGAATTCAGCTCTTCATCATCATCCGCCAGGAAAGGGGACTGTGTGATATTTTTACAGGCCAATTCCATTTGCAGACTATAAAATGGTGTAGGAATTTCTCCTTTACCTGGCCTAGTCTATAGGTGAAAACACCAAGGCCCAGACAGGATATGAGGCATTCCCTGAGGTCACACAGTAAGATAGAGCGTGGACGAAGTGTTTGCACCCCTGAAATGATAACACCTGGGTTCCCTGCTGGATCTATCCTGGTTTTATTTTCTTTTTAAAAAATTCGCGTAAGTTCCTCTGAGGATCTACAACCCGCATTTTTTTATTTATCTCTGTGAAGGATGCTGCAGAATCCGCGTCCTCCACGACAGAGAAGAGAATGTGCCGTGGCTTTAGCACTTGGAGAAGAGCAGCTCAAACGTGGGCCGTTTAAAGAAACTCACTGAAAGGATAGGGTCTTTTTCTCACAAAGATGGCCTTTTCTTTTCTCTCTCTCTCTCTTTTTTTTTTTTTGTTTTTTGTTTTTTGTTTTTTGTTTTTTTTTTGAGACGGAGTCTCGCTCTGTTGCCCAGGCTGGAGTGCGGTGGCGCGATCTCGGCTCACTGCAGGCTCCGCCTCCCGGGTTCACGCCATTCTCCTGCCTCAGCCTCCCGAGTAGCTGGGACTACAGGCGCCCGCCACCACGCCCGGCTAATTTTTTGTATTTTTAGTAGAAACGGGGTTTCACCGTGTTAGCCAGGATGGTCTCGATCTCCTGACCTCGTGATCCACCTGCCTCGGCCTCCCAAAGTGCTGGGATTACAGGCGTGAGCCACCGCACCCGGCAAAGATGGCCTTTTCTAGACACAAGATCGGGGCACAGAAGGTACCAGCAGAGCACTAGGAACCCAAAGGGCCCTGTGAAATTTGAAGGCCACTTCAGCCCCAGCACCTGAAGCGAAGCCGTCAGGCACTGTCAGGAGGCGTCTCGCTGGGGCAAGAGGGAGCTTGCTCTTAGGCAGAGGGCGTCTTTGTGACTTGAACCACCTGAGAAAGGATTAAAAGGGAGAGTCCAAAAGCTTCAGGAGGAATGTGGAGGGATCCTCCTCCCCAAAGAAACAATCAACTGAATTCTAAGAAACCCTGGGGCTAGGATTTGAGAGAGGGAAAGAGCCTGGTCTATCACTTATCGTGAAATGTGTTTCAAGTTAGTTTGCTTTAACTCTGCTAAGCTTTGGACAGTTTTTATTTTACTGCAAGAGAAAAAGTAAAGAGTACAACCAGAAGTTTGTGCTAAGGGAAGCATGCACTTTGTTATAGAGTCTATATTCCATGTTCTCAAAAAAGTTATGTGTCTGAAATGCAATGGTATATTTCCTTTAAAAACTGAATGTGGGATACAGCAAGCAGGATTCAATTGAATAGGATGCTGAAGATTTTCTTTAAATCTGTAATTTTATTATATTCTTTGACAAAGTATCTTCTTGTTAATATGAACATATGAGAATGTGGTAGTGTTCAAGGAATAGGTGTTTGACAGCATTTTTAATTAAGAGCTCAGAGAAGTAATGGAAGACATCACTAAAAGTACTTTTGAGGAAATTAAATATCTGGATTATTTCAAAATATTACTTAGGAGCATTTCATGAAGGAATATAATGAAAGTGGGAAGGAAAAGAGCAGAAACAAAAGAGGCCTACATTAAAGATTTTGCAGTGCTCAAACCAGGCCCTCTATGCAGGAGACTCTTGAAGCCCTGAGGAGGCTTTGAAGAGGGAGCTCTGGGCATCCACTGCACCCGTCCTGGGATGGGAATCAGAACTGCCCAGTAAACGCATTAAGCACACCTGCCCTTCTTCAGTTGGTACAGTGATTGGTGCCCTATTTAACTTTTCCTTTTCCCTCACAGGTCTTCTGGAGACTTCTGAGCAACCTGCTATACGTGTCCTGTCGTTGGTGATGTTTCCATGTCTCTGTGTGATCTGCAAACCCCTCTGCTAAAAAAGAATTCCGATTCGCATTCTTACCACTGGGGCTGCACCTGCTCCACCTGTCTTTACCTTGCGCACACACTGTTTGGGGAAGATGCTTTTTCTGATACTTTCTGAATGGAAAGGCATCATAAGAAGGACATATTTGTGAAGTGCTTGAAAGTCCTCTCATACTTTCCAACGCAGAAGGACTAAAGTCTTTGTCAAAGTTAAGGTAAAATACATCACAGTCACTGGATCCCAGGCTGCGTAAAATCTGCCATTGTCTCACGAGAAAATATGCAGCCCTCCATACCAGCCCAGCAAAGAGTTTTTAAAGAGATCATTCTGCTTACTAAGCTTGATCTACAGTGCCAGAATATAGGGCTACATTTTTTTTTTTTTTTTTTGCCCTTCATGAAAGACCTCAGATTAACGTTTAACTAAAAATTTATTACTAAAGCTCTCTTTTCCTTTCCTTTCCTTTTCTGTTTCTCTGTCTCTCCTTTTCTTTCTTTCTTGGGTGAAAAGCATAGGGACAACTAGCTAAGGCTGTGAAATTCAAATCTATCCCTCTTTCTTTCTTTCTTTCTCCTTCCTTCCTTCCTTCCTTTTTTCCTTTTCTGTTTTTTTTTCTGTCTCTCTTTCTATGGAATTCTAATCTGTCTCTCTCAACATGTGGCCAGCTTGCACATATGACACAGTAGAGACCGTCTGACAAGGGTCCTGTGCTGGTGACACTCAGGTTACATTAATGAGGGAGACACACACCGTGCGTCACAAAATGTTATACAATGAGAATCATGAGAATCAAAGAAATCATGCCGGAAGGCATTTGCCTTCTCAGAATGAGACATGAAGGTTCTGCTGAAAGTTGGTTCTCTCAGGCCCCTGGAGAGCTGGACACAGCAGCATTCCGAGAAGTGCAGGGACTGAGGCAGGGCCCTCAAGGATGTCCTGGGAGGACCAGGAGGGAAGAGAAAGGAAGGACCACCAGTGGGAGTGGGCAGACGACAAGGGAAAGGAGACATACGGGGAAGAAGGAGAAGGCAAAGGAGGCACAGAAAGAAAATGTAAAGCGATCGTGAATTGAACGTATAAGGATTTAGGCCTTCTGGTTCTGAAACAATTTAATAGAGGTCAGTTGCCCTCCCAGAACCTGTCATCTATCACTGATGAAAATGTGAACCAGGCCAGCTTAAACCCAGATCAGTACTGTGGTCTCCAAGCAACACCACAGGCCTTACCACCTGGACCCTTAGAGATAAAGTTCCTCTGAGTCTCCATCCATCTCCAGCCATCACAGGGCCCAGAGCCCTTCATGAGGCCAGCGCGAGACAGGTCATCCATCATTCCTGGCCAATGTATGGGTGTGCAGATGCTCCGGTGTGAAAGGACCTGGCTACCTTCCTTCGATTATTTTACTCTGAAGATCTCCAACGGAGCGACTGTGTAGCTTTTCCTTATGCCATTTCCCCATTCTTCGGGTGTTAAAATAATACAATATGATAATATTATAACATAATAAGACATGATCATCTGTAATATAATGGCATAAGTAATATAAATAAAGGTAAAATACTATATTATCATAGTATGTAATATAAATAGACTATAATATAACACGATGTAATGTAATTTATCATAATAAAATAGTGAGAGCAGCACAAAACTCTCTCTTAGTACATACTGATCTTGTTGATCGCTAACCAAAGGGCCACTGGGCAACGGGTGCCCATAGCTCCTACACTCTCAACATGGTTCAGACCTGGGATCTAGATGATGGAACACTTACGGCATTGGTAATGCTAGTGTTCATTAGAATGACTGCTGTGGGGGTTAGGATTACTATGACACAGTGCCAAGCTCAGTAGGAAGAATTTTAAGACTCTGGGAATTCAAATGTCGGCTCACATGGTAGCCTGAAGAACATATATTTGGAATCCTTCCAATTCTCATTCTGTCCACAGAACCATGCTTGGAGCCCATCTGCGTGTGCCAGGCAGGCCCCTTTTGATCCACTGCCACTGAGCTTGTCACCGTGGAGCTGGGAGGAATGTTGATGAGCGGGACCTCTCTGCTTGCTGGATAGCCAACTTTGATGGTAAGCAGGCTGCAGAGGCCTTTCTCCTTCTCCTTGACCCAGCAGGTGCATGCTGTGTGGGCTGGGCATGGGGCCTGCTTTGCTGTGTTGGGACAGGGACCCAGGAATCGGCTGTAGCAAGGTCATCAGGCAGAGCCCCCACCCAAGGCAGAGCGCTATTCTAAAACATCTCCAATGCAAAGGCTTTCTTTGCCTCTTAAAACCTTAATGATGGCCAATTCATGAATTCACAAAGAAGTTCACTTTTTTATATAAAATTCTAAATTTTGGGAAACTTTTCCTTGTGGTCAACCAACATTTGCCTCTGTATACCTCGTGCCCAGAGCTGTAGGCTATGCAAGGTTAGCTTTCTAAATTATAGTCCTTCAAATATTTGTAAACACCTGAGCGAGGTGGCTCATGCCTATAATCCCAGCACTTTGGGAGTCCGGGGAAGGAGGATCACTGGAGGCCAGGAGTTCAAAACCAGCCTAGTCAACATAACGAGACTCCATCTCTATTTTTTGTAATTAAAAAGAAATTTAAAAAGAAAGAAAAATATTTTGGGAACGATGTAGATCAAATTCACTGTGCATGTGGCCTCCCTCAAAAGTTTATACATATCACAGAGACACACAGGGCCATGTCTCCAGCCAGTCCATCCCAGCCCAGGGTAGAAAGGGCTCTCCCAGCCTTCTGCTGGATGTGGACTTTCTATGCTGCACCAGACACGAGTTGATGATCACTGGGAGAAAGTTGTTGCCTCGACTTTCTTCTAGAAAGGGCAGCCGCAGTGCCATATACACATGTGCACACACCTTCATGGAGGCACAGACACACCACACACATGCCTACACACCTGCACACATACACACTCACACACAGACACACACACACACACACACACACACACACAGAGCTTCTATCACCATGTTAGAAATCTCACTATTCCCATTTCTTAGGGCTGAATACGAAATTAGAGAGTGTTGTCTCCTGAACACTAGTTGAAATGTGCATGTTATTAGAGTGGCAAGGAGTCTCTTAAAAATAAAAAACAAACAAAAACAACAACAACAAACTCCCTTTCTAAAATCTAACCGTCCACCATCTTGCTGGTTTATAATTCTAGAATCTAAGGGTTCCCATCTATCAACTCAAAAGCTTTCTGTTGACCAAAATCCCAAGGGAAAAAGGTATACAATAGAAATAGTATGGATTAAGACAAGGTAGTGATTAATAAAAAGAAACATAATGAAAAAAACACCGGTTTTGCCAATGATTTACATTGTAAACCTCAAAAGCCACTTATTTCTCAGAGCCTCAGTTTCCTCTTAATGAAATCAGAGTATTTAACCCAATGAAGCTGACACTTCCTTCAAGTGCTTCAATGCTCAGTGATTATTATAGCCTATAGTTCAGTGGGGGGAGGTGAAGAATCACAAAAGAAAAAAAGTAACTATGTATTAATACAAGTGCTTAAAAAATACTTGCTGGTTAAATAAATAAAGAAGAACATGATATACTTCAAAGTGTTTTTGCAAATGAACCTTCCTTTAATTATAAGCTGAAGTAATCCAAGTACTCCTGTGAAGAATTGTATGCATGCCTAAAATGCTATTCTTTTAGTACTAATTGCCAGTTGTTTAATCACTTTTAAGATTTTCTTTTATGTGTCGGTCATATTTTTATAAATGCCCTCTGTGACAGAAAACTGTCATCCCATGTGGATTTGATTGCGCTGTAAGGAAAAACCATTCAAAGAGAGATAATGGAGGTAAGTTACTCTTTTCTTACTTGACTCCCGCTCGTTAACTGAGTCTGAACCAGAATTTTTAAAGTTGTTTATAGCAGTGAGGGCAGAGTTGAAATGAGCCATGTACTCCTTGCTGAAGCCCTCAAATGCCCCGGAGCTTAATCTCTCACCCCTGAGAGGCTAAAAACATGTCTGCGAAATGGAACTGGAGATCATGCATTTTAACCAGCATTTTAATAACTTTATTGCTCATATTAAGAAAAACTCCATTGATATGCAGATTGTGTCAATACTTCTTTTGCTAAAAGTTGTGAACACTTTGGCAATCACAAATGAAAGCATTAAGACAGAGAAGATGTGAAGCAGGAACTCTCCTGATTATATGTCATTCTATTTCTAACATCTGTAAGTATCTTACATACTGAGCATTATGAATGCCTTTGAAGGCTCTGCAAATAATTTTCCAAACTCCATGAGAAGGGAGAGTGTCAGGGAGAGGGTTTGAGGCTGGAGTCCGGAGCTTCTGCCTGTCTCTGACAGTAGTACACCTTATTAACACATATGGGCCAAACAACAAATTATTTAACTTACGGTTAAAAAGCATAAGAGACTACTTTACAAAAAACAATGTATGTAGTAGTTAATAAAACTTCAAATAATGTTTACCGCATACTGTTGTGGAATAGCTATTCAGATCAAGTTAAAAATTGAAATACAAAAACAAACCAGAGAGAGAAAGAGAGAGAGAGACAGGAAAAACCCATCCATTGAATCTCCAGCATTCCTGCATGGAGTTTAGTAAGGAAAGAGCACATGTCGCAAAGCAAAGACATTGCAGTTCCAACAACAAAAGTGAAACATCTTATTTACAAAAGACCCCTTTCCGGCTGTTGTGAGTGAACCTGTGTTTGTGAGAAGCAGCGAAGAAGCTCTAAAGCCCACACTTTTCTCCCCTTAAACGGTCATCACAGCATCGAAGTTCCAAAAGGGGACACCTATTACAGGCCTCTAATGATTATTTTTTTAAGTGCACTTTACACGTCCTCCCACAGCCCTAGTGCTGCGCTGGAAAGATGATCCCTTTCCTGCCTGTCAGCCACAGGTACAGAATGCCCCTTGTCCAGACCCAGGAGAAACAACAGGAGCTGTTGAACTCTTTGCCTTGAGTCTTCCCTGAGAGAATGCGCCAGGCTTTGTCTTCCTTGGGACAAAGCTCCTCTCTCCCAGGGGGCCGGGGTGCCACCAAACCATGGCATGGATTTAGACTCCATGGGATTGGAGTTCATTCAGAAAATTGGTTTTAGGAGCCTTATCTAACATTTCCAAGCAAGAACCCCAAAGGTCATCCTGCCCTTCTGTAGGGAGCCCAAGTTGTAGAAACAATCCCAGAGGAGAAACATGTTTTCTAACTTCTGTGACTGCATTGTGGGAGGCACTGCTCACTGTACACCCGGCACATGAGGGTAATTAGGTGATCCTCTTACTTGTAACCCAAAGAAGAGAGTGAATTAATGAATAATACATACACAGAGTTCCTTTCGTCTTAAATGTGTTTTTACAAAGAGGATAGTACTTACACAGATTTAAAGAAACTACCTATGGGATTTTAAAGATAAGTAAAGTTGTGTATTACTTCCCAAATGTGGGAAAATTTGGATGGAATTAAGACCTCAAAACTATTGGTGCAATGCAATGTGTCACCTCTCAGTAGAAGAAAAATGTGACTAGAAATAAGAAAGACAGAAGGCTTTCTCATGTAGTAATTTTTTAAAAGTACATTTTCTTTAGTATCCTTACAAGATTCCTAACTTTTTAAGACCATATTCTTTCTTCAGGTATTCATCTTGCAGATATTTGCATGTTTTAACATAGGTATCTCCACCTATTAAAATAATAGGATGTATTTTTTCTTAAGCTTTGCTGTGATTAAATGCAAGAGTCACCTATTTTAAATCAGGTTTAAAAACCAAGAGTAGGTGTCCTCAGAAATCACAAATTCTGGGGTATAATGAAATTGAAGTTGTAACATTGCCTCCTAAAAGTTGTTTCTGAAAAAGGCGGAACTTCCAAAGCATTTCTCCTGCAAATGTTTTCTATCATAGGCCTTTCTTTGAGGAGTAAAGGAAGTATTCTCACCCATGCCTCTGGAAATGAAAGCTGAAACTCCTGAAAGGTTCCCTGATGCTTCCTTTCATGTTTCTCTCAGGAAGCATTGACTTGAGCACCTCCTCTGTTCATGCCACTGTTCTATTAATACTTGCTACAAAGACAGAGATGAAATGGGTAGCTCTCCAAATACAGAGAAAAATATGCAGAGAAGAGTTTACGGATTTATTTTAACCACTTGCCAGACACTTTTAAACACGTCCTGTAGAACAGGCTGGGAAATTATTTTTAAGGTCGCTTGACAAACGAAGAAACTGAGGGAAAGCCATTAGATACCTAACATTCACAGAATCCATTCTGCAAAGCTTGGAATCCAGATGGGCTACAGTTGCAGGTTCTTTCTAGACAGTAGCCTGCTTCGAGGTTAAAAAAAAAAAAGAAAAAAAACGAAGCCTGCCTGACTTCTTGAGCCATTAATTAATCCCTTTCCTTTGCAAGGTGGTCCTTCTACGGTCTCCAGCAGTTCAAATGCTTCCCGGAAGAGGCAGGCGCTTATCTTTCCTATGGTGCTACAAAGCTCTCACAGCAGTGCCAAAGTCCAGTTCTCCCATAAAAGCACCAATGTAGAAAGCAAACCTTTAAACAGCTTCCAACCCAACGTGAAAGAAAAAATAACCTTATTCTTACTCCTCCCCCCATTTCCTCTCCAACTGAGCTTCTCACTGCAAGCCTGTTAGGTTCTCATTCTATTTCTCCTCTTCATTGTTTTCCCCGGTGCTCCTGCGTGTGCGCACGTGTGTGTGTACATATACATTAGTATCCTCCCACATCCCAAATACCAAGCCCTTCCTTCCCCTCATTGAAGGACTTTTTTGAATTCTGATTCAAGCAGGAAGCTTACCCAGACCAGGCCACCCGACGAGACTTTCTATTTTTACTCCGACTTTTGTTATACCATTAGACCCTATGATCTATTTCAACTTTCAAAACCTATTTCAAAATAAATAGGATCCCCTCATGCCCCACCATAAAGGTTGTGAGAAATCATAAAATATAGGTAACGGAATTAGAGTAACAAGTTAACATGTAAGATCACTTAACATTTCAGATGATGTGTGTATGTTTTTGGGTGTCTGTGTGTGTGTATAAAATGTATGGGTGTATATATAATGGGTGTATATGTAATTTTATAATACACATATAAAATGCCATCACATGCTACATAAATATGAGCTGTGTCAACTGCATCAGGCAAGAGCCCCCTCTGATAGTGCACAGCTTACAGGGCAGTCAGTAGATGTGGCTTTGTCATTCTTTGTGGTTTACTGTGGGGTGAATTGAAAATAATCTTGAAGGCCAGGCGCGGTGGCTCACATCTATAATCCCAGCACTTTGGGAGGCTGAGGTGGGTGGATCACCTGAGGTCCAGAGTTCGAGACCAGACTGACCAACATGGAGAAACCCTGTCTCTACTAAAAATACAAAATTAGCCGGGCGTGGTGGCGCATGCCTGTAATCCCAGCTACTCAAGAGGCTGAGGCAGGAGAATCGCTTGAACCCAGGAGGCGGAAGTTACAGTGAGCCGAGATCATGTCATTGCACTCCAGCCTGGGCAACAACAAGAGCAAAACTCCGTCTCAAAAAAAAAAAAAAAAAAAAAAAATCGAAATACAAGTAATTGGCTTGTTAAAAAAAAAAAAAGACAACTATGTATCAATAACACTAGCAAAGAAATCAACCTACTTAAGGTAATCTATGCAATTTTGGAAGAAAACTTGTATGAGGAAAATCTCAGGGCGACTGACCCACAGCCCTGGACCGCTCACTCAGCTATGAGATTTTCATGCACAGAGAATAAACTGTCGTACTTAAGCCGTAGTATTTTTGGATCTCTTTATGACAATAGCTCAGCCAGTATCTTAACTAACATAGAAATTGGTCCCTGGATGGAAGGTGCTGCTATAACAGAAATGAAACTAAAATAAGTGACTTCAGTGTACTAGTTACATGGAAGTGAGTGTAAACATGAACTTGGCACACTGGTGAATCAGTGTTGCCTAAATATGACAAAATATTATCAAATTAAGAGAATATCAAAAAAGTCAAACTGGCATCTAAAGTAACTCAAAATACTGAAAATGTATCCCTAAGAAAGAATTGGGGAAATTCAGAATATAGGTATGCTCCTTAATTTTGTTACTAATAATGGTCAAAGAGAGAGATACGTGTTCAGGTTAAAACATGTTAATCTTCAAGCAGAGATTAATAAAGTGAAGAGAGCACTCTTCAATGTTATTGTTCTGCCCAACAGCCTAAGTGGATTGAGAGTTCAGAAATCAGGGTGTCTAGAGGGTATAAGAGAAGCACATTGGTATTTGCCCAAGACCAACTGCGTCTCAGATGTTGTTGCAGGAAGTGTGGATACATAGTTAACTTCTGCAATTAATCTTTACCTCCATTTCCTTCACCTTGATAATAAGGATAATAATGTTTATTTTATAAATCATTGTCAAGTTTAAATAATGTAAAGAATACTGTACCGCCCTTGGAATAGGTAGAATCCCCCCAAAAATGTAACTGATTTGTTCCCATATTCTGCTTTCCCAGGCCCTGCGTTGCTCCTGTACTTCTAGCACATGTGTCTGCCCCTGAGACCCAATGCATTTGCACAATCTGTGCCTCTGCTTCTAGACGGACCTAACTGGAACCACGTGCTCCTGTGCATTCAATGGCG
Organism: Homo sapiens; assembly: GCF_000001405.40. Classification (NCBI taxonomy): domain Eukaryota; kingdom Metazoa; phylum Chordata; class Mammalia; order Primates; family Hominidae; genus Homo; species Homo sapiens. The sequence continues at coordinate 5,377,085 of NC_000002.12, forward strand.
CATCGGGTATGGCTGCCTGTCACTTATCCCCAGAATCCTTGTTCTATGTCCTCTCTGTCCTCACCGTGTACTTTGCCTTCCCACTTTGCAGAGTCTCCCAGCCCTGTTGCTGTCCTTGTCATCTTCCACAGGTGGCCCTGTTCTCTGCACTGTGTGCCTGGCCTGGGGGACTGTGCATCCCCCTCTCCTGACCATTTATGGAAAGGAGCACCTGTTCCTCCCAATAGGACCTGCCCAATTTCAGTTCCTTGAGCTTTCCTGGTTGGGCTGATCTGCATTTCCACAAAGTGTTTTTCTGAGACATGGGCCTCAGCTCATGCGAAGGGTTTTCAGCATAAAGAATACTGGTCGGGTCCATCTGGTAGCATTGCATATTCAAGGTTCTGCATGATTTGAATGAAACATGAAACAATAAATTCATCCACTGCCTAGAAACATCTGGTCTCTTTTAATAAACTCCTACCACTTGGCTGTCTGAAACAAGACTATTTGTATCCAACATGTATGCTGAGAGTTCTTTTATTTTTTTCCCTCTCTCCAGCTGCAAAGCCACATGAGAAGTAAACATGCTCTTTCATGTTATTCTCCATTGAATATGATCTGAAAGTACTTCCCAACTTCCTGAATAGACTCAGAATGTTCAAGGAACTTCTCACAGATTTGTATCAAAAACCTATAATACATGAAACGTGAGACTTCCCTCAAAATACTGCCTTTTGACAAGTGTCAAAGAGAAAATAAATCCTATAGATTGTGACCCTGAATTGTCATTAAATTTGTGTTTACTGCCTGGTTTCCTCAGTTTCCAAGTTGAGTACGCTCAGGTAAAAGGCATTGAAAGTGGTAAGTCTTCTTCCATCTAACAACATGTTAAGTATTTGGAGATAGATGCAAATTATCACCTCGGACTTCAAATGTTCCATTGTAATATTTTTATTAAATGTGACAGTTTTCAAAGCATGTTCAGATACTTTATCTCATTTTGTTCTCTTGATAAACCTCTAAAATAAGAAGGGAAGATACTATCCTCTCTGCTTTGGAGAAGAGAAAATTGAAGTGCAAAACATGAAATAGCCATGACTTCTAGCTAAGATGGCACCAGGAGTCCACCTCTTGACCAATACCTCTGCTTGAAGCACTCGGCATTAGCAGGTAAAGTATTAGCAGAGATTCCAATAAGACATAGCTTTACTCTACAATCATGCCTCCTGCATTCTCATGAGCCAGATAGAAAATTCAACAAGAGGCCCATGGAGCTGGAACTGGATGGCCACTGAGTGGGGAAGAAAGTCAGCCGCAGCATGTGAACCCCTGGGCTTTCCCTTCCATGCTCATGCCTTAATGTCAGATGCTGGGAGAAGTTTTTCTTTATCTTAAAAGGAACCTGAAAACCAAAATGACTGGCAACTGCACCTTTACCAATGGCTTCTAAAAATGTGTCTGGGCATATACCAATGGAACAGAATAGAGAACTCAGAAATAAGACCACATACCTACAACTAACTGATTTTCAACAAACCTGACAACAAGAAGCAATGGGGAAAGGATTCCTTATTCAATAAATGATGCCGGGATAACTGAACAACCATATGCAGAGAATTGAAACTGGACCCCTTCCTTACACCATATACACAAATTAAATCAAGATGGATGAAAGACTTAAATGTAAAACCCAAAACTATTAAAACCCTAAAAGACAACCTAGGTAATACCATTCGGGACACAGGCACAGGCAAAGATTTCATGACGAAGACACCAAAAGCAATTGCAGCAGAAGCAAAACTTGACAAATAGGATCTGATTAAACTAAAGAGCTTCTGCACAGCAAAAGAAACAGAGTAAACAGACAAGCTACAGAATAGGAGAAAATTTTTGCAAACTATGTACCCCACACAGGTTTAATATCCTGCATCATAAGAGACTTAAACAAATTCATGAGAAAAAGAAACAAGCAATCCCATTAAAAAGCGGGCAAAGGCCATGAACACACAATTTTCAAAAGAAGACATACATGTGGCCAACAATCACATGAAAAAAAGCTCAACATCACTCATCATTAGAGAAATGCAAATCAAAACCACAACGCGATACCATCTAACACCAGACAAAAATGGCTATTACTTAAAAGTCAAAAAACAACAGATGCTGGCAAGGTTGTGGATAAAAAGGAATCCTTTTACAGTGTTGCTAGGAGTGTAATTTAGTTCAGCCATGTGGATGACAGTGTGGCAATTTCTCAAAGACCTAAAGACAGAAATATTAATAACATTCAATCCGACAATCCCATTACTGGGTATATACCCAAAGGAATAGAAATTGTTCTGCTCCAAAGACACATGCATGCATATGTTCATTGCAGCACTATTCACAATAGCAAAGACATGGAATCAACGGAAATGCCCATCAATGATAGACTGGATGAAGAAAATGGATACATATACACTATAAAATACTATGCAGCCATAAAAAAAAAAAACAAGATTATGTCCTTTGCAGGAACATGGATGGAGCTGGAGGCCATTACCCTTAACAAATTAACATAGGAACAGAAAACCAAATACTGTATGTTCTCACTTATAAGTGGGAGCTAAATGATGTGAACACATGGACACAATGGGGGGACAACACATATTGGAGACCTTTGGAGGGTGAAAGGTGGGAGGAGGGAGAGGATCAGCAAAAATAACTAATGGGTATTAGGCTTAATACCTGGGTGATGAAATAGTCTACACAACAAACCTCCATGACACACGTTTGCCTATGTAACAAACCTACACTGGTACCCCTGAACTTAAAATAAAAGTTTAAAAAATGTGTCTGGGGGTAAGGAGGACACAGGAGATTCCAGTGGCAAGGAGCTGAGCCAAGATTCCCACCAGCTCAATGTCATAGATCAATGATGTCCCAATAGCACTCCACAGCACATTCCCAAACCACAATGTAAGATGTGGTTCTGGACTGGGAGACACAGAAGGCCAGATGGAGGCAATGGAAACTTTGTAGACAGGAAGGAATAATCACAAAGAGATGGATAAAAAGAGAAGTAAAATCTACTCTAAGTGATCCCACAGACCAAATTATCAAAACCAAATGAAAATGATTAAATGTGGAGAAATATGAAGCAAATCAGTTAAGAATTTTATTTTCCATGGAGTCCATGTTGTAAGAAGACTATGACCTCCGTGTAAATATGGAGAGCATGTTCAAAATGGTGCTCAACTTTCAGGCCAGGCGCAGTGGCTCACGCCTGTAATTGTACCACTTTGGGAGGCTGAGGCAGGAGGTCACCTGAGCCCAGGACTTTGAGACCAACCTGGGCAACATGGCAAAACTTCGTCTCTACAAAAAAATACAAAAATGAGCCAGGCATGGTGGCACATGCCTGCAGTGCCAGCTACTTGGGGGTCTGAGGCAGGAGGATTGCTTGAACCCGGGAGTTCGAGGCTGCAGTGAGCTAACATCTTGCCACTGCACTCCAGACTGGATGACAAAGTGAGACCTGGTTTCAAAAAAAAAAAAAGATACTCAACTTTTGTTTCAAAAATACAGATATTGTTAAACAAAACAGGCCTAAGTTACTAGATTATCAGTGACTATGTCAAAAAAAGCCAATTACAATTTGGGAAAGAAAAACATAGACATTAAAAGTTTTTTTAAAAGTATTAGGTGGCGCTGGGTGCGGTGGCTCACGCCTGGAATCCCAGCACTTTGGGAGGCCAAGGCGGGTGGATCACCTGAGGTTGGGAGTTCCAGACCAGCCTGACCAGCATGGAGAAACCCCTTCTCTACTAAAAATACAAAATTAGCTGGGCGTGGTGGCAGATGCCTATAATCCTAGCTACTCGGGAGGCTGAGGCAGGAGAGTCGCTTGAACCAGGTGACGGAGGTTGCCGTGTCCAGCCTGGGCAACAAGAGCAAAACCCCACCTCAAAAAAAAAAAAAAAAGTATTAGGTGATGTCTTAGAAGAAATATAGATGTTGTATATATATCACCTGCTGAGGTCCGGCCAGAAGTGGGGAGGTCTCCGGTTCTCTCCTTAGTTATCACAAGGGGAAAGCGATGTGTGTACTGGGCCCCGTGCTAGAAGAAGGCTCTGGGGAAGAATCCACTTTCAGGCATACTCAGGTTGTTTGTGGCATTCAGTTTCTTATTGCCAGTGATCTGAGGTCCTTATTTCCACACCGGCTGTCAGCCAGGGCCACTCTCAGTTCACAGAGAGTGCTGTACCCTCCACGCCCTCCACGTGGTCTGTTCCATCTTCAAAGCCCACAGTGGTCCACCAGATTCACTTCACACTTTGATATGGTTTGGATCTGCGTCTCTGCAGAAATCTCATGTCAAAACGTAATCCCCAGCGCTGGAAGTGGGGCCTGGAGGGGGGAATTGCGTCCTGGGGGCGTTTTCTCACGGTTTAGCACTATCTCCTCGGTGGTGTCGTCAGGATAGTGAGTTCTCATGAGGTCTGGTTGTTTAGAGGTGTGTGGCACATTCCCTCTCTCTTTCTGGCTCCTGCTGCTGCCATGTGAGATGGGACTTCTTTCCCTTTGCTTTTCCCCATGGTTCTAAGTTTCCTCAGGCCTCCCCAGAAGCGGAAGACACCGTGCTTCCTGTAGAACCTGCAGAACCATAAGCCAGTTAAACATCTTTTCTCTATAAATTACCCAGTCTCAGGTATTTCTTTATAGCGATGTGAGAATGGACTACTATACCCTTCTACTCCCTCTGACCTCTTTTTCACTAAGAACTGGAGTAACTATCTTTAAAGGGTTTGTGTGATTAGATGAGGCCCGCTCAGATACTCTCCCTTCGGCAGTATAACGTACCCCACAACCGTGACATCTCATCATAGCCACATCACGCATGGCAGAGAGGATTTATAAGGGCCAGGGGTCAGTGTGGGGCATTCTCAGAATCCTGCCCACCACACAGGAGCCACGCAGAAGGCCTGAGAGAGTTAGAGAATTCGCAAAATAGAATATGGGTCCAATGCGTCACCTGAGAAAGTAGCACAGAGAAACTAAAAGTTTATTTTCTAATTAAGTGCTTTTGAAAGAAACTGAAGAACAAGTCTTCAATTTATTCTTCCAACAATTGAAGAATGTCTCCAACATTCATAAAATAGAAATCCCAGAAAAGAATGAAAGGAATATCAGAGGGTGATAAAGAAATAATTACGCATGTTTTCAATAATTCAAGAAAGTTATATTTTAGGTGCACACAAGTACGATAAATAAAAATAAATTACCTCCAAAGGAGTGCAATTAGACAGATAGCCGACTTTCCATTAGGGATAATAGATATCGGTACAAAATGGAGAAACGTGCTTACTGAGCTGAAAGAGCTGCTGGCCTAGAATTGTGTATGCAATTAAACTAGCACACAAAAATAGTGGCATTTGGAAATGTCTAATTAAGGTGAAAGCTAAACAACCAACAAAGGAATAAACGTAACACAGAAAAGGAGAAATTGTGATCAAATAACTCTGGTGAAGAGTCACAAAATTATTTAAATATAAAACTCAAACTATTTATATTAGCACTAGAGAAGATCATTTGATATTATAAAAGTTGAAATTGTAAAAGTAATGTAACTAACGAAAAGCATGAGGAATGGAGGTTGGAATTACTAATCAGATCATTAACTCTTTCACTTTCCCATCAGCTCTAAAATTCTAACATGAAGTTTAAAATGTAAGTACAAAACAAAGATATTTTTCAACATGTACCAGCTATGGAGTTTACCATCTTCTCTCTCTCCTCCCCACACTCACACTGTCACCAAAGGAACTGATGAAGAATGTATTTACATTTTCATATAGAAAGTAAATCACTACAAAGGTATGGCAATAAAGAACAATAGTGGACACATAAATTAGATATGCATGTGTTCATTCATTTTTCAAAGGAAACGATTTTTTATTACAAAAGGCTGAAAATAAAACTACACAATAATGTCCTGGAAAGAGATTTTCAATGAGTATTTAAGGCAAGGTCATAAGGAAGGTAGAAATAGGGACTAACATTAACCACAAGCAAAAAATGCAGTGAATTATGTATGTCAGTAATAAAAGGGTCAGTCTGAAAGAATGGAAGAGTTGTGTAGAGCAGGATAAAGGTGCTATAGAAACCATCAATACAGCAAAAGGTAGTAAAAAATAATAAAAATAGAAAACAAAAAGTAAGATAGTAGAAATAATCCAAGTATATCAGTCAATAGTAACAATAAATGTAATTGTCCAAAACTATTGAAAGACAGGTTATCAGGTTAGATTTATAAATGCCCAGCTATAAGCTAGACAAAATTAAAACACACACAAAAATGGTACATTATGCCTTATAACTAGGCAAATGTAAACGGGTGTGAAACTATTAATGATAGATAATTTTGAATAAAAATGAATACTATGTAATAATAAATATTCTACCATCAAGAATATGTAAAAATCACAACTTTTATGTCCCTGATCATATAATGTCAAATATATAAAGCAAAAAAGAGACAAAATTAAGGGTAAATTATAATCACAGAAAAGAACTTTAAGAGATCTATACCTGAGGCCGGGCGCGGTGGCTCACGCCTGTAATCCCAGCACTTTGGGAGGCCGAGGCGGGCGGATCACGAGGTCAGGAGATCGAGACCATCCCGGCTAAAACGGTGAAACCCCGTCTCTACTAAAAATACAAAAAATTAGCCGGGCGTAGTGGCGGGCGCCTGTAGTCCCAGCTACTTGGGAGGCTGAGGCAGGAGAATGGCGTGAACCCGGGAGGCGGAGCTTGCAGTGAGCCGAGATCCCGCCACTACACTCCAGCCTGGGCGACAGAGCGAGACTCCGTCTCAAAAAAAAAAAAAAAAAAAAAAAAAAAAAGAGAGATCTATACCTGAAACTGAAAAGCGCGCTGGCCAACACATATTTCTCATGCCCAAAACTTAGCTCATGTATTCTTTTCTGGTAGACCCAGAACTGCATGATTGAAACTATGAGAAAGTAGATTATTTAACATAAAGATGCCAACATAAGTACATAAAGGATGAAAAGAGTCTGAAGTGAAGGGTGATTTAGAGATGGAAAGATAAGAGTTGGCCGAAGTATTCAGCTTTACGGAGAGAAAGTGCCCCAGGTCTCCCACAGGCACTGACGGAGCTACAGTCTTAGGGAAAGCATCACATGGAATGAGGATCTTGCCAGGTTCCAGAAACGGAGCTGTTTACTCCTCAATCTTAACTTTTGTATTATGTAAATTTTTATAAATGTAGTTTCTCCATTGCAAATATTTTATATTAGATAACCTTGTTTCTTTATGTCTCCCCTTTAATCAATTACTATCTGGTAGTGATAAAATTTACAAAAATTGACTATAGACTAGGAATTCCCTATGAATCTCAAATAATCCGTATCATACAGACCCACCAAGTTCCTGGACCACAGGATAATTTAATCAGAAATGATTCTAAGAGCACAGGTAATGATAAGGCCAACATTAAGGACAGACAGTTACATGGAACTTCACAACAACCTGGCCACTCAGTCCTCACGGCGTCTCTGTGAGGCAGGTGCTGTTACTACTCCCATTTTACAGGGGACTAAACTGAAGCCCAAGGCTTAGCTTGCCTGGTGTGCCACAGCCACGAGGGGCTGGTGCTGGAGTCTTCCTTGGCATTCTGGCTCCACAAGGCGCGCTCACACCCACTAGCGCAGATCCAGCTTCACAGCGTGAGACCTGTGTCAGTCACCGCATGAGGCCCAGAACGCAGATGGGCTAGTGCTTGGGGTTTAATGCTCACTGCTACTGCCTTCTAATTTTTGCTAATTTTGTCTGTGAATTTGTCTCGTAAGTGAAGTCAGATGGGACCACAGAGCTTACACTGGAGACTTGGGGCCTCAGTCTGTGTCCTGCTTCCTGCCACCTCTCTGGAAGGAGTTCTTGGCTTCCTAATGCTGGCCCGAATCCCTGACTCACTGGACCCTGCCAGTCCCCTCTCAGCCCCCGTTCAGCCATCATTGCTGCACTCTGCCCCTGGCTGGGACCTGGGCACTAGCCTCGTGGTGGCCTCCTCTCCCTGAGCTGGCAGTCACGGTAAGGCAGCGTGGTAGGGCAGCATGGGACCACCCTGCTCCGGGTCCTGAGTCTATTCTAGCGCAGAGGCTGCAACATCTTGAGGGTCCCTCATCTGTGGTGGTTGAGGCAGTGGACCCATGGGGAAGGAGACACCCAGCTCAATTCTTCAACGTTGACAAGGCACAGGGCAGGAGTTCCTGGCAGGAGGGAAACCAGCAGGCCACCTGCTACGCCATATGAATCCCAACTGGCAAGGTGGAGCCCTCAGGACCTCTGAGAGTCTGCACTTGCCCCAAAAGGTTTTCTTCTAAGGGAGTACAATATTAAACAGCAAATATAAAACTCCATGACAGGTCAAGAAAAACAATAGATAAAAAGATTTTATATGTATACAATACCTATAAATATAATGTATAAAAGATAATGTGTATATGTTATATATAAGTACTTCTATTTGCAATTTTTCCTGGTTTTTAAGCAAGTCAGCCCCATTTTCATTTTGCACTGATATTTACAAGTTACATAAACCCTCCTCACTATGCTACACTACAAAGGGCCCTAAAAGGCACTGAATTTTTTCCTTTTATGTTTTGAGCACCGCTTTTTCATTAAGACCACATTGAATGAGTCAAATTCCTCTATCGTACATCAGCCCTTGAAATATTTGAAGACAAAGAGCACTCTTTCTTGGAGTCCTCTCCTCTCCAGATGACACATTCATCTGCATTTCTTAAAATCATGTCATCTTTAGCCTGCTATAGATCACTCATGAACAAACTCTCTTTAGATAAGCTTTTTCAATCAGTTTGAGTTGCACCCAGGTATTTTAAAATCCATCAACGAAAGAGCCCAAGGTGTACGAAGACCTATGCAAAATGTGGAGGGGCACACAGGCAAATCTTAGGAGTGGAGTTCACAGACACCAAGATTTAAACTAGAACTAACAAGGAGTGTTTTCACGGCCGGATGAGGTGGCTCACACCTGTAATCCCAGCACTTTGGGAGGCCGAGGTGGGTGGATCACCTGAGGTCAGGAGTTTGCGACTAGCCTGACCAACATGGTGAAACTCCATCTCTACTAAAAATACAAAAATTAGCTAGGCATGGTGGCATGCTCCTGTAATCCCAGCTACTCAGTAGGCTGAGGCAGAAGAATCGCTTGAACCCGGGAAGTGGAGGCTGCAGTGAGCCGAGATCACACCACGGCACTCCAGCCTGGGCAACAGAAGTGAAACTCTATCTCAAAAAACAAAAACAAAAACAAACAAACAAAAAAGAGTGTTTTCACAATATACCGTGTCCCCAGATGGAATGGACCATGGCACAAAGTGATGCTTAGGCACAACAGCTGCTTATTAGGGATGCTCTCTCTGGGCAAGAACCACCCATCAGATCTGAATTCAATGGCCTTGAGCAGTCCTTTCAGCTCTGAGGTCTAGAAATACATGAAATTACTGTAAAATTACATCTTGATTAGTGGAGAGCATTAAACTAGAGCAAATTACATCAACCTGCCTTTAAGCAGCAATCATATCTAATGCTTGAAGACTGCTGTGTCTGTATTTCCTTCTGATTGTAAAAAAGTAGTTCAAAAACATCGATGAACAACAGAAAAAAGGTATTATTAAAATCTCTACAGGTCTAAGTTAAGAAGTGACATGATTAGTTATGAGCACTGACCTGGTTCACACGACTAAGGAGTTAGAGGAAGACATTTTATAATCATTAAATTCTATTATATACCAACATTAATATCTTAGTCCCTAATTGGTAAATGCTGGAAATAAATACTTCTTTTCTGACCCTCCCCCAAAAACAGAAATCGTCATTTCGTTCTCAGACTGGTAGTTCTTAACAAGAAACCAAGACTACACTACACAACAAGAATGATGGTTTTTCTGGCAATGTGAGTTTATAATAAAAGAAAGCTTAGAAAAAAAGTCAGGCCTGCATGCTTCAGAACACAAAAATCTGGTTAACGTTGGTTGACACAGAGAAATTATCTAACAAGGATTCCCTGGAGAACATTTATAATAGAACCATGGTAAGTGAGATCTTTTCAGGACCTTTTAGATACCAAATACACAAATTAAAATTATTGTAGGATTCTGTAACGCTAGGAACCTTTTTTTTTTTAAGTGCTTGAAGAAGGTTGGTTGGGAGAAAAGTATACACAATTTTTCTAACTGGGGGCTACTTCCTTAAGAGTCACCGTTCATATGGCATTTCATTATCTTAGTATATCCTGGTGTGTGTTCCAAGTTTTGATCCGATAATGACTTTGCATCAATTATCATGCAAATTCCATGAACTGAAATGTACAAAGCACAAGTAGGCCCTGCACAAAGCTGGCTGTGTCAAATGGTTTGCATAAATGCTTAGTGTCATTAGCAGGGTCTCTCCCTCTTCCTGATCCATTCCCAGAACCCCTATTCCTTTTAAATCTTCTTTTAAAGTGATCTCATCCTGATCTAATGATGCTGATTCACAGACAGGATGAGGTAATGCACTTAAGATAATGCATCATCGTGGTGGCTCACACAAGTGTAAATATTAAGTAGGGTTTCAGTACAGCATTTACTTTTACTGTAACATGAAACTGCAAACTAATATTACAGTGCAGTAGCCAGCACAATGCCACACTGATAAGGTTGTGCACAGCATGAAGAAATATAAGATATGATGTCGTTTCCTCTTCCATACTACAGGATGTCACCTAGTTTTACAGCTTTCTCGTCAAGAAAAAAAGGAAAATCACATTTTTACGTAGTAACTTAAACTTTTTTAGTTATAAAAACAATGTGTCAATCTGCATGATCCAGACAATTTTGTTGTTAGTTGTTCATCCTTATAAGCAAAAAAGGTTTGAGTTTGTGAATAAATATATATTAGAAGTACTTTTGAAACATATGACTATAGAATGAATTGTGAAACTAAACTTGGCAGTAGAAGCCAGACACTTAGAGAAGCCAAATGGTGGTCTTTACACTTGCATTAAGACTGTGTTGTGTATATTCATCTAGCAAATCTTTATTATCACTACAATTTTATGTACACATATATGTGTATATATACACACATGTGCATGTAAATACATGTGTATATATGTATAAAGACATATACATGTGTGTATTTATACTCAATGTGCCTTCTTAAAATATATAAATATGGATTGTAATGGAAAGAAGAGAAAATCCAGGCAAATGGACAAGATCATGAACTTGGACATTAAAGCTGGAAGGTGCCTGAGAAGTTACCTTGTCTAGCATCCTTGTTTCATGGGTGATGGCATTTGGACATAGGGATGATAAATGAAGGGCAGATTCATTCATCTGTTCCATGCACCTACAGATACTAGTTGTAGAGGCACCATTAGTGATATGGTGATGCATGCATATGGCGGCGTTCTTCTCTTCAAACAGCTTTCATCATAGTACAAAACACAAGTGTGTAAACTACCAATTAAACAAGAGACAAAAAGAGTAAGTGAAGTCAGTAAAGTGCCATGGGACAACAGGGAAAAGGGCAATTAACTTCAAATGGGACAGAGACAGAAGGTGGCAGTCAAGGTCAGCTGTAACTTAGAACCTGAGTGGAATGCCAATACAAGAAGGTATGAAAGAAAACACGTATAGACAGAGGTGACAACACTAACAAACAGAGAGAGAAGTGATGGAGTTGGCACATTCAATAGTTCTGATGGAGTGGGGGTCTTGTAGGCAGATAGGTAAAGTGACCCAGTCTGATAGGTGAGGACACATGGGATCGTGAAGCTCTTGCTAATGAGCATGATGAGGAAGATTTTTCGGAGCACAGCAACATAGTCTACCATGCATTTGGAAGCTACTTAATGGCCAACTGATAATTAAAACAGAGATCTCATTCCAAAGTTTTCTTTTACCCTATCATGCTAAATTAAAGCTGTGTAGATTGAAATAGATGCTATGGATACATTTTTTTTTCTTTTCCATGAATTTTTGCTTAATAAAATGGCTTTATCCATAAGACAGACAAACAAAAAGCAACATGTATCTAGCTCACTATTGTTACAAAGAGAAACAAATTGATAAGGATACGTGGTATATTATGGCACCTTCTAGTTTGCAAAGCTGGCTCATACCTTCCATTTTATTTGACCTTCACATTTTCTCTGGGAGTAAAACAAGTATTATTATCTCAATTTTGCGGGTGAACAAATTCAGCCTCAAAGACTTTTCTGGTGCATTAAATAGTAGATCTGGGACCTGTACCCAGGTTTTCTAATATCCAAGGATTAATGCCCTTGTCTTCTAAGACCCAGGGACTAATGACCAAGTTTTCTAATACCCAGAGACTAATGGCCAGGTATTCTACAGCAAGTCTGGTGATTTTATACCGCTTCTTAAAATTTATCTTTTCTTTTCTTTTTTTCTTTTTTTTTTTTTTTTTTTTGCATAAACATGCTTCTAAAAGAATACATTGAAGTTGGAAATAAAACTGTGTATTCAGAGCCAGAGTCTTTACTCTAGACCATGGATCTGAGAAGATCCTACCTCCCTGTGTAAACAGACTCATTCACTGCCTCCCCTCCCTGCACCCCTGGCAGCCCGGCATTCAGCCTGTGCTGCAATTGCTCTTTCAACAGATAAAGGCTTCTTGAGTAGTCAGATTTGGTGGCCTTTTCCCTGTTCTCATCCCCTCTGGTCTCTGAAGGAGACAAGAACCATTCATTTCCTTTTCTTGAGGCTGGTTCCCCTTCTTGGCTTCTAAGGCACCGAGTTCCCTGCTCCTGTTCCCACTTCTGACTTCTCTCCATGCCCTGTGGTTGCCCTTGGAGGTAACGCCAACTTCTGATGGGGGCCTGCCAGCAAGTTTGACCTTCCTCAGGGAAGACTCTCTCTCGTAGTGTGAAAAATCTCCCTGGCTAACTCGTCATTTCATTCATTCATTCATGCATTCATTTATTCAGTGCCTATTAATTTCCACATAAATAGCTTCTCTGCAAATTTCTGCGTTGACCGGGAATGAATACGGAAATACAACATTGTTTTTATAAGAATAGACAAAGCTTCCCTTGACAACTTCTAAAAACAAACAAACCAGAAAACAAACGAACGAAAACCTCCATGGTTATATTTGAAAGCTTCTAAAATACATTAAAATTAAGTATTTAAAAATATGTATAAAATTCTTATTTATTCTATATCATCTAAGACATCCTGTTCAAAAATGACAATGATCCTCTTACACCTCACAGTCTCTTACTCTCTTCTTCCATAGCCGTTCCCGACATTTAATATGGTATGCATTACTTCTTTGTATAATTGTGCTGTTTGTCCCCCTTTACTGGAATAAAAACTTCAGGAGGAAGGGGATTTTCATCTGTTTTAAGCATTGTTATATTAGCAGGGTATCTACAATATGCCTAGCACATTAAGTATTCTCAATAAATATTTGCTGGTTGGAAGAGGACATCAGCTTTGGGAGTATCCATCCAGTGGAATTTTCCACTCTCAAGAAGATTGATCAGTTTCATGAAATAATCTTCACTGACCTCACCTATTATTTAAGGAACCTGATGCGATAGAGGTTTATGAGAATAGATCTTGGCTTAAGCACCAGGTTGTGGTTAGGGATCTCTGTAATGTTGAGAGCAGAAATGGTACAATGGGATCTGGGAATCTCTCACATCTTCATAATCATTCTTTGAAATGATAAAAGCAAACCTAACCCAAATTGTGTTTGCTTTTCCCCTAAGTCAAATCCACATCAAGACATATTGTGATGATTTCTCACAATAAATGCCTCACAAGTCTCTACAGCTGATAAAATGTCAGGGAGTATTTCCTTCTCTTCGCCAGCTTCTGGTGTTGGGTTGGGTCTTTAATCATTCAAGGGGAACACTACGTTGACTGTTGACTGTTGTTCTATGTTGTGAAGTATTACAGTGTGTGTGTGTGTGTGTTTGCGTATGTGTGTGTGTGTTTAAAAAAGAACCTATTTGTACACAGTTTCCTGAAGGAGTAGCTGAGTTGTGGGAAATAAAAACTCCACATAACTGTACAAGGGAACTCACATGGCTTTGGAAGCAGAATAATAAAAACAAAGTACTGGAAGCTATTTCTTCAGATGGGCATGTATACATTAAGCAGAGTAGCGTTGTCTGTATAGATATAATATCTTTGTAAGAGAATTCTAAATGATCACCATTTGATGTAGGGGTACACAAACCTAGAAGTCTGATTCAATCATAGAGTTGTAGAAAAATACGATTCCTGATGAACTGTTGCTTTTTTAAAAAGCGGTCTACAAATCAGAGATGATGGTACCTTTCTCACAAGAACTCTCAGTGTTCAACAGCTGGTCTTCTGCTGTTGCTGTCCTGGTGCCAATGAACTGTCAGAAGCAGAGTGAGTGGTAGCCAAGGTCCCTGGATCAGGGAGAAGGAGAGCAGCACGGGCTGCTGGCAGCTGGCCAGCCTCGATACTCACTGGCTCACCAAAGGAAGAGCCCTGCTTGATTTATGAAGGTGTTGCTGTAACCTGATGACCTGAAGACACCAGCAAGCTTCTCCTCCACTTCAACTCCACAGTTACTGTGGAAAAGAACCCCTTAGGAGAACGGTCAGCCTTTTCTATGACATTACAGAGACGTAATGTCTGGGTCTTCCATGAGTATTAATGCATGCTTCACCTTATTGGAAAACAAGAATGAATGAGCTGACTACAGCACTGCAGGCAAGTTTAGGAAAAGCACTGACTGAGAAAGGAAGAGCATCCCCATGTAGATACAGAAAAAGTGAATAATGGTATAGAACTTTCCAAGAAGAAGCCAAAGAGATGACCGTAGCACTACTAAAAATAAAATATTGTACTCAGTAATTTTCACATAGTTCGATATATATGTTTTTCTTAAACTCCATTTCAGAGATACTATGAATTAAATCACAAATGCTCGTAATAGGAAAAAATAACATTTTAAGGAAACCATTCTCCCATGTTTTTCTTAATAGACATACCACTGTGGAAGAATTCAGGCTTCTGAATTTTGGTTAGAAAGACCCATCCTCCTATTGTCCTTGTCCCACTATCCATTGAAAACAGAAGAAAATGACAGTTCGCCTGAGGCTCTAAACTGGACCCTAACCACAATCTTCCTTTTCTCAGTTTATTTATATATTTTTATCTTTTTGCACAAAGAGGAAAAGTTTAAAGAGATAAATGGAGAAGAAATGAGAGAACTGTCAGAACGAGAATGCAGTGTTCATTCCCTTCAGTTAGAGACCGGGGCTGAGCTTCTCTCTGGGCACTATTGTGAGAGTGGCAGGGCCAAGGATCACCAGTGTCTGAACCCAGCCCTCCCCTCACCAGTTCTCTTTGAGCGACACATTAGAAATGAGAATTGTTGAAATGAATTGTCATCCAATGTTGGATGACAGTGCTTGGCTCAGAGCTAGAGTTGCAAATGAGAACTTGGTCATCTCCAACCATGAGTCTAAGGAAGCCATGGACATAGAAGAACTTAGTCCATCTTATCAATGTATTTGCAGTAAAAATCAGACAGAATAGTTCTCACCCAACTTGGTCCTCAGGCAAAATATTCAATTTTCTAGCATGTGTGCATTGAACTGGAACAGAAAGGAGGTCGTGAGGTCTGAGCTGAGTGAATAAGGCAGGAGAGCCTATTGGAGATGATGTCAAAAAGATCAGGGTAGGAGGTGATGAGATCATGCAGAATTTTATAGCTTTTTTCGTGACTGTGAGTCAGAAGCCACTGGAGGAAGAGGAGTGATGCAATCTGAGTCAGGTTTTGAAAGGATCCCTCCAGCTTCCATATTGAGACTTGACATAAGGCAGATAAGGACAGAAGTGTGGAGGCATTTAGAAGGCTATTCCAATAACCCGGGTGAGAAAAAGTGATGGCGTGGAGCACTAGTTCTATTTCCACTCTTTTATAGCTTGTCTACAGCAATTTCAGTGGCTTCCTATGTTTTGCCTTGCATAGTTTTTGCCCCTCTCTCCTTTCTTTTTCTAATAACCACTCTTTTTATCTATTCTTTTGGTTACCCTAGCCAGTCTTGATCCAAGATAGAACTTTTCCTCTTGTACTTCTTATCTATATATTCTCTGTTAATTATACGGCGCATTTGCTTACAAAAACCAGCCTCCATTCATTTCCAGTAAGTATCAATATTTGGCAGACCACATATACATATCATTACTTCCTAGAGATGAGACTTCCTCTAAAAGTTGAAATATATAAATATACAGAAATTCTAATTTGATATAGGGATTTATACATAAAGGTAGAGATATCAACCTTAAATGTTAGTCCTTTTTAATATCAAAAAAACAGTTAAAGTTCTTCTAAGTATGAAAATTGTATTTCTTGTGCTTACATACATTTCCTCCTCCAAGCCACTTAACTTATTCTGGGTCTTTCTTTATTCATTTATTCATTCACTTACTTAATACGCATATTTAGCATGGATTATGTCCCAGACACTATGCTAAATTTAAAAGATCAAAGATGAATAGATTCATCCCATGCCCTCAAGGAGTTTTCAGACAAATGAGGGAGAAGAACACACTTTAAAATTGCAAACCTTTGCAGAAGTGCAGAAATGGAGAAATGCATACGATGTGTTTGAACAGGTGTATTCAGGAGATTCCTCAGATAAAGCAGAAATGGCCTAGAGACAAAGAGGAGGGATTATGTATTATGTATTGTATGTAGCCCAAACTAGCCTATTTATTGAATGTCTTCAAACTTGTGAAAATTGACTTTAAAATTACCAGATTGTGCCTATCACAGTCTTGACAAAATACAGCCAAAATTGTTCGCTGAGGCCTTTAGATGAATTTCTTTCTATACATAGAATTTCTGAACCTCCTGAAGCTGAACATATCCTGGCTAACATTACCAAATAAGCAACATAGGTGGAAACAATGTTTTCCTTTTAATCAAAAAATATTTGCTACCTTTACCTCTTCTCAATATTACTTCTAAACCTTCGCTGTTCCTGCCAAAAGGAAAAAGAATACAAATTCGTTTACATTCCAAACAAGCTCATGACTCACTCTCAAATTGTAAACCTGATTTCTTTCAAGAC
The DNA here is from genome assembly GCF_000001405.40 of Homo sapiens. Taxonomy (NCBI): domain Eukaryota; kingdom Metazoa; phylum Chordata; class Mammalia; order Primates; family Hominidae; genus Homo; species Homo sapiens. The sequence continues at coordinate 5,394,234 of NC_000002.12, forward strand.
CCGCCACTTCCATCAGGTAAAGAAACCAAAATCCTTCGTATTGTAACGGAGTGTAAAGTAAAACATGAGAAGGGCATATAGTTAGTCCAGGTTGCAAATGTAACTTGATACTCTGTTCTAATATCCAATAATTCACTGGAGTCCCAAGCTAATGAAATTATAGCTCTATCACTTGAAGTCAGCCACTCACTTAACATTCGAGCCAACAACAACATTCTTGGCAAAGAAAGAGTGAAGACCTTAGCTCCAGTTTCAGAGTTAATAGGACTGCCAATCCGGGAGTATCTCACTTAGTCCACCCTCTCTTTATGAAGAAGATCCAACACAGAAGCATAGGCTTTATTTTCAAAAGACCCCACCTATTGATCACTCATAAGTGAGAGTTGAACAATGAGAACACACGGACACAGGGAGGGGAACATCACACACTGGGGCCTGTTTGAGGGTCGGGGGGTAGGGTAGGGATAGTAGGTGATGGGTTGATGGGTGCAGCAAACCACTATGGCACGTGTATAACTATGTAACAAAACTGCACATTCTGCACATGTACCCCAGAACTTAAAGTATAATAAAAAAAAGACAATATATTTTTATTCTAGCTGCTGACCTCTTGTTTACAGGGTAGCCCAGCTGTCCCCAAACTCCTGAGTTTATGGATCCTGAGTAATGACAACCAACCTGTTTACACCTGACATCCCTGAAAAGAACCTTCACTGGCTCAGTGGTGGTATCTCAGTCCTTCTTCTGTCTCCTGGTTTCTGGCCCTAGAGCTGAAGGTGGCCGCAGTCTCACATGCAGTGTGACTTGATGCCAACTTCTCTGCCATCCCCTAGATCCAGTCATTGGTACTAACCTGTCTTATCTTTTGAGTGGCGTGTTGCACATTTCACCCTAATTAGGCTGCCTGAGTTAACATCCTGTCTATGGCATCCTGGGTGTCATCTCAACCTTCAGTCTTGGCCACCAATCACCAATGCATTCACCCTCCCGATACTCCCTTTCACTGTATTTAGATCAACAGTATTGCAGAGCCTGCGTTTGGATTATGTATAAGATGTCATCAAAGCTGCTTTGGTTGGTGAGGAGCTCCATAATCACCTGCTGTAGAAGCACATGTGCTAGGGTCAAAGGTGGAGGTGGAGGAAGGAGTCTCACCATCACGTTGTTTGCAACCCCATGAAATGGTTTTTCCAGCCAGCCATCTTAAGGCAGGTTCCTGGCTGCAGAGCCTGAGACAGAGATTCTTGTATAAATGACTTATTCAAGAAGTGCTCCCAGGAGAGGAGAGCAGTATTATGTACATAGGCCTCAAACTAGGCTGTTTATAAAATGCATTTAAATTTCTGAAAATTGACTTTGAAATTAACAAATTATATTTATCACAGTCTTGATAAAATCAAGCCAAAATTGTTCATGATGTCTTTAGATGAATTTCTTTCTGTACATAGAATTTCTGAACCTCCTGTAGCAGCAAAGGAACCTAACAAAGATGTAGTCTCTGATGACTTTGGATTCATTTTGACCACAGGGAGCTCTGGAGCATGAAGGAAACCAGGATTTTTCTATTTTTAGGAAGAAAGCCTGGATTTGTGCTCAGGTTTCAATCAGTGATGGTCTCTGGGGCCGGTCATTCTGTAACTTCCCAGGCCTCTCTAGGCTAGGCTGTCAGCAATCTCACCTGCTGAGATGTGGGCACATTTGGTAGAAAGAAATCTGGGTAGAGCCCCAGCAGTTCCTGTTTCACCTGCTGAGATGCGGGCACATTTGGTAGAAAGAAATCTGGGTAGAGCCCCAGCAGTTCCTGTTACACCTGCTTTCTGCTGCCCAAAATCTCTGTGGGTTTTGATTTGGGGTAAATTTACACACAATTGTCACTCCAATGTGCATAAATACATTTAACTTCTACCTTAATGTGACAACTAAGTTAGAGTCATTTTCATTTTTTCTTGGAAGCTTCATTTCATATTTGTGCAATAAATATATTTACGCTTCCCACAGTATATTAGACCTGTGCACTTTTGATTAACTGCCATTTTCAGACTGGTTTCAATCTCTGTCCTGTGGAAGAGCCACAGTCCACAGTTCTTTCATACAGATCAAGGGATATGTGAGCTCTCCTGACTTTGTGTGAGAAGAGTATGAAATCCAGAAAAAGCCAAAGGTGTTTAGAGGTCTCATCCTCATTGCAGATGTAGAAAAGCCTCACTACCAATATGATTTCTATTCCTGCACTAAGTGGCTAGTTACGTGATGAGAACTGGGTGCAGTGCTGGACACTCAGGATCTCCGGTCTGACATCGTGGGGCCATCCTTCTAAACTGACTTAGATCTCTGCTATACTTGATGCACTAATAGAAACCAGTCAGAAGTAGCCAATTGCTTCCAAATAAATGGTCAGTGCTGGTGGAGCTATTCACCAGAATCTACCTCCTCGTCTTCCTGAGCACACAGCTAGATTCCATTTCCAATCCCCTCTCTTAGTCGGGTGAGACTGGGTGGCTGAGTCCTAGGCAACAGAATGGAAGTGCTCAACGTGCCCTTCCAGGCCCAGCTAACAGAAGACACCTGCATGCATTGCTTCATTCTCTATTTCCCCTTCCAGCTGACCAAGACTGCAACACCCTGGATTCCAGACAGGCAGAAGCACCAACCTTGAACTCTTTCGTGAGTGACACATAAACTTCAATTGTGGTTTACTCAGCATCCACCTATCAGTCAGCAGACCAATAGAAGTCAACGAGCACACTAAATGAAGCCATTTTCAGGAAAGTTTGTTCGCAAAGGGACTTACTACATAGGTGTGGGCAGGATGGAGGAGACCCAGGAGGGATGGAGCAGGAACGTAACACTATCAGGGGTCGGAAGGACAGGGGCAGGAGAGCCTACTGGAAACCAAAAAGAGTTGCACGGAGCAGGCTCCTCCAAAGGGGAAGGGATGTTCTGTCAAGATGACAGCCAGCCCACAACGACCTCACAGGGAGAAGTCAGGGAATCACACCTCGTCCACATTCTTCTCTCTGATCTCCTACAGGGGCTCCTGTTGGAGCAAAGGAGGCCACAGGGCATGAGACTGATAGAACCCATGCAGACAGCCTCCTGAGTCCAAGCACAGAGCTGGACAGGGGATCTAGCAGGCAAATGGACTACATCAACAGAACACACTTTGGGATCTATTTGTTATATCAATTTAATCTGTCCTAACTAATACAGTCCCTAAGTAACGGGGTGAGGGAGCCATGTAGCACATTCTGGATGCTGAAAGGTACCAGCTCACAAGAATATTCAATGAGAGGAAGTGAATCATCTCATGGACATTTTTTATTGTTAGAAATTCTGTCTAATACTGTGTCAAATCTAATTTCTTACATCTTCCATCCACTGGGCATCTATCTTCTCTGCGAGGTTACACAGAATAAATTTAAACCCTCTGACACATTAGAGTCCTGCAAATACTTGAAAGCACTTATCATATTCCTGCCTAGCCATCTTTTTTCCCTCTCTCTGTACAAGAGTTCCAGATCCCTCAGTAACATGTCCCCCCATAGTCTCTGAACCCTTCAGTATTTTGCTTGCCTTTCCTCTGTGTGCTCACTACCTGGAGGGTGCCTCTCATCTGCTGAAGTGCCAGGAGCCAAATAAAGAACTCCAGGGTGACGCACCTATTCTACATATAGAGGACATTTACAACTATGTTTTAGTTAAGTGAAGTAAAACCTACTGGAGTTTTCAAAGTCATCATATCATAGAGTGGATCGTATGACTTTCATAACTACCATATTTTCCAGGTCAGAGGTCAACAATCTTTTTCTGTTTCCAGACAGCAATTATGTCAGGCTTTGTGGCCAGATGGTCTCTGAGGCAACTACTCAATTCTGAGTTCTACGAGAAAAGCAGCCAGGACATCATGCAAAGAAATGGGCATGGCCGACTCCCAGTAATAATTTATTTACAAAAACAGGCCCCTGAACAGATTCAACACAGGGCCCAGAGTTTTCTGACACCTGTTCTAGGTCCCTGGTTCTCAATCTTTGCTTCACACTGGAACCCCTGGGGAAGATTTACAAATCTTGATCCCAGGTCACACCTCACAACAACTCAATCATAGGGTCTGGGTAAGGGGGATGACCCCCTGCAGGTTCCTGGTGCAGCTGTTTGAGAGTCTTTGCCATTTGGCACTTCCAGGTTGCTGACTTTTTCCTCTCTAAGCCTGGGATACATAAACACAAAGAAAACCCAGGGGCTGGGCATGGTGGCTAAGGCCTATAATCCCAGCACTTTGGGAGACTGAGGCAGGAGGATTGCTTGAGACTAAGGGTTCAAGACCAGCCTAGGCAACATAGTAAGACCCCATCTCTACTAAAAATCAAAACAATTAGCCAGGTGTGGTGGTGTGCAACTATAGTTCCAGCTACTCAGAGTCTCAGGTGAGAAGATCACTGGAGCCCAGGAGATAGAGGCTTCAGTGAGGGATGATTATGCCACTCATCTCCAGCCTGGGCAATAGAACGAGACTCTCAAAAAGAAAAAGAAAAAAGAAAGAAAACACAAATAAGTCACCCTTGTATTGTTTCCTAGCTGGTCTGCCTTCTTCTCCCCACCTTTCAGAGCCTCTTTGTGTTTGTTTTCTATATAATGTTCAGGGTTTTCATTTCCCTTAGTTGGAGAAGTAGGAGAAATGCTCCATCTTCCTGCACGTGATGTCCCACTAACTCTTTTTCAACTTTAAATGCCATTGGGTTGATTTATTTCCATCTTCCACCTGAGCTCTGCAATGTTTAGGTAAGTGTAAGGCAGCGCGCCCCTTAAATAGGCAAATTACCCTTGGGAGCAGTTCAAAAAACACATTGGATGTGGTTCTTTCCACAGGAGACTAGGGAAAGAATTGAGTAAATTTGCTCAGCTCTTGCCTGGACATTTAGCTTTTCTGTGGAGCATCAGTATTAAAATTCTAAATTTATCCCACCTATGAAGGCTTTCAAGCTTGTCACATGTATGCAGTGGCGTAGAGATTTTTTTGCGATGTATGTTGTTCAGTATCATGTTGTGTAATCTAGGTGGTCTCCGAACATGGTCTCCAGGCCAGCAGCATCGCTGGAAGCTTGTTAGAAATGCAGTGCGTAGGCATCACCCAGACCTGCCGAACCAGAAACCCTGGGACGGGGCCCAGTCAGGTGTGTTTGTTAACAGCCTCCATCAGGGGATTATAATACAAGATCGAGGTTGAGAATCACTGCTCTATTCTAACACTCTAACATGTTAATATAATTTTGATTCATTTTTCTCTCTGGTTCTCAAATTTTTCTGTCCATTACAATCATGTGAGAAGTCTCCCACCAAGCATGGATGCCCAAGTCTCACCTTCTGGGACGCTGTGAGTTAATTGGTCTGGGGTGTGGCCTGGGTATCAGAGAGATTAGAAGTTCTCCAGAATGTATTAAATAATTACATTCCATTCAGAGGGTGCTTAATAAATTGGAGTGTATGCCCTAACCTCTTTATATTCCTCGCTTGAGAAGGAGTATATATTAGCATTCTCCAGATAAACGAAACCAAAACCAAAAAGAAGATATATATATATATTCCCATCATTTATATGTATGTGTATATATGTGTGTATATATACATATATACATATATACATATATACACACATATATACATACATATATACATATATAAACACATATACACATATATACATACATATATACATACATATATACATGCATATATACATATATACACATATATATATATATACATATATATATATAGTGGGAATTGGCTCACACCATTATGGACACTAAGAAGTCCCATGATCTGCTGTCTATACGCTGAAGAACCAGGCAAGCCGGTGGTATATTTAGATTTGAATTCCAAGGCCTGAGAATAGGAGGACAATGTGTGAGGGCAGGAGAAGAAGGATGTCTCAGCTCAAGAAGAAAGCAAATTTGCCCTTCCTCCACCTTTTTTTTCTATTCCTGCCCTCAGTGGATTGGATGACACAGATCCACATTGTTGAGGGCTGTTCTCCTTCACTGGTCTACTGATGTAAATGCTAATCTCTTCCAGAAATATCCTCAGAGACACAGTCAGAAATAATGTTTTTGCCAACTTTCTGGGCATCCCTCAGCCCCATCAAGTTGATGCGTAAACTTCACCATTGCAGAGCACTCCCTGTGTTATGATCAGTTAGTAAGTGAGTGCCTCTGATGGGATTTTGATTGGCCACATCTAGTAGGTCCAGGACTCTGCATTTTTGCGATAATTCTAAGTCATCTGTTGCAGAGACCTCCTTTTGAACAACGCTGACTTGAAATATTTGCCTTAATTCCAAAATATTTAAAACAGAAATGCCTCTAATAGAGAGAAAGTCATTCACTTTATGCTTTTCATAGGAGAAGTTTCTAAAGAATCTAGAGAGGCTGGGACATGGGCTGCTTTGCCACACCCTCTTGGGACGTCCCTTGAAACTTGCTGCCGAAACTGCTGGACTTGTTTTCAGGATCTGTTTACCATGGGACTCCTGGATGCAAGAAGTTTTCTGAAAATAAACCTTTAAGTCAACCTGGACACTTTCTGACTGTTCTCTTGGTAACCTCGGTTGATCCCCTGGGAGTTAGTAATTAGACCGGGGCCCGTCGTGGGGTCGGGGGGAGGGGGCAGAGATAGCATTAGGAGCTATGCCTAATGTAAATGACGAGCTAATGGGTGCAGCACACCAACATGGCACACGTATACATATGTGACAAACCTGTACGTTGTGCACATGTACCCTAGAACTTAAAGTATAATATAAATAAATAAATAATAAAAAAAGAATTAATTTGAACTTGCTTCACGTCAAGACCCACCGTCCTCTGCCAGCACTGTATTTCATTTGCCTTACCCCCACTTTCCCCAAAGCATTTCTCATGGACTACGCCTACAGCAAGATAACACTTTAAAAACATGTCTGTATATCTAAATAAATCCCAGATGAATTAAGGAGGAAAACGTTAAAAATCAAGAAACCAAAACATATAAGCCTTAGAAATAAGTCTTTAATCTTGAGGTCAGGTGGTCTGGCAAAGCTCCAGTATCAATATCTGTATAATCTGCATGTTTTTCTTTGAGACTGTCAGCTCCTCGAGAAGACTCTGCCTGCTCCTGCCAGGAACCAGTGGGGCAGAGAGGCCGGGCTGTGGGCAACCAGGGAAGGTCCCCTGTAGTCTGGGCAGGCGCCAGGCTGGGAGGCAGCACCTTGGAGCCCACCTGAGAGTGGAGCGCAGGCTTCTGCCTGTGGGGAGGACCAGTGGTCCAGACACCCAGAGACTGGAGACACCTGAAGATCTCGCTGTGTCCTAAACACACTGTTGCCCAGTCTGCTTTCTTTCTGCACCACATTCACTTCCAATTCGAGAGTGCCTGGTGCTGCCAGCTCGCAGGGCTGCAGGGATCCCACGGGGTAAGGAGATGCTCTTATGGGGTCCTCACTGCTGACTCGGGACTCCACGTTCCAGGCCGGGCGTCTTCCCGCATCTGTGTGCTTGCAGCTACTGAGGACTGTCACAGCCTGGGTCCCTCCTGGGGTCAACACTGTTGATGGGCCTTGGACATTAACAAGTCCGTTTCCATGCAGTGTTCATGGGGCTTGAAGAGGGAGCCAAAAGGAGGTGCATGCATTCCAGCCATCACTTGTACCTGGGGAAGATGATGATCTATTTTCTTATTAAATGCATTAAAATAGCATGTAATACAGCTGCTCTGTGAAACTCATCAAGAGAAAGCATTTAAAAAGGAAAAGAAAAGAAAAAAGAAAGAAAAGAAAAGAAAAGAAAAAAAGACAAGAAAAGAAAAGAAAAAAGAAAATACAAACTTCTAAGTAACCTTCAAGAAATGTGGCTACCAAAGAGAACCCACACTCAATAACCATCCAGCTCCATGCAGGGACTTGGCCAGCACTGCCAATGGGCTCACAGGGACACAGGGAAAGTCAGGGCGCATCCGCTGGCCAGGTGCCTGCGTCCCACGGAAAGACTCACCTGAACCAGAGAATAAGTGGTCTCCTCTTTCCCCTGTCCCCAGCACCCCGCAAAAAAAAAAAAAAAAAAAAAAAAAAAAAAAGCAAAAATAAAATCCTCTTGGGAAGAAAACTTCAGATTCCCTCAGTCATAACCTAGTAATTTAATACCTATCTTGGGAGAAAAGCATCCCTCTTGGCTTAAATAAAAGTATCCATGCATACACACAAGTCTAGTTTTGCCCATTTTTTCTTCTTCAGTGGGTCCAGTTTCCCCTCTCACTGCCTGTTTGTTAAAGCCTATTATTAGATCTCTCTACATCTTTTCTCTGATAAGTAAAAAGGATGTAATCCTTAGCACTTAGCTCCTATTTTCAAGTTTTGCTTCATCTCAATTTTTCCTTTCTTATCTTCCCCCGAGTTCTCTGGAGCACTTTTGAAGTTGATAATGCCTTAACTACGCTAAGATCCTTGGAATCATCTGACCGACACCGACTACTGATTATTCACCTCACCTGGACACTTATAGTTATTTTTGCTTCTTACATATTGTTCCTCTACTATATTGCTAGTGTTCCTCTTCTAGCTCTCTATGACCTTTAGACCTTCTGCACCACTTCAGCTTATGGCTGGCTTATGCCCTTTGTTTTTCTACTCTAATTGCCTTATAGCAATATCAATGGTCTTAGCTTTCTTCTCAAAGTGATATTGATTATGGCAACACTTGGATTGGTGGGAATCAAAAGTAAGTAAATATACTATGATGCAAAGTATTTTTATTGAAAATTGTATTTGTATACTTATTTTCTAGTTATTTTAGAATATATTTTATTTTTATTTAAAATATTTTGTTTAATTAGTTCATAATAAGATTGAAATTGCATTGGTTTAGCATCACCAAATCAACATTTGGTGTGGATATGTATTAGTGGGGGGACAATTCATTTCATTCTTTCTCTCTCTCTCTCTCTGTCATTGTCTTTCTTATTAAACTCAGGTTGGCATTCTACAGTGAGCTACTTGCAGAATACTGGGCTCTTAACACACCAAGATGTGCCACCTTAATGATAACCTGGCATTGCTTTATTGTAAGAAGAAAAATTACTATTGTTCTGTAAAGAAATCAGTGTGCACTCTGCTTAACAAACATGCTGCTACCTTCAAATTGCGCAGCTGTGGCATCCTGTTTGTTCTCTCTTCTTGTGAACCATAGCTCAGAGCATTTCTGTTCTGGGTCTTAGATGAGAGAAAAAAATAAAATGAACACACCCAGCACTATGACTTCAGAGAGTACCAAGGGGAGTGCGAGTCAGGCCAGGTTGGAGAACAGCTGAGCATGGTGACATCGGAATTTTATGTCACTGCTGCTTAGACATCAACCCTGAAACACGTGACTTAACAGCATGAACCACGCAGCAGCATGGTCACCGCTGAAGAGTCTTAAAAGATTGAGGGTTGTTTCTACTTCATTGAAGAAATGTTGAAAGGCAGAGGCTGTTTTTGTGTAACCCTAATAAGAATGTTAGAACTAATTTAGGCACTGATAAGTAATAGTTTAAATTCAGATAATGAAGCTCTTATATAGTACTTATTGATATAGTTAATTCAACTTTGTTTTATCTAGAATCTTGACTTATAATAGTAATACAAATTAATGACAATATGTAATCATGTTAATGAATAGGTTGACCATAATATTGATTATTCAACTTTACACCTTTGGTAGTGAATGAAAATGCTCTTAATAGTTACGTGAGGTCAGTAGGAAGAAACCAGGACCATCGCAGGAAAACAGCAACATTTGGCCACCCTTTTTGTGAAGAATTGTATTGTTAAAGAAAGCACAATTGACTGACTTGTGTTCTAAATGCCCCAGGACTGACTTGGCCACAGCAAAGGGAAACCAAATAAGCTTTCCTTTACTGTATCAGCCCATTTTCGTACTGCTATGAAGAAATACCTAAGACTGGGTAATTTACAAAGAAAAACAGGTTTAATGGACTCAGAGTTTCACATAACTGGGGAGGCCTCACAGTCTCACATAACTGGGGAGGCCTCACAGTCATGGTGGAAGGCATAGGAGCAAAGGCACCTCTTACACGGCAGCAGGCAAGAGAGTGTGTGCAGGGGAATTGGCCTTTATAAAACCATCAGATCTCATGAGACTTATTCATTATCATGAGAACAACACAGAAAAAAACCCACGCCCATTATTCAATAACCTCTCACTGGGTCCTTCCCATGACACATGGGGCTTTGGTAGCTACAATTCAAGATGAGATTTGGGTGGGGACACAGCCGAACTATATCGCTTACTTCATACCTAATATCTGTTCCTCCACTCCTGTGGTGTCGTGGAGTGAGAGGGATGCTGAGCCAAGGGGCTGCTCTGCAGTCAGGAGGGCACAGACCTGGAGGGCGGGAGGTCACTTTGCAGATGACTCAGGCTCCCATCAGGGTCTCGTGAGAAGGTGTGGCTCACAAAGTCTGAGCAAATTCCCTTACATTAGCTGGGTCTCCTCTGTAGTTGCTGGACGGTGTTCTGAGCAAATCCAATTCTACCAAGCAAAGAGCAAGTTAACGTCACGGATGAAAATTAAACAAGAATTTTTCAATTTGACAATAAGTTAATTTTGAACCTGAATGAACTACTTTTCTTCATATATATATATATATATATATATATATATATATATAAAAAACATAGAATCATGTCTATATATTATATATAGACTATATCTATATAATATATATTATATAGACTATATCTATATAATATATATTATATAGACTATATCTGTATTATATATACTATATAGTATATATAATATATAAATATTATATATATAATATAATATATAATACATATATACATATATACATGCATAATATATATAATATACACATGTATGTAATATATAATATATATAATATTTATATATATAATATATATGTGGGGTATCAATGGTAAGTATATGAACATACTGATGGGTGCATTTCCTAAACATCTGTTATAATTTATTTTGTTCCCAAAATTTCCTAGAGATTGTCTATGATTATTCAGAGTGTAACTCCACACCCTTTTTTTCTGAACAGATTTTCAGGAAATCAGGCAACATCACATGGATAGTTCACCATTATCTTATGTTCTATGTTCTTCAGTGCTGAATTTCTTTAGCTCAAGAAGTCTTTCACACAGGGGGTATGATTTCCTCATGTTACAGATAAGGCGACAGAAATGCTAAGAGCGTTGTTCAAGATTTCATAGAATTTGGTGGTGTTGCACTCATTTTCCCGCTTTCTTCTAGACCAGTGGTTTTTCACATTCTCTTCCTGAATAGAAGGGATTCTCCATACCCTGCCAGGAACTATGGGAATTCTGTGAGAGGAAGGACTGACCTGGGGGAGGAGCAGGCCACAATGCCACTTCAGCCCACATTTCCTGAAATCTGCACTAGAGACCAGATTTCTTAGAATTTTACTTGAAAATTGCTCTGCTGCTTAAAAGATATTTAAAAACAGGTGCCTTAAGCCATGTTGTTCCCACATTTTATGCACAAACACACAGACATAGGTGCATATGCATACACACAGGCTGTGCAGGAAGGAGGGCGGGAGGACGTGGCTGGAAGAACCCAGGAGCAATGCTTCTCCCACGTTCTGCATCTTCCTGGGGAACCTCATCTATTCATCGCATCCTGATGCCTCTGCTCCCCTGGCCTCCATCTGGCTCTTCCAGGGTACAATTGTACCCTGTGGCTGAAGAAATACATTCTCATGAAATAAGGAAGCAGGAGGAATAGGGCAAGTTTCCCCTCTTCTTGGCTGTAGTTCACACCTCACCACCTAAATATAGGCCCGTGCTCTCAGGTGAGTCGGGTGGAGGTATTCCCAGAACACATGTTAAATTTCCCCTTAGCAACTGCAAAAGCTTGAGAGCAGGTTAGGTCAGGAGAGATCCCAGGGTCAGAGTAGGCTGCGGTAAAGCAGAAAAAGAGAGGAGGAAATGTTTGAAGGCCGGGTTGACCTGACTTTGACCAAGTGAAGCTGTGGGCCAACTCAGCTCTCAGCCCTGTCATCTACCCCTCTCAGTCCTGGCCTGGCTTCCTGACCTGTAAGAGTCTGCATCTCGGTGAGGGTGTTGACTTCTCCTCAATGAGGCCGCATTGCTTCAGGAGCAGGTTCATTCGTTTTCAAAGCTGACACTCATACCCGAGGGATTCTGAAGGAGGGAGAAGCCTGTTTGAATTCGGATGGTTGGGTTGACCTTCCTTTTCAGGAAGGGAGCCACAGCCTCAGCAGGCTAAAGGCAGCCAAGACACAGGTCAACGGTGTTCACTCTGGTTTTTCACAGCAAAGTAGTACACTACTCTCCTAGAACACACACTTCTGAAACTGTGCTGCTTCACTTATGACAGCAAGAGGACCCAACCATCCTGGTACATGGGCACCAATAGACAGAGCCACACAGAGGGCCGGAGGGGAAGGAAAGGGTGCTGGCGCAGCTTAAGCTCTGAGGTTGCCGCCTTACGTTTCTTCCGCGGCCAACAGCCATGCAATAAGAGCCATGATGCACCAGCACATTTGGTGAAGCCGAGCTGGAAATCGCCGGCTGCTGTTTGCCTCTCCTGTGGAAGTCTCTCTGGAGTGGAAGCTTGGGGAGTGGGGCACGGACACTGGCGGCTCTGAGGGCGTTTTTGTTTCCCAGTTTCACCGCCATAGAGCCAGATACCAGCAGGACGCGGGAAGGCCAGTTTCACTTTTTTTTTTTTTTTTTTTTTTGAGACGGAGTCTCGCTCTGTCGCCCAGGCTGGAGTGCGGTGGCGCGATCTCGGCTCACTGCAAGCTCCGCCTCCCGGTTTCACGCCATTCTCCTGCCTCAGCCTCCCGAGTAGCTGGGACTACAGGCGCCCGCCACCACGCCCGGCTAATTTTGTGTATTTTTAGTAGAGACGGGGTTTCGCCGTGTTAGCCAGGATGGTCTCGATCTCCTGACCTCGTGATCCACCCGCCTCGGCCTCCCAAAGTGCTGGGATTACAGGCGTGAGCCACCGCGCCCAGCCCATTTCTCAATATCCAGTCTAAATTCCAAGAGCCCTAAGGACAGGAAAACACATTTTCATATATTCTCCTTTAAGAATTCTTCTCACCATGCCATTCCCAACCCGTATGCAATTTTAATACATGTTTAATAAATATAATTACATAAAATGAAAATTTAGCTTTACACATCCTCGGGTTCTAGTAACTTATTTAACAAGAGGGATGGTAATAGTGGTTCCATGTGTGGGAGACAGTGAAATCACACACAAAAAATAGAAATTATACAAGCATGATAAAAAAAAAACATTTTTTATCTGTAGGTCTGTTTTCATGAACATTTTCAAATGATAACCCACTAAGAAAAATTTTAGATAAACTAAAAAGAATGCTGTGAGATAATTCTTACCTTGCTAGGATCGGTTGAGGATGTAACCAAATAAGGCAGGAGTTCAGTGAAGAGACTCCTTTGACCCTAAGGGATGGTCCAACTTCCATGGTTCAACCTCTGCAATTGACAATATGCTTTCGATTTTAAACATTGGAGTAATACCTAAGTTCCAGTCAATAAATTTTGGCTTTAGAAATGTATCCTTTGAATTTGCTTCTATATTTATTGCATGTTTAATTAGTTAATATCTAGATATTTAATATATGTTGAAAACTGGAAAACTTGCAAAGAAAGTTTAAAAATAAGAAATTTTCATCAAATGTGAATAATTTTCATGTTTAGAAAAAAATTTTCTGTTGGCTAAGATAACACCTACATAATTACTTTTAAAGAAAATAAACAAAATGACTTAATTGTGACCATTTTAAATATATCTGTCCAGAGCATATTTATATATGAGTAGTTTTGAAGAATTAATTGAAAAATACATTATCTCTTATTTTATTTTTGTTCAAAAATTTAAAATATGTAATTAGAGTCAAAAATACCATTTGGATATAGGCTCTCAGTATGGCCATTTATAACACTTTTATAGGAAGAATAAAACCATCCATTAAGTGATGCTACACAGGAAAATTGAGAATTGGAGTAAAATATTTTTGGTGATTCTATATTTAAAATGTTGCTTATGCATGGACACAAAGATGCAGAATTCAAATAAATGTTGTCTTTTTATATTTGACATAAACTACTTCCTCCACCCAAACATAAGACATATTCATATAAGACAGATGCTTAGAAATATATTTAGGTGGTTGCAGATTTTATCCCTACATTTTTCATTTAGTTATTTAATTTTATGGCAAATATTACAGTTTATTTTTAATATAATATTATTGTTTTAATGACAGTTTTACATGCTTAAAATCTAGATTAAGTCTTTATGTCTATGTATACATAGATAGCTCAGAAAAGCACTCAGAAATAACAAAAACTTTTCCATTAATTCTTAAAATTTTCAATGCATACAATTCCCTAGGTGTCAAGAATAGCTCCCAAGAAGCTTTTAAATGTGTAATATTGACCTGATTTCAAGACATATAAAAAGCCACCTTCTTACTGGCCACAGGTATGGATAGCATGGCTACAGAGCTTTTCCTGTCTCCTAGACCTTACCAGAATATCCCACAGGCTGCTAGGCATTTACCTAAGAGAGTGCGATGGCTTTTTCAGAGCAGTTATAATCTACTGGGTCAAAGCATGTTCCGTTGTTACAACATTTTCACTTATTCTGCAGTCAGAGAGGTCTAGCCGATCAGGCCAGAGGCACGAATCCTCATGAAATATTTAAGAAAGGCCTTCCTCCATGCACACACGAATAAGCCTCCCAAATCACGTGGCTGAGGCAGTTTTAAATTCTGACTTTGGGAAGGAAATAAAAAATAATTTAAAAAATCACAAAATTAAGCAAATAGAAAATTTCACATGAAAGCAATCAGCAGGTAGAATGCCACCGGTGGCATTTTGAAGGTCCTGTAAAGCGTGGGGTTATGGAGTGATTAATGACCACAACGTCATCAACAACCCTGGGATGCGGTGGGGGAGAGAGGAAGGGGGCAGGTGTACTGCAAGCTTAATCATGTATCTTCATTCCTTGGTTAAGAAACACTCCTGTGGAACCTGAGAGCTCCATGAGGACCTTGATGTTCTGTTCACAAGCAGCTGCCTTTCTAAAGCATTGCATTAATTCAATAATTTCTGACAGACAGAAAGATTATTTAATAAGTCTATCTGTGTGAAAACTATTTCCAATCGGGAAGTACCCACGGCTGTTTCTCCACTGGTTTATCCTCAGCACGTTCAGGAAAAAGAGTAACCACGTGAAGTCAGGGCTTTCATCTCTGTTGAGATGCTGACCTGACATCCAACCTGCTCCTTTTGACCTTAAGTTGCTGCTATTTTGTCTCTGTAACAGGCAAAGAGATAACAAAGATACCTATTACCTATGGGGGAAGAGGAAGCTTCAACTATATCCAAGGATAGGCTCTGCATATGATTTCTGGCCTTTGAAAAAGCAGCAAACTAGATTTTTCCAAGGCAAAGATTACCACTCTAACATTGTCTGTCTGTCTTCATATAAAATGGCAATGGGAGATATTCTAGCACCAGGCTCTGGGCCTTCCAAAGCTTGCACTCCTGTCTGCCCTCCCCCACCCATCTCGTCTACCCTCACTCTGCCTTCCTTCTAGCCCAGCGTCTTAAGATAAAAGGAGGATGCCATGCAGTGTAAATGCAGTCAGTTGTCAACGTATCCGTGCACATTCTCAGTCTCTGTTCAATGTTCCATGACAACAAGGTGAGACGGCAGAGGTTATCCGAACAGCTGCCGCCTAAGCTGGAAATTCCAGGCATTGAGCACCATCTGTCTATACATTCACAAATGTATATAAGGGCCATCTATCAGGCTGGAGCACTGCAGCTGCCTCCCCGGCAGGCCTGCTTCCTTTCTCGGCGCTGAACAATAAGAGCTAGTTCTTCACTTTGTGTCACACAGAATGGCTGATTTGATTAAGTCCCCAACTCTCATTATGCTAGGTAGGAGTGTAGAATTTCAATGATAATCCATAATGCATGACCAGTTTGTCACCATGGCAACATAAATTCAAGGTTACTAGCTCAGACGCATAATTGGGTGTGCATTGAGTGCTGAGGAAGGCTGTTAAAATTCTTGTCATAGAAAAGTAGCATCCATCATACTGTCTGAAATTGCAAAGTACTCATAATCAGACAGAAAAATCCTTGGAGAAAAATGTTAATAAAATAACTATTACAGTCTAATAAAATTATTAAGTTTAACCACTTTAGTTTTTAAAGTATTTCAGTTAATAAGAATGAAATAGACACCTCATTAAACATTGGAGACTTGGATTTAACCTCCCCCATCGATATCTGCATTGAAATATGGACCTAAAGAATTTTTGGTCTGTTTGATTGATTGATCAAAACAAGCCCATATAATAAAATATATCGTTGTGCATTTTTGTTTCATTTTTGTATTTCAGATTGGATTTTTCTTAGCTGTAAGACTATTTCCTTAATAAAATGATCTGGGGAAAAACTAAATCTACTTCTTTGCTTTTAAAAGCTCAAAATTAAATTATGCATGTTATTTGCTGTACCTCCCAAAGTAGAGAGATGGAAACTAAGGTGGTGATGAAAAGATGCAACAGTAAAGAGTCGAAAGGAGATAGGAATATTTTGAATTATCAGCCCATCCAACTATGACTGGGACAAATATTTTGGTATTCATAAATAGGTGTAATGGAAATTGTATTCAGATGTATATGACTATTAAAAATCCAATACAAAAACAAATGTGTACCCTCCAAAAGGATTTAATCTTGGACCAAAATAATTATGGTAATTACTTGTTTTGGTATCTGCCTTTGCCAATGAAGTAGAACCAGGCAGAGAGTTATAAATGAGCTCTTGGCAAATGGCTTAGAATTCAGCTCCGAGTGTTATTGGAGGAGCATATCATGGCTCATGGTGGATTTTCCCCCATTTCCTTTGATTGAGTAAAACCAATGTTTCTCTGGATTTTAAGTATAAAATGCTTTGCTCTGGAGTATTATTTATTATAATTTTTCACCAAACATGACAAAATTTAGCTGTATTTCCTTTAGCTACAGGACACAGGAGTGCGTATGTTTTTAAGAGACAAGTCTGCCTTTGTTACTGAGATTCAGCTTTCATTTAATTCTGTTGGAGAAAATTAAGACTCATTGACTTAAAAGATAAGAGAATTCCTGCCAAATAAAGGCAGACTTGGCCACATGACCATGGAAATAATTTTGTGCTTTTGCATAGACCTTGTAGGAAGTGAGATTTAATTGCTTCTTCATTCTTTTCACACTTAGCCCTCTCATCCTGTCTCAACCCTGCTTTCCTCTCCAGCTACGATGCAAGATATACACAAAAGCGGTTATTTCTCATGTATCACATCTACTGTCATTACAAAATAATGAAAACAGCGGGTAAAGGTACAAATAAAATTAATTGTAGGCAGCTGACAACACTTTGTATACATTTTTACCTTATAAAATTTCTAATATTGTCCTCAGTTTTCTACAAAGCCAAATAGGATTAAATGATTTTTTACAGTGAATAACACAGATTTAGTCCTTAAGTTTAAGATCACACCTCCAGGATCTGTGCAGTTTTTAAAGTGGAACAGAAGAGAAAATCAAGAACCAAAATCAGATGACCTAATTCAGAATATAGATGTAATTTAATATTTTTTAATGTTGTGTTTAATCATACTAATGGCTGTGTCCTTTAGATTTTTTTTTAATTGAAGATATCTTGTGTGGTACAATTTTATTTGAAATATGAAAGGGCTCAGTCTGAAAGAACTTGCTTACAAAAGTCACATCTGGAAGTATATTCAGATCCAAGCGCACACATGTAACTCCAATTAACATTACACATGCTAAGGAAAATATACCCAGGCGGGCGGCAGAGGGGGAGGGGTAGAGGAACCAAAGAAAGGGGTTTGTGTCTCTGATTTAAATACAAGTGACTTTGTGGAGAACACCAGCTTGTGGTCAAATGAACTCCTATTGTGGAAGTGCACTGGCTCTCAAGACAGAATAACATTTCTGATTTGAGTTTAGTGAAGTACAGCCGTGATCAGGCACAAATGCTGAGCTGCTATACCTAGACTAAAATGAAATCGCTACAAGCTGTTTAGGGGATGAGTATGATTCCGTTTGGGAAATCTTAAAGGTAATTTAAAATTTTATTATTTGAGGAGTTTGGCTTTAGTAGACTTAAATATACGTATTTGTATTGATCACTACTGTTATGTACCAATTCAAAACTTACTGTTGGATATTTTTAATCATTCTTTATGCTATGTACACACATAAGAACCAAAAAACTGCGGTTAAGCCACAAGCATACAGATCAATACCACGAGTTTCAGGATAACCAATACTGCAGTGTTTTCCAGTATTCTTGAAAAAGAAAATGAAGGACAATCTGTAACATTTTCTCTTTATCAAATCCAAAATAATGAAGATATTACAATATGAGTAATATGTAAAATTGTAGACTTATGTCCACTGTGTCTCATTAATTTTTACATGAAACCTACACTTGTCATTTGAAAATATACTGTAGATAATTTTCATTTTTAACAAGCTACGATTTGATATTAGTCAATTATTTTAAGATTGAAATAATTATGAAATAAGCACCTGATAAATATCTACGAAAAATTATGTATCATACCTCCAAATAAATTGTGCAACAGTGAGATAGAACTTATGTGTTGAAATTGGGAAGGGATTCTAATTATCTCAGTGTTGGTTATGTAAAAGATATATATCAGCTGAAAAGAGTAAGCAAAGGAATTATTGTTTCTGCAATCAGCTTTATTTACACTTGAGTCAGGCCTTTATTTTCCTCATTACTTTCCCTCTGCATGATAATTTTTGTTTCTTAAGCACTTCATATTCTGATGCCTTTCTCTGCATTGGCTGTGCTGGGGATCACAACACCATACCCCACAATATGGCACTTCATCATTTTGAATATTTTAAGCTGAACGACATTGAGAAAACCTCAGAAGCAGGAAGGTCACTCTCTGATCTTCTCCCTCACTCCTCCCCTGAAGAAGTTCATGTGACAGGTGTCCTGCCCTGTACCCTCTATACCTGGAGAGAAACTGTCACAGAGAGGCCAAGAAAAATCTGAACAACCAGGCTTTGCCAGGTTCACTCCAGGTGATTACTATTGGATCACACCTTATTGTCCTAGATCTTACCTCTGCATGCCTCTCCATAGAAATGCACAGTTTTCTCCGATGCTTTTTGAGTCAAAAAAAATTTTTTTTTTTGAAACGGAGTCTCACTCTGTCACCCAAGCTGGAGTGCTGTGGCGCAATCTCTGCTCACTGAAAGCTCCGTCTCCCAGGTTCACACCATTCTCCTGCCTCAGCCTCCCAAGTAGCTGGGACTACAGGCGCCCGCCATCATGCCCGGCTAATTTTTTGTACATTTAGTAGAGACGGGGTTTCACCATGTTAGCCAGGATGGTCTCGATCTCCTGACCTCGTGATCCAACCGCCTCGGCCTCCCAAAGTGCTGGGATTACAGGCGTGAGCCACCATGCCCGGCCCGGAGTCAAAATATTTTTTTAGAGACAGAGTCTGAAACTCCTGCCTGAAAGCAATCCTCCTTCCTCAGCCTCACAAGTTGAGTAATCACAAGAGATTACAGGGGTGAGCCACCATGCCCAGCTCTTTCCCTGGGTCTTTGTTATGCTTTTCTATTGTTATTTTTAAGACAGCATTTTCCTCTGTTGCCCAGGCTGGAGTGCAGTGATGTGATCACAGCTCACTGCACCCTCAACCTCCTAGGTCAAGTGATTCTCCCTCCTCTCAGGAGGATTCTCAGCCTCGTGAGTAGCTGAGACCACAGTTGTATACCACCATGCCCACCTAATTTTTTTGTATTTTTTGTAGACATGGGGTCTCGCCATGTTGCCCCATGCTTGCCTTGAACACCTGGGCTCACGCAATCCTCCCGCCTTGGCCTCCCAAAATGCTGAGATTATAGGTGTGAGCCACCACAGCCAGTCTCCCTTATTTTTGCTGTGTAATCTCTGCAGCATGGTCATCAATCATGATGCATTGGGACAATGCATGGGGCAATCATGCCATGTCACCATCCACAGAGGAGCTGCTGTGATAAACCCTAAGCTGATGTTTCCCCAGGTAGCTCATAAAATACACTTATCCATCATCTTATAACATCGTAATGGACACTTGTGAAGATGAGCACCAAGCAAAAACATGATTTTCAACTCAATTTTTAAAACTCACCTATGTAACTCCAAATATAGGTGAACCTCCTACTACACCATGTTATGGAAATGTATTGAAATTGCCAATCAGTATATATCCAACAAAAGCCAATTAGATCTACGAAAACATAGCAAACTTGTGACCAAAAGGAAATGGGCAATTGAGTGAAGTGTCTATTTCATACTTTCAAGCAGTTAACATAAAATAAAATTAACATTTTAAGCCACACTGAACATAGTTTAATCTTCATTGTTAAAAGGCATTAAGTGTTTTGGAGAGCACTTGACTTACAGAACTTGTAGTCTAGAAGGGACCCTAAAAGTTCATCTGTACCAATCTCCCATATAATGCTTCAACCTACTCTTTAAAACCCTCCAAAATTGATTCTCTGATCAGTAAACAAATCTTTCTAGTGATGAACAACTTACCATTAGTATTAATCAGAGTTCTCCAAAGAGACAGGAGCAATGGGATATATATGTAGAGAGAGAGAGATGACAGGGGATTAAGGGGATTTGCTCATGCAATTATGGAGGCTGACAAGCCCCATGTCAGGTATTCTGCAAGGTGGGGACCCTGGGATGCTGGTAGAAAGGTCTCAGAAACAGAAAAAATGATGGTGTAACTCAGCAGAGACTGAAGGCATGAGAACCCTGGAGGCCTCTGGTGCAAGCCTGAGATTTCAAAGCCTGGAGAACCTGGAGTTCTGTCCAAGGGTAGGAAAAGAAGGGTCTCCCAGCTCCAGCAGATAGAGCAAGAATTCACCTTTTTTGCCTTTTCATTCTACCTGGGCCCCCAGCTGATTGGATGGTACCTATCCACATTTAGGACAGAGCTTTCCACACAGTTCACTGACGCACAGCACAATCTCTCCTGGAAACACCCTCACAGACACATCCAGAAATAGTGCTCTATTATTTTTCTAGGTTTACCTTAATCCAGACAACTTTTCACCTAAAATTAACCGTCTTAAGTCCACCCTTCGGCCGGGCACAGTGGCTCATGCCTGCAATCCCAGCACTTTGGGAGGCTGAGGTGGGAGGGCCACTTGAGCCCAGGAGTTTAAGACCAGCATGGGCAACACTGTCACTATGATGCAAAAGTATTAGCTGGGCATGGTGGAACGCCTCTTTAGTCCTAGCTACTCGAGAGACTGAAGTGGGAGGATTGCTTGAGTCCAGAAAGCCTAGGTTGCAGTGAGCTGTGATCATGCCACTGCACTCCAGCCTGGGTGACAGAGTAAGACCCCGTCTAAATAAAAAAAAAAAAAAAAAAGGCCCACCTTTTGTTGACTTGACACCCATACACTACTCTTTAAGTTATATTTAATCTCCAAATAATGACAATAACAAACTAATATTTCTGCTTAACATAATAAAACTATAGTTTTAGTTTGGGTGTACAACCAAAATGCACGAATCCCTTCCACAGAAGAGGAAGTAAAGTCTTTAGGTGATGTTCACTCTTTTCCTGATATCCCTTGACCTAAACACTATGATGTAAAATTAACAGTACTTAAATACTAATGGAAAGCCAATAATTCTTATATTATATGATAAAGATATAATACAGGAATAAAAAAAGACATTTGCTTGATCCACATATATGTACTTGCAACATATTCATAACAGAGTAGGGAGGAATACTGCTGACAATTTCTGTCCTTGTTTCTGTAATTCGTCCTGTGGTCATAGCCAGTATTTATAACCATCTTCTACTCCATTCCATATTTTCTTTGCCTTCAGAAAGCACCTCAGCTAACCATGTTTCTTTACATGGCAGGGTGACCTAGACCTTCATTTCTAAAGGGGCTGGGCCATTTGAAGTCCTGCCTGGATTGGGTTGTTGCAATTTCCATTGACCTTAATCACAGAGCATGGTAATTCTAAGAGACGCCCAAAGATATCTTCTGTATTCCAGGCATGCTCTTCTTACCTCTATTGTGGAAAAATGGTCCAATTTGCCCTTGGTAACCTGAGTTAGTCACTCCAGCCAATACTGGAACTCCTTTTTTAGTCTTTTGACTCAGAGGCATGAAGAGTCCAAAGTAACAAAGTGATAATCCTTCTGGTAGAAACATCTCTCCCTCTAGAACTGAGACCTCTGGTCCAGCAGAGGTCTCATGGAACCAGGAATAAATAAAGTCATGGAACCAGGAAGTCAGTTGGCCCCATGGATCAGTAGCGGTAATGATGAGTGGTGCCAATCTCATTTCCACTCCTTGATACCTGGGCCCATGAATCTTGGTTATCAGAGAAAAAAAAAACACCATATATTGGCTGCTGATTCAGAACATACACAGCCTTCTAGAAAACCTACACAGCCTTCTAGAAAACCTACACAGCCTAAACACTACAAAAGACTGAGAACCCTGGGAACTTGTTACCTAGCTGACACTAGAACTGTATCTTCAAAAGGCCAACCCCCCCAAAGAAATTTGTTCCAGATTGATGAGGAACATGATAAGACCAGTGGATTCCATAAACACGAACACATTGCCACACCTCTTTGCCTGTGAAGTAATATCCTTGGTCAGAAGAAATGCTGTATGGAATGTCTCAATAGTGAATAGGATGACCCATTCTGTGGATACCAGTCAGCCTATTTCCCCAGCCTTGCCTGTCATCGCCCAATGGGCTCATGAATAAAGTGCCCGTGGTGGCAGCATGGAGGTTATGCATGGGCTCAGCAATATGGACCTCCACTCATCAAGGCCAACCTGTCTGTAGCCACCACGGAGTGCCAAATCTACCAGTAGCAAAGACCAAAACTGAGCCCTGTTATGACACCATTTCCCAGGGTGATCAGCCAGTTACGTGATGGCAGGCTGATTATGCTGGACAACATCCATAATGGAAGAGGCAACATTTTGTGCTTACTAGAATGGACATTTACTCTGCATATGGATTGGCCTTTTTTGCAAGCAACAGTTTTGCCAAAACTACCACCAGTTCAGTTATAGAATTCCCAATAACCCCTCAACATCTTAATGCACTCCTTAATGCATCAGCTCAAACTCCAAAATCCAGAGTCTCATCTAAATTAGACATGGGTGAGAAAAAAGGCACTAGTCACCCTGAGGCAAATTTTCCTCCAACTGAGTCTGTGAAATTGAACAAGTTATCTGTTTTCAAAATACAATAGTAAAACAGGCGTAGGATAGACATTCCCTTTCCAAAAGGGAACAACAGGAAAGAAGAAAGGAGTAACAGTTCTCAAGTAAGCCCCAAAACCAACAGGGCAAACAGTATTACGTGTTAAGACTTCAGAATAATCTTTTTCTCCATGTGCCACCTTCTGGACACACTGGGGCAGGGATTGGGCCCCCGAAGCCTCAGGCAGCCCCACTCCCATGGTTTTGCTGGGCTCAAGCCATGCCATGGCTCTCCCAGGATAGAGTTGCACACCAGTAGCTCTATAGTTCCAGGGTCTCTACAGTGGCCTTTACCCCAGTTCTGCTGGGCATTGCCCTAACAGGGACTCTCTGCAGAAGCTAGACCCCAACAAAAGTCTCTTCCTGGGCCCCAGGGCTGTCCAAGACATCCTTTGGAACCAGGTGGAGGAGGCCATGCCCCCAAGCTTCTTCACTCTGGGCATCTCAGAGTTAGCACCATATGGACCCACCAACATTTACCGCTTGCATCTTCTGAAGCAGCAGTCTGAGTTGTGCCAGGATGGCTTGAGCCGGCTTGAGATTTATGCCTTACAGTTCTGGAGGCTGGAAAGTCCAAGATCAAGGGGCCCACATCTGGTTAGGCCCTTTGTGCTACGGCCTTCCATGGTGCAAGGCAGAAGGGCAAGAGACGGTGCATGCGCACGTGAAACAGAGAGAGAGAGAGCGGCCAAACTTGTCCTTTTACCAGAAACCCATTCTCACAATTACTAACCTACTCCCTTGATGATCTCATAAATCTACGCAAGTGGGCAGAACCCTCATGGCCTAACCACCCCAAAGGTCCCATCCTTCCACACTGTTGCACTGGGGATTAAGTTTCCAACACATGCTTCGGGAGTATACCTTCAAACCATAGCACCATTTCCCAAGAGAAGACAAGACTCAATACTAAGTTGCACTCTGTCCCCTGAACCTTTTATTAAGTGGCCCAATCTCTACCTCTAGGCACTATACATAATAAAATTCATCTCCCTCATACTTAAGTTCATCATTCTCATACTTGAGGAAAATATAATCTTCTCTTCTTGAAATAAAAATTCAGCTCCTTCAAATACTCTTCATCTGACTTGATAGTCACAAAAATGTGTTTTTAGCGGCCAGCACATTCAAAACAGCAGTCAGTGTCCAGAACTGCATATGGAGTTGCTTAGAATGTCAGATCCAATCTGTTTTAACCCTATCACACACCAAAATTGGTTCTACTACAAAATGAATACCTGATATTAGCTGTTTACTTTTTAGTCACACAGAAACAGAAGTTGTGGACCAACTAAATAAAGGTGCTTTTTGATTAACGTAATGTTAACTGTATCACATAATATATTTTTACCCTTCTATCTGCCCTCCTTGCTCACCCCACCTGTCACCTATCAACCGGACACATCATCTCTTCTTCAGCTTTCCGATGACCTTAGATGTAACTGTGGCCACTCTTCCTGATTACTGTCTGTTGAAAAAAAAGAGAGGAATTTCTAGAAATGGATTGCACTGGAAGTTTCTTCATGAGTTTATCCATCACCTCTCCTTTATAAAGTACCTGACAGCAGCTATGATTTTTTGAACAATGACTGAAGAAAAGATTACAAGAAATATTTGTAATAGTGCGGACCATTAATAAGAAGTTATCTTTATAATCAGAAAAAAAGTTGTGTTTTATTAGGTATATGACACTTTCCAGAAAGCTTTAATATGTTATCACGAATTAAAACATGGTATAGATCCTACACAGATTCTGTGAAAACAAGCTGCACCTAATTTCTATCTACAAGTAGAGTTTCTGCAATTTCTGAAAAGCCAAGCCAAGGCCGACACTTAAATTTACAGGCACTCGAACCCCTTATGCCACTTGAGGCACCAAATCATTCACTTCTTCCTTCTGTCAAGGTATTTAACACTCTACTGGAATTCTGTTCCATTTTTCTGCTTTGCTGACTCATTGAGTGTGAGGACGATGTCTGCTTTACTATGGGTTACTTAGCACCTATTGCAGAGCCTGACATATACTAGTATGCAGTAAATATTAATAAATGAATGAAAAATTATTGAAAGTTATGAGTTTTTATAGCACCACAAATCCATAATCAAAAGTGTTTCCAAAATATGTCTCTACTAATTTACCCTGTGTGTGTGTGTGTGTGTGTGTGTATGTATGTGTTTTTCCTTTATAGGGTATCCTCATAGCCTTACTGTGAGTAAGCTGACCCCTGGGGACTCCTACAATAGCACTTTCTGCAATGCTTTCTACCTCCCAATAGCACTCTGATACCACGTGAAGCTAGAATCTGCCAAGGCTGAAATGGAACCACAGAACCTTTAGCCTTTTCTGGGATCAGGTAGAGAACAGGACAGCAGGGTCACAGCAAGGCAGGATGGCTTGCCTGAGAGGGCATTCTGGAGTTCTCGAAAGTTTCCTGTCAGTGAAAGAGTAATAGCAATTCCTCTTTAGATCAAAAAGAATTGTCTAATACATCAGTGCTCATGTGCTTTACCCGAACCTCTCCTTTCTGTTGGGTAGCAGAGATGGAAAGTGTGAAGCAACGAAAATCCAGGATATCTTTCAAGTCTTCCCCAGAACCAGATCACACCAGGTGTCAACCATGGTTCAGATCCTATGCTAAGTGATGGATGAACACAGAGGTCCTGACACTCTGGGAATCCATGGTGTAAACCAGTAATTACAATATAAAGTGTCTAAATTCTACACTGGAAGTAGCAGGGAAGAAGAATTGAAGAACCAACCAATTGGACTGGGCAGGTAAAAAAGACACACTAGCAATGATGGGGATCACGTGGAGAGGGAAAGGGTGCAAGAACAAGTACAAAAATATGGAAGTGCAGAGGTCGCCTGGTTCTCAGGGTTCTTAGCAATGAGTTCATTATGATTGGAAAGCAGGGCGGTAGGCAGGGTGATGGAGAGCATGTGACTGGACTGGAAAAGATAGGTCAGAGCCGAGATTGGGAGAAGTATCAGGGCAGCAGGCTCTACAGTGGGGAGCTGGGAGTCCTGACGGAGGGCGATGGGTGCTGGGCATTTCAGGCAGGACCGAACAGTTATCCATTGTACTTCCAGCAGGGCTCCAGAGCCAAGCTCATGGATCAATCATCACATGCCTACATTAACCCATACGTGTGGGATCATCTGTCCTCTTAAGAGATGTAGCAGCAAGCTATATTTTTTTCAAAAACCCTTATGCAAACATTTTTCACCAAGTAAATTCTGATGTGTTAAAAAAAAAAAATAGTATTGATTAAGGTGGCCTCTACATTTCCTTCAAATTTCAACAGTCCCAAAGTATTGGTGACCTGCCAATAAACAGAACAGTAATGATTTCCCTGGCATGTTTCACAACAGTTTTGTCTGCCTCTCTGGTCCTCGATCATACATTTGTTTTATTATGTTGCATATTTGAATCTAAGAGCATTATTCTCACAACTGCAAATGTTGGCATTATTCTCTGTGGTCAAGAAAATGTATTTAAATAAAATATTTTCCTCTTGTTTTGCTGCTGAAATATGTACAGCTAACCTTTAGTTGTGATAAAAAGTATGTTTACTAATAGAGTCCAGAATTTGGGTTGCTCTAGTTTGTCTGTTAATTAAAGGATTTGGGGCTACCAGATATATTGTGTTAGTAGGTTTCTAAAGCATAAAAACCCCCAAAGCATGTAGTGCCTTGCAAATAATTTTACTACAAAGGGATTATGGAAATATATATATATGCTCTCTATATTCTGACACCCAGTTGTTAGTTCTCAGTTCATGGTATAGTTAGTTGGTGTAGAGTGACATTCAGATTTTTTATAGGTTATTAATAATAGCCTACAAAATTAATTACTGTACCTTGTACTAATCTAGCACCTTTCAAAGCACATTACATCCATTTTATTATCTCATTTATTCTCACAACATTTTGGTGAGATGAGGAGAAATGGATATTACTGATTAGAAACCTGAAGAGTGAGAGAGAGAGTCACATTACCAAGCTGGTCAGCATCCAAGCTGAGACTGGGGCCGGGAACAGAGGCTGAGGCCTGTAATCCCAGCACTTTGGGAGGCCGAGGTGGGTGGATCACAAGTACAAGAGATCGAGACCATCCTGGCCAACATGGTGAAACCCCGTCCCTACTAAAAATACAAAAAAAATTAGCTGGGTGTGGTGGCGCACACCTGTAGTCCCAGCTACCCAGGAGGCTGAGGCAGGAGAATCACTTGAACCCAGGAGGCAGAGGTTACAGTGAGCCAAGATTGCGCCGCTGCACTCCAGCCTGGTGATAGAGTGAGACTCTGTCTCAAAAAAAAAAAAAAAAAAGAAAAAAAGCTGAGACTGAACTTAAATGCCAGCCCTGCCAAATGTTTCTCTTCACTGAAGACAATGCTACACAAGAAAGATGAATTTATTTACACTGCTCACATTTCTGGAAACATTTTGGCCTCAGCGAGTGATTTTACAGTTCTAAGGTGGCTTTTCTGAAGAAGACCTCCTCAGTGGTCTCAGACGTGAGCCCCATATGAACCACGTATAGCAGAAATCACTCTGTTGACATACCCAAGCCTCAGTTAACCAATGAGTGCCTGCTGTCTTTTCCTACAGAAATAGAGTCATCTCTTATGGGATACCCAATGTTTAAATGTTGTAATTAGATATCAATTACTCTCAGTAGTCACTGTGTGCCTATGAAGCCTACACAGGGGGAAGCTTCCTGCAGCCCCTGATGTGTAAAGACTGGTGCTTTTCCAGTCTGTGTTCTGTGAGCTTCTGAAACTTTACCACAATGGTCAGTAATTTTTTATTCCTTTTTGTAACAATTTGTGAAGCGATTCCACTCTTAACTAGGTTTATAACGTGTATAAAAATGGTTAGTTGAAAAAGATACTTAATCGTGACTAAATAACTGAAGCATAAATGCACAAACTGTAAGGAGAAATATGCAGCTAGAAATGGAGTGTAATACTTGCATGGGTATAAACAAAGAGTTGTTGCTTCTAAGCATGGGGTCTGAGATCTGTATTTCTAGCCCACTTTGGGTTAGTTCTTTTCTATTCTCCCATTAAAAAATTCTGAGTGGTTAAGTGATTTTCTACATAATAATCTGGTTTCTATTTACTGGCAACTTCCTTGTGTGAGGGCAAGTACAAATTGCACATAATATTTAATTTTTTTCTAAGCAATTCTTACAAGAATAGATGTTAAAGTGCAGAGTCTTTATGTTTTGATGAATTTACTAGCATGCCATTTTAGATTTGCAAGCAGGTCTAGTGAATTGAGGGGTGTGATTTTCCTCCAGTTTAGTGGATATCCTAATCAGAAATGCCACTGATTTCCCAGATTTTTTTTCTTTTTCCAAAGCAGGAGAATGCATTTTATATGCTTGATATGGTTTCATTCTGTGTCCCCACCCAAATCTCATCTAAAACTGTAATCCCCACGAATTAGGGAGGGACCTAGTGGGAGGTGAATGGATCATGGGCGTAGTTTCCTCCATGCTGTTCTCATGATATCAAGGGAGTTCTCACAAGATCTGATGGTTTAAAAGTGGCACTTCCCCCTTGCTCTCTCTCTCCTGCTGCCATGTAAGACATGCCTTGCTTTCTCTTAATCTTCCTGCCATGATTGTAAGTTTCCTGAGGTCTCGCCACCCATATGAAATTGTGAGTCAATTAAACCCCTTTTCTTTATAAATTACCCAGTCTCAGGTAGTTCTTCATAGCAGTGTGAGAATGGACAAATACAATGCTGTTTGGGGGAATTAGAAAAACAAATTCCAGGTTGATGTCTCACTCAAAAGCTAAGAAGTGAACTAAAGGGCTGAATATTATCCTTTAAAATATAAGAGTAGGCTTAAATTTTTGAAAGGGTGAAACTTCTTAAACAAGAAACAAAATTCAGGACCTAGACAGAAAGAAGTTGGCCTAGTTGACTACTAAGCTAAAAAATAATAAAAAGCTTGGAGATAACAATTTGCAACATACAGAACAGATGACACTTTATATATAACATATGTAAAGAGGTTCTACATATAAGCAAATAAAAGCCAGAAAAGTTGAGCAAAGAGTACAAATGGGAAATTTATTGAAGATAAAACTTATTTTCTCATTGTACTTGCCAAAATTTAACATCTTCATGAAAAATCTATACTGGAAAGCATTTGAGAAGTAGGTGCTTTGGGGAAAGCTAATTTAAAGCAGCCTTCTTGGAGGGCAGCTTGGGGTCATTGATTGAAAAGATAAATACCTATCATTTTTGATCCAGAATTCCTTTTTTAGCACCTAACAGAAATACTTGTAGTTATATTCAAAGGAGCACATTTGTAAGGATGTCTAATACATTTATTATAAAAGCAAAAATTTGTGAACAGCTAAATTTATTGAAAGAGTAAGTGTCAAAAATACAGAATATTTTGTTTGAATTACCATTGAAAAGGTTTAGATTTAAATGTACTGACAAGAAAAAATTATCTAGGATATACATTTATGGAAATAGAAACACATTGTGAAATCTTATATAGGGTATCACCAACTTGATATTTTATACAATAAATAGAAGGAAATACTAAGGTATGAATCTATATGCATATATAGAAGCCAAAGGGTATGTTTATAAGACACACAAAATTGTTAAAAGCTAAAATCTCTGAGGAGGAAAGTAGGCTGGGCGTTGCAGGAACAGTGGCAGGAGGACAACGAGGAAATTGAAGCAACACTTTCCGTCGTTATTTTATGTATTTCTGCATTATTTTACAACTATAAGGTCAACGGTAGCATTCTGTCTTGGTAATTATGTGATTTGTTCTTTTTTTCTGTAGCCCACTGGTTCAGAATATCCACAAAATCCAGCAGGGGTAGCAAACGCTCAGACCCATAGAAACAAGCTCGCGGAAACTGAGTGGCTGAGATGGTCAGCACCGTCTTCTGACATGCGTTTTGAGAGAATCAGACACCATCCTGGACACGGAGAACAGGTTAAATCCAAGCTATGCAGATAATCCACCAACTACCTTGGCACTTGAGTAGATCTGCCTGGTTAAAGAATAAGCTGTTAGTTTTGAATGAACAGGAATATCAAGAGACCTCAACAAAAAGAACCCAAACCTCAGGAAAACCTACTTCAGGAAAACAGTGGTTTTTTTTTTTCTTTTTTCTTTTTTTTTTTTTTTTTTTGAGACGGAGTCTGGCTCTGTCACCCGGGCTGGAGTGCAGTGGCGCGATCTCGGCTCACTGCAGGCTCCGCCTCCAGGGTTCTCGCCATTCTCCTGCCTCAGCCTCCCGAGTAGCTGGGACTACAGGCGCCCGCCACCAAGCCCGGCTAATTTTTTGTATTTTTAGTAGAGATGGGGTTTCACCGTGTTAGCCAGGATGGTCTCGATCTCCTGACCTCGTGATCCACCCGCCTCGGCCTCCCAAAGTGCTGGGATTACAGGCGTGAGCCATCGTGCCCGGCCGTGGATGCTCCACTCTTACGATCTAACTGCCTCCTAAAGTCTGCACCTCCCAATACCATCACATTAGGGTGTCAACATGTGAATTTGGGGGGACATAAACTTTCACTCCATAGCATTTTTATAAATTAGATACAACCACCACAGTAATAAATTTTTAAAAAAGATACGTGCCATACAGTAAAAAGACTCAAATAAAGCAATCGTGGAACTTGAAATGAGTGTATTAAAAGGTAAAGTCTCCATGATTGCGTCAATCCTTATCTCCACAATCTAATTAAAAGCTGTTTGAAGGAGACATACCTAAAACTGAGAGGCAACAACTTCATCAAAAGTTTGATGACGGATGCAGAGAGGCACAGCCCGGCATCCTTAACTAGGAAATGGGTGGCTGAAGAAGAATCTGTGTCCGCTCAGTAAAGTGTGCATCCCTGGCTTCTCTCACACATTCAGATACATTTTCTTACCAGAACATCACAGTAACTATCATTATTCTATCGAATTTAAAGAAAATCACCTCAAAGTCAAATAGCCAGTAAATCGCATAGTGGGGGCTCAAAACCAGGTTTTCTGCCTTCTCAAATCTAGAGCATAGTCAATAGTGTCTAACAACAAAATGAATGATGCCGTTTCTATCATCTTTCTCAACATTCCACTAGACTTGGTATCACATCTGAGATATAAGATGGATTCAAAGTCACTATTCTTGCAATATCATTTAGAATGACATTGGACCACATTCTTAAAAGTTTGTAGATTTTTGGCTGGGCACGGTGGCTCACGCTTGTAATCCCAGCACTTTGGGAGGCTGAGGCAGGTGGATCACGAGGTCAGGAGATCGAGAACATCCTGGCTAACATGGTGAAACCCCGTCTCTACTAAAAATGCAAATAATTAGCTGGGCGTGGTGGCAGGCACCTGTAGTCCCAGCTACTCGGGAGGCTGAAGCAAGAGAATGGCGTGAACCAGGGAGGTGGAGCTTGCAGTGAGCCGAGATCGCACCACTGCACCCCAGCCTGGGCGACAGAGCGAGACTCCATCTCAAAAAAAAAAAAAAAAAAGTGTGTAGATTTTTAATATACAAGCCAATGTGTGTATTAATTCATTTTCACACTATTATAAAGACATACCTGAGACTGGGTAACTTATAAAGGAAAGAGGTTTAAGTGACTCACAGTTCTGCGTGGCTGGAGAGGCCTCAGGAAACTTACAATCATGGCAGAAGGGAAATCAGTCACCTTCTTCACAAGGGAGCAGGAGAGAGAAGAGAGCAGGGGAAACCACCACTTATAAAACCATCAGGCCTCATGAGAATTTACTCACTATCAGGAGAACAGCATGGGGGAAAGCGCCCCCATGATCTGATCACCTCCCACTAAGTCCCTCCCTCAACATGTTGGGATTACAATTTGACATGAGATTTGGGTTGGGACACAGAGCCAAAGCATATCAATGGGGAACACTGTGTACATTTAGGAGGGAGTTGCTTACGTATCATTTCTCTTTTTTAACAAAATTACTAAGCAGGCAAAATAGAAAAAAAAAGTGTATTCTAGCATTGTTGATATTTTCCCTTGTGAAGTAGACTGCATTTGCAAGTTACAGTTTTACATGTTTAGAAAGATTCCTTTCTAAACATAGGAAGTCATTTACTCTCAAGCGACAGACACAGTACAGGTGCCTGTTAATACAGGACAGGAACAAACCTTCCTTCCTTCATGACCAATTAAGAAATTTCTACCGGCCGGGCGCAGTGACTCACGCCTGTAATCCCAGCACTTTGGGAGGCAGAGGCGGGCGGATCATGAGGTCGGGAGATCGAGACCATCCTGGCTAACACGGTGAAACCCTGCCTCTACTAAAAATACAAAAAATTAGCCGGGCGTGGTGGTGGGCACCTGTAGTCCCAGCTACTTGGGAGGCTGAGGCAGGAGAATGGCGTGAACCCGGGAGGCGGAGCCTGCAGTGAGCCGAGATCGCGCCACTGCACTCCAGCCTGGGCAACAGAGCGAGACTCCGTCTCAAAAAAAAAAAAACCAAAAAAAAAAAAAAAAAAAAGAAATTTCTACCAACATATAGAACTCTTTAGTCAAACTAGATCCCCTGTAATGACAAAACTTACAACTACTTTCACTTGCGTTGGAAGCACAATTTCCTTAATGGTAAAAAAAATGTAGCTTCTGCCACTTTCTGTATTTAAACACAATTTCCGTTATTTTCACAGGATTTAACGTAGTCAATACAGTCAGTAACTCAACATTAAAGGCCAAGTTTTGTTTCTATTTTTTAAAATGATTTCTCACGAATAAAATAATTGATAATCTCAAAAGGAACCATAAAGTCTGATGACTGCCATATTAAAATTATAAATTCTCATCCCATTATTCTAACACATTTTGCTTCTATGCAATAGAAAACAACTAATCCAAACAATCTACGTTTTGCCAGGGGTCATGTCATCCAATGTCAAGGCAAATTGGCAGCTTATATGTTAACGGAATGTGTCACATCCTGAAGCCTATAGCCATGGAAACTGAAGATGCTGCAAAGTTCAAATGTCTTCAGTTCCCAGATTCATTTCTCCATCGTCTAGAGGAACATATCTTTGAATTTCCGTGGAAAATAGTCCTGTTGTTTTGAACTGTTTCGCATAGATATCTCCTGGTGAATGGTAAAACATTGCCAAAGAACTGTGTGTATTTAGGAATAAGCTTCTAGAAAATATGAGGGTCTCATATTAATAAACTTCCTACCTGCCTCATACAAAAATTAGTGTGCAAATGTGTTCAAATAACCTTTGCGGAGCTTTCAATAAGCAAGTATTCAAACATGAGAAGGATGTTAAAATATGTTTTCTTTCATAGGAAATGCAATAACAACTGAGTTTCAGATTCTTTAGCACTGTGAAAATTCAAGTTTATTCATTTTATCTGATGTCAGAAAAACTCAAATTGAATCACTTCAGATTTACAAATAATATAAATGTGGCAGCACAATGCTACAGCTATCCTCACTCTGTGTCTATATCTGAATCTATATTTACACCTCCGTCTATAGATGTAGATAGGAATGTGGTATATATCACACTGTGTATAAGTGACAAGTACAATTGGCATTTTTAAGCGTCATGAATCATAACTAAGTCTTCGCAGTTCCTCCCATTAAGTACTAACATCACGAAGAATTTCTACATAGAATGTATAAGTTTTATTTTACAAATTATTATTATACAGTTTAAAAACATTTTTTGTGAGATATACAGCCACAAAAGTACATAAAACAAAATATATTGTTTAACAAACCATTGTAAACACCCATATAAACACTACCCACAGCAAAAGTTAGGACACTGCCAGAACCCCTGGTCCCCCTGAACATCCCTTCTTGATGTCACCTTTCCATTCATAGAGTCACTATCCTGACTTAGATGACAGTCACTTCCTTTCTTTGCTTATATTCTCATCACTCATGCCTGTGTCGCTATTCTATTTTAGTTATGCTTAATTTTGAACTTTATTTAAATGGAAGTGTACAACACTTCATTCCTTGCTTCTTTCACTAAACAATATTTTTAATTACCCATGTTTCATAGGACGTAGTCCTTGCACTTTTTATAGTGTTCCATTGTCTGAGTATTTTGCAAGGTATTTGCCCATTAGACTGATAATGGTTATTTGGATTATTTCCAGTTTTAGCTATTCATGGACATTGCTGGAAGAAGCATTATTGTACATTTATCCGGTTGTACGTATGCTTAATTGTCCATGATCAGAAATGGAATTGCCTGTTAATAATACATGATCCAAAAGTTTTTCTGAAAGCATGGTATATTACCATCACTCTATGTGCTCAGCAATACTTGCTTTTGTCAGTTGTTGTAATTTTTGTGAGTTCAGTGAATCTGTGCTATATCCTTCTGATTTTAATTTGCTTTTTCTCAATTTCTAATACCATAAAGCATTTTATCACAGGTTTTTCGAACATGTGTATACCCCTTTGAGAGGTGACTGTTAAAGTATCTGCCCATTTTTCTTCTGAATTGCTTGTCTTTTAATAATAATAATAATGACTTGTGGAAATCTCATTAGATAAGAAATGTTTTGCCAGATAAATTAG
The DNA here is from genome assembly GCF_000001405.40 of Homo sapiens. Classification (NCBI taxonomy): domain Eukaryota; kingdom Metazoa; phylum Chordata; class Mammalia; order Primates; family Hominidae; genus Homo; species Homo sapiens. The sequence goes on from NC_000002.12 coordinate 5,429,265, forward strand.
ATCCAATATCTCTAGTAAATTTGTGTATTAAACAAATATTTATGTTGCTGTATGAGTCCCCTATTAACTGGGTTTCATTTATTGAAGACTGCAATTTAACACTGATTTTCAAAGCTGTTACCATCATAAATCCTGTCAGGCGTTCATGGCTCTACTTCTGGGCTATCTACTTTTGCCTGTTTGTCTATTTGTCTGTCTTCAGGTCAGCTGACACATTGTACCTATTGCTATACCTTTTTTTGTTTTTTTTTTGTTTGTTTGTTTTTTGAGATGTAGTCTCGCTCTGTAACCCAGGCTGGAATGCAGTGGCACAGTCTCGGCTCACTGCAACCTGTGCCTCTCTGGTTCAAGCTATTCTCCTGACTCAGCCTCCGGAGTAGCTGGGAATACAGAAGCCCACCACCATGTTCAGCTAATTTTTGTATTTTTAGTAGAGACAGGATTTCACCATATTGGCCAGGTTGGTCTCAAACTCCTGACCTTGTGATCCACCTGCCTCAGCCTCCCAAAGTGCTGGGATTACAGATGTGAGCCACCGCACCCGGCCCCTAGTGCTATACCTTTTTAAAAAGCTTTGATAGTGATACATCAAGATCTCCCAGCTTGTTCTTCTTTTAAAATATGAAAACTATTTTGGTTATATTAATGTTCGTAACTGAATCATATAAAAATCATATAAGAAAGTTATAGAATCATATAAAAAACTCCTTTTGGGATTTTGTTTGCTATTGCACTGAACACATGCCTTTCAGTGTGGGGAGAACTGACACCTTTATATTATACTGTTGTGTTTTCCAATAAAGCAATATAGTGTATTTCTCCATGAGTGTTCTTTAATGTCATCAACAAAGGTGGATATTTTTACACAGATGTCTTATATTTTTTGTTAAATTTGTCTCTAGTCTTATAGATTTTTGCATCTTTATTAGAAGTATTGAAGTGGTATTTTTTAACCTTTATTTTATGTGTTATTGGTGTAGAGAAATAGAGTTTTAAAAATTGATTTAGATTGATTTATTGTCACCAACTTTGGCAAACTCTCACTAATTCTTATAGTTTTTTTTTAATAGATCTTTTTGGAGACTTTCCATCAGAGCATGTACACATAATTATAGTTTTGTTTATTCTTTTCAACTTATTTCTTCTTTTCCAATTCTTATACTTATTTTTTAAAAACTTAATACACTAGATAACTTACAATTTTTAAAATCCTGTTTAGGAACTCCGTACAATACTGAAAAGAAATACATGATAGAGCCATTCTCTCGCTAAGTTAGAACCTAAGGGAAACACTTTAACATTTTGTCATTAAGTTGTTTGTTGTTGTTTTGCTGAATTTCTTTTATCAGTATAGGAAGTTATTTTCTATTCTTAATTTAAGTGCTTTCATTAAAAATCGATTTTTAATTTTCTCAAATATTATTATGCATATATTAAAATTATTGTATTATTAATCTCCTTTAATAACCATTTTTAGTTGAAATATGCTGGTTTTCTTAAGAGCAATTATTCTTGCATTCAGGTTTAAAATCAATGAGGTCATGGTTTATATCATTTGAATCTGGCTAATATTTTGTTTCAGGTGTTTTATCTCTATGAGAGAGTAGTTTATAATTTTATCTAACTTATCTAAAAGATTAGTTAATAAAGTCAAGAAAAAATTATTTATAATTCAAATTTTATTCTGTTAAATATTTAGAAAAATCTTAGCGGCTACATTATGTGGATCTAACATTTTCTTAGTGAAGTTATCTTTTGCTTCTTTTAGAAATTTAGTTCCTTAAATTAAGGATTAATCAGATTATCTATAAAAGGGAAGGACAATTTTGGTGAGTTTTATTTTTGTGTAATATTTCATCCACTTCAAGTAAATGTTCTATTGGCTTAGAGTTGCTCATAATATTACTTTATAAACTGTTTGATATCTGCTTGGTCTATAAGGACTGATCCATTTTATCCATGAAATTGATTACCTGCACCTTCTTTCTTTGACCAGTCTCACTGTCTATCAATTTATTCATTTTGAAAAAAACACCATTTGGATTTGTTGATCTTCTCTGTGTTTGTTTTTTATTGTATTGACTTCTATTATGATTATTATGATTATGACGGCTTCTCGTCCTCTGCCAGGTGGGAACACATAAATAATATTATTACTTTTTTCTTGATTTTTAAATTTATTTTTTGCTTTAGTTTTTCAGTATCTTTTTCTTTTAATTTTGTGAGATAGGTGTTTGGTTTATTAATTTGTAGGCTTCAGTATACATTTATATAAATACATTTTTTCTTTAAGTACTGCTCTATTAATATCCCAATTATTCTGATATATAGTAATTTCACTATGATTTACTTCAAAATATTTTATTTCCATCTTAATTTCTGCTTTGGTTTGTGGGTTTCGTAGATGTGTATTTCTCGATTTCCAAACACGAGGATATTTTGTAGCATTTTTTTTGTTCTTTTTTTCCACCTTACCTGCATAGTTGTCAAAAAGCATACTCTGTGTAACTTTTACCCTTTGGAATGTGTTGAGAGTTATTTTATGGACAAGAGTATGTTCAAACTTAGAAAAATGTTCCAAGTATGCTTGCAAAAAGTATATATTCTGCAACTGAGTTCAACTCTTTTCTTTCTTCATTGCTCCCTTCCTCTTATCCTCTCACTCTTTTATCCTTCCTTTCTCTTCCTTCTTTCTTTCTTTTTTATTTTCTTTCTCTTTCTTTCTCACTTCCTCTCTCTTTTTCTTCATTAGGTGAGCTTTGCTAATCTCTTTCTTTAAATTTATCTATCCTTAATGAGTTTTTATCTTCTGGCTCTTTTAATTATTGAGGGTGGTATTGCAGAATTTCCCACAATAACTGTGGGTTATTCCATTTTCTCTTATAATTGTGTAAATTTTATCTTTTCATATTTAAGGCCATAAATTGCCTGAAATCTATAAATTGTTACATCTTCCTAGTAAATTGAACCTTTTGTCATCTGAATCTTTCATTATTACCTCTTTATCTCTAGTAATGCTTTGCCTTAACGTCAATTGTTTCTGGTAATAACATAGTTACACAGATTTCGTTTGGTTGGTATTTCCTTTATATCTCTTCTATTTTGTCCTTTTTTTAACCTTATGCTTAAGATATGTTTCTCATAATTGACATACAGTTGGAATTTTTTAATTCTGCCAGTTAATTTTTGCTTTTGACTGAAGCCTTTAGTTCTTAGTTCTTTTAACTGAAACATTGCGTTCATTAGTCTATATATGTATATGTATTTATTATATGTTAGATATGGTTTATATCATGAAAGGACAAAAGTAATAAGATATTCTGAATTGAGCATTAATACAAATTAGTTTTGTATAGAATTTTCATAATATTCATTCACTATTGACTTCCTGTTTGGTTAGTCTACAAAGACAAATTGAGATGAACTGAAGAATATGGAATCTCTACTGAGAAATTGCTGTTAATATGAGTTGATTTAGGTGTGTATATCTGCTTATGAAAACCACCTCCACAGAACTGAAAATATCAGTGTTTTAACCTACTCAGGTTTTTACATTTATGAGATAATAAAGAAATAAAGTTGAATCAACATATCCAATAATGTGGAAACTAAATTATATTAAAAACAGTAAATATTTTCATCAAAACATCAACAATTAAATAGCATGGTTATAAAGAAGGCAAGAATAACTGTTTCTAGTGATGTATAGCATTGAGTAAAATTTCAAAACTGAATACAACATACATTTAAAATTATTTCTACCAAACATTTCATTGCTCTGTAGCAAAGGGGGACTGTTTTGAGAATGGGAAATAATTCAGCACAGATTTCATATCTTTATGTCAACATCACAAGTGTGCAGTTTATATATATATATATGTGTGTGTGTGTATATATGTATATATATGTGTGTGTATATATGTGTGTGTGTATATATATAGAGAGAGAGAGAGGAGGGAGAGAGAAAGAGAAAGAGAGGGAGGGAGTCTCGCTCTGTCACTCAGGCTGGAGTGCAGTGGGACAATCTTGGCTCACTGCAACCTCCGCCTACCAGGCTCAAGCAATCCTCCCACCTCGGCCTCCTGAGTAGCTGGGACCACAGGCACACCTCACCACGCCCAGCTAATCTTTTTGTATTTTTGGTATAAACGGAATTCTGCTGTGTTGCCCAGGCTGGTCTTAAACTTCTGAGCTCAGGCAGTCTACCCGTCTTGGCCTCCCAAAGTGTTGGGATTACAGGCATGAGCCACTGTGCTGGTCTCACAATTGACTATTGACAATTTTACTAAAGGCTTCCAAGTTGTTCAATGACCCAGCATTTAGAATTCATGCTTAGATTAATATCCACTCCAGCTGCAAAAATATAAAAGAAAAACAAACTCTTTTAAGTTTTGTAAAGTAAGTTCTAGAAGCTGGTAGAGATTGAGAAGTTTCACTCTTTGTGTGATCAATTTTCACATTGAAAATATATTAAGATACAGTAATAGTAATGATGTAGGTAAAGTACGCAGCATGCCCTAAAATTTTCATAAACATTGTTCGAGTCTTTATCAAAATGAATATGGCATAATCTGAGATGAACAGCAGACAAGAGAATGCCAGGTTGCCTTCTCATTTTGTTTCATGCTGGTTATGGCATTTCTTCTCTTCTTGAGGCAGCCAACCTCTATTCACAGAGTTACTTTTCTGTACTGACATCACCATGGGAGTTTTATAAACAGCTTCATTATGCCACAGGGAAGCTAAGTGGATGTGATATTGGATACTCCCCAATTGATAAATACTACAGATAACTCAATACACAACGTTCTTTTATGACCTGTTGCAGACCGGTATTTCAGGCTCTGTGTTAATGCTTCCTTCCCACCTGAAGTTTAACCAAACCACAAAAGGAAAAGAATTTTTTTGAAAAGCCCAAGATATACCCCCTTAGAAAATATAAACAAGGCTTAACATTTCAATGTCAATTTTCAATTCAATATTTTCTCATATTCTAAGTGGATGTGTTTAGTTGTATTTTCTAAATATTACACAAGATTAATACAACACATTTGTCTAAGCAGCATTCAGCTCACCCTTTTAAAGCCTCAAAAAGCATGCATATGTTTTAGGGTGAGAAATAATGGCACACAATTTTTTTTTACATAAATTACATAAATTAAACAATATTATTACAAAAGTTTTATATTTTTAACCAAGTAAGTATAGCTTAATTTAGGGGAAAGTGGTAAGATTAGGTTGACTTTATGCTGCCTTCAGCTGAATTTTTGTGGGTGTTAATCAATGTGAATTTTTATTTTGGTCAATACCTGTAAGAAGAGACCTTCTAAAGGCATATTCTCACTCAGAATTTTTGAGATGCCATTTTCAAATTTAAAAATTATACTTATTTGAAAGAGTGTGTGTGTGTGTGTGTGTGTGCGCGCGCACACGCACCCATGCACACACACGGGCCTGCCTGCACACGTGCACACTCATGTATGTTTAAATTCTCTCAATCCCCCCCAAAGAAGTTGGAAACATTTGCGATATAATACAAATGCCAGATCCACATCTAAAAATATACGTTGAATTTAAAGATAATAAATAAAAGCTCCAAGAAGAATTCAAGCCAGATTTGTTTAATTTTATGCCACATAAATATTGAAAATATAATAGCACTCTCTCCTTCCTAGTCGTGTGTAACATAATCTGGTCTAGTGTTTCAAATTCTTTCTCTAGAAGCACTAATCAGTTACCTATGCTTTGAGCCAGGCATTATAAAAAGCAACCAAAGTGCTTTGCAGACTTTTCATTATTATCACATATCTCTCATTTTGCCAAGAATATTGTAATCATTTGGATTAAATGTTTGATGATGCTGTCACTAGCAAATTTAACTCTAATGAGTTTAATAAAAACAAACAAAAATAAATAACTCCTGCGGTAGGACCTGACCCACATCTCAAACCGGGTTAACAGGACAAAGACTTCCCTCGGCTCTCAGCTCTGCTGCCTTGGGGCCAAACCTATTCTAGGCATCACTTGCTTGTAAGGCAGCTGTAGCAGTTCTAGTGTGCTGGTCCTCTCTGTGCACCTGTGGGACAACAGTTCATTTTGTAGGGAGCACAGATTCAATTCAGGTGCTGAATGCCCTTGGCCCTGATGGGCTTGATTTGCATCACATGTTTCTGTCTGAACCTTATGCTTGATTACAGAACCAAAATGGCTAATTAGCCGGTCTAGATCAAATGCTATGTCTTCACAACTTTATATTTATATTTATTGAACATAATAGAGAGGTAGTTTCCCCCAAGACACTGCAATGCAGGTATTTGAAGGGGAAATGGTTGATGCTGTAAGGCAAAAATAACAGCCACTGATTACATTTCGCCCCTTTTTGCAGCTACTTCTTCGCATCCACATGTCTATAAGAATGTCCGTGCCCTCCTGAAACATACCACTTCCTAAATTCATCAGGATAATCCACCCGGCTCAAGGTCAAGGTTAAGGATCTCTCATCCACATGCAGTTCTTTCAGTCAGACCTGATCTAGCTCCTCATGGTTGGGTGGTCTACAGACAAGTGATAAGTTAAACCATTCCCCATGCGCCCAATATGCAAAAACAGAGACAATGAGACTTGTTTTGGAGGCAGGGGAAGCAACTTCCCTTTGAAGATGCTCCCTGGTGAATGTCCCGTAACTGAAAGGACAGTGAGGTTTCTCTAGCTGGCTGTGAAGTTTCTTAATCAGTTATCCTGACTGCCCTGGTTTTATTCTTAGGAGAATCACCTTTGTCTGTGGTTCTCCAGGACCACGTGGGAGGTCACTTTGGGAGCCACTTTGAAAGAAGTAAAAAGAAACAGGTGGAGTCAATTGTAATACATTTTTAATTTTACCTACTACATCCAAAATGTTATCATTTCATCATGTAAACAATATAAAAGTTACCAATGAGCTATTCTACATTCTTATTTTTCTATTAAGTGTTTGAAATCTGGTGTGTGTTTTTCAATTACAGTATATCTCAATTTGGGCTAACTCATTTCAAGTGCTCAATAGTGACACCTGGCTAGTGAGTACCCTATTGGGCAGTACAAATATAGATAAAGAAGAGCTATAAAGAATTTTAAGAAAAAACATGTGGTAGGATTCAATTTTAGCTACATTTTCCTGGTGGCTGTGGGGAGCATGGATTTGAGCTTGGCACACATCTTACTGGATTATCGAAATGAATACAGTGATATAAGTTTGAAAATCCTTTAGCAGGTAGAGATGGGTGGCTAAAATCAGTTGATAATTTTTAACTACAACCTTTAAGAGTGGAGGGTCTCTTCCTTTGCAACATTTTCCTTTTTACTTGCTAAGATGTATTGCACCAAAAAATGTGACTTTTTTCTTAATTCCTTTGTTCTATGGCTAAGCCCGTAGTGGAAAGGACCCCAAGAATGAATCCGTGCAATGAGGAATTGAACCATCTCAGTCTAGAGCCAGCCGGCAGAGTTTGGTGTGCAGAAGCATTGCAGTGTATGGACAAGGCCACAGGCAGTAGGAGCTGCCTCCAAAGCAGATACTGAGAATGCTGCTCAGTGCTTACGGGGCAGTGGCTGGTTCAAGCCTCACCTCGCCACTTTGCCTCTACTAGTGCTGAGGAATCCTTTTGCCTTGAAGACTTTTCCATTTCAAAATTTCTTGGAGCATTCTAGGTCTAACACTTAGTAACTGTGTGACATTAGACGGGTTAGTTATTCTCTCTTATACTTAGTTTCCAAATCTGTAATACGATATAGTAATGTTGGCTATATGCCAACCTTGCAGGGGTTGTTAGGAGTAATAAATTAGGCATATAAATTTCTGAGTATGTTGCCTGGCATATAGTAGGTGCTCACTATTATTATTAGTAGTAGTATTAATAGTATTAGTAGTAGTAACAGAAAATATAAGGAATTAGAAATGTGTGTAGAATTTTTTCAGAAGATAATCTCTGACTGAAAAATAATCTATATGCAATTCAAAGCTCAACATTTATTGGGAGAGGAGAAGAAATAGAGAAGTTCAAACATGTAAATGATAGTACATAAGGCAAAAAGAATAGTAGTGAATGTTGTTTTATAGTATCAAGTCATGCATGAAAATGTCACCAAGTTAGTGACCTGGTTTTATAAAGAAATTAGAAGTCATACAAATGAAAATACAAAACATAACACGATACAGAAAATTACAAACCTAGTATTACTTCCCCTCCAACCAGATGACACCATCTTGCTTTCCCCATTCTCTGCCAGACTCCTCAGACACCCTCCCTTCCTTGTAAACATCTTTATGACATCACCACCCCATAAAAGCCTGCATGTCACTTATTTACTGATGGTAAAATAGCCCGTCACAACACAGCGTGATGTCATACGGATCAAAGAAACACACTCTGGCCCTTTCTTTAAATAGGCATGATGTTTGTGAAAAAAACATACATATCTTTCTTGTACTTGCTACTGAGAAAGCTGTTGTGAATGTTGGCATGCTGGCAGATTTTAAGAAACACCTTTCACACTCTTGCACAACATCTACTGAGGCAGACATGCATCCACGACACTGGCTGTTTGCTACAGGCACTGTGTGACTGCTTGTCAGGCTTCCAGTGAGGCGTCTGCATCCTGGCTCTAACTATAATTTTAAAAATTAAGTTAAGATGACCACTCTAAAAATATGGATGTTTTAAAACATGAAGTGATGGGAAGACTTACTTAAGCATTGTGTTGGGGCAGAAAGCCCCTGATGAGGGCTTCTGGTCTTCCTGCCAGGTGGGAACACATCAGCAGACTCTTAGAGAAATGCCCCCAGTCCTGTCTCCCTGAGTATAGTTATAAATATTAAATATTAAGGCGCTGTATGGTCAGGAATGGATGACTTGAGTAATAGAATTGTGCTCTCTCTCTTTCTCTCTCTCTCCTTGTCTCTCTCACTCCCTGTCCTCTTTTTTAACACTGCCTGCAATAACTTCTTCCTTCTTCCCCAATGAGATCTGAAGGTAACAGATGTAAAGTCTTACACATTCTCGTTACAATGTCTCAACGCGGCATGTCATCGCACTGCGGCATAAAAGCCAGCCACGCAGTGTGACACGTGGTGTCCCCACGGGTAGTACTGTTTCCGTGGTTCCCTCTCTCTGAATGTAGGGGATCTGTGAATTAGGTGCACAGGCTGAAAGGGCTTCCAAAACAAATGGGAAGTTTCATCATTTTAGTGAAAATGGTTTGCTTTGAGTCCATCCTGCAGTCCCGTAGATACACATTGGTTGATTCTTTCCTTGGGATTTTTCTAAGCCAGTACTCTGGAGTTTGCATGAACAGCAGGCAAGACAATACACAACATTAAACATCAGTGTTTCAAAGATAGGAATATTGAAAAACACTCTCATTTTTAAGGAGAATTTTCTGAGGTGCATAATGACCTAAATTCTAGTATAAAAATACATAAGATCGGCCGGGCATGGTGGCTCACGCCTGTAATCCCAGCACTTTGGGAGGCCAAGGTGGGCGGATCACGAGGTCAAGAGATCGAGACCATCCTGGCTAACACAGTGAAACCCCATCGCTACTAAAAATACACAAAATTATCAGGGCATGGTGGTGGGAACCTGTAGTCCCAGCTACTCGGGAGGCTGAGGCAGGAAAATGGCATGGACCCAGGAGGCAGAGCTTGCAGTGAGCCGAGATCACCCCACTGCACTCCAGCCTGGGCGACAGAGCAAGACTCCATCTCAAAAAAAAAAAAAAAAAAAAAACACATAAGATTTTCACATTTACTTACCATGACTTTTAAGATAAGGAGCATAAACAGCATAGACACAAAAAAATGTGTGTCTACTACGGAAATACATTGCATAAGATGAATCTAATTAACCTATATCTGGATTCACAGTAGAAAGATCAGGTGCTTTGGAATGAGAAAAACGACATAAGACTTTTGGCAATTTACTTAAACTCTCTTGGTCTCTGCATCTGTAAAATGGAGTTATTATGTTCAATCTTCCAAGACTGTGGAAATGAGTGATGGATAAGAAGATAGATCTAGGCTTCCTAAGGTGCGGTGTAGTACACACAGCTTTAATAGAGCTGATGATTGGCGTGGCATACAGATGAACTTTCTCAATTTTACACATGTAGCTAGTGGTGCATGCATTTCTACACCTCACGTTCATGACAAGTGGTACTGGGTTCCCCATTTTGTTTCAGTGTGATAAGATTACTTTTTGCATTTGCTCATGTAAATGAGAAAAAGTGAGTCTATCACATGACAGTACGGAGGTGCACAGATAAAGCAAACACCCATGTGTGGCCATGTGTATTGCACTGAAATTTGATAAATATGGATACTTGTGATACACATAACTCAGGCCCTAATGCCAGGCATATGGCAACTGGCTTTATCATTATTATAATTGTTACTGAGGAAATACTCACAGTCTGCCTTTAATGGTTGACATGCTGCAAGGTTCATCCCTCTCACAACTGCCATGTGAGGACAGGGCTGAGAGCCACGCTGCTGTCTGCCCCAGTCCAGGGGTCCCATGAGTAGCCAGCAGCCTCCTGCTCTCAAATCCTTTCTGTCCTAGGTCACAATTTCTCCCTGAGATCAGAGAAGACACACAGTTTGAAAGAGAATTTACTGTGCCAATGAAGCAGAGTATTTGTCATACTGTGGAGGAAGGAAGGAGGTTAGGAAGAGTATGCCACAATGTTAAACCTTGAGCTGTTGACAGACTGGGCTTCAAAATCCTAGTTTGGATTGTTTCTTTCATTTTGTACCTGTGAGGCGAGATTTTACATCCCTAAGCCTCAATTTTCTTTTCTGCAGTCTCAGGCTGAAGGCACTCATCTTATGCGGTTATTACAAGAATTAAATGAAAAGGTGCACATAGGGTGCTTAAAATGTGGTAGAGTCAGCTCAATACATGATGATTAAAATCAGGCTGTTTAACATCTTAATGGGTAACTCTCATTGACAATTCAAATATATGAACCAAACTGTAAATCACAGCTCCAAAAAGGAGTGACTGTCTGAGTGTAGACTTGGCCTCTGGTGGCACATGGCTTAGCTTGATTGCATGTGCATGCATGATATGCACATACTATGTGAGTGCACAACACATGGACATAATAGCTGTATACAGTGCACATACCAAGTATGTAGACTTCATGTGTATGCATGATATGCATAGGCAGTCAATGCATGCACACCCGCCTGATGTCTTTCAAGACCTGGTAAATCACCTTGCTGAAGAAGCCCTCATATTGCACATCAGGACCCAAGATGTGGAAAAGCCAAGTGATTTCCCAGGGTGCTATTACTAGCTGACGTTTGACTATAGTCTAATTTCATCTAAATACTTCCACTGTTCTGGCCTCAAGCTTGCAGAATATTATAGTCTGCAAGTTAAAAAAATGTTAGTTACAGATTTATTAAACTCATGAAGTCCATTTTTTTGCAGCTGTTCATCCATAAATACTTTTTTTTTAAGCTTAGAGTGCCAGAGAAAAAGAGTTCAGAGACCACACTGGAGAGCTGGACAGCCTCAGATCAAAGATGACTTTGTAAGCTATATGAAGGGATTTGGCTTCATCTCGAGGACTGGAGAAGCCTCTGAAAGGTTTTATATAAGGGGTAATGTAATGAACTTTGTGTTTTGAGAGGGCCCACCTGGTTGGAGAGAGAAGGCTTGATTAGAATGGAGCAAGACTGAGGCAGAGGGCTAGTTAGGAGCTGCTTTCTATATTCCAGATGACCGGTGATGGTGAATTAGGGAAGTGCCGTAGAGAAGGAGAGAACCAGACAGATCAGAAATACCTTTGCAAACAGAATCAACAGGGCCTGGTGGTTAAGTCAATGTGGGATTAGAGATGGCGGGAGGATGCCTCTACCAGGTTTAAGCATCCCGACAGCACTGATGTACCGAATCCTCTCAAAAATCCACCAAGGTGGGCAACATGGCCCCCATTTTTAGTGGGTGGTTAGGATTCCATTTAGGTGTAGAAGAGCCATTCTGTGGCTCCAGCTTAAATAAATCTAGATGTAGAAACACTTTATACTTGTTCCATTTCATTCAGTTTAATTCATGTCAACATTAATGCACAACAGAGAGAGAAATCCTGAGATGAGAAGACATCACTTATTTTTCACGGAGTTAATGATCTGATACAGACAACGTCACACTTGCGACTCTCAGAAGCTTAATGTCTTAGAGCAGCCATAAACAGTTTCTCCAAACATTCTTCAACTGTCTGTAAAAGCAATTTCAGATCTACATGTGACAATATGCTTCTAGAAACTGGTATGAAATCATGATAATAATAAGAAAATTTAAGAAAATTCCTCAAAATATAAAGCTAGAGTCTAAATTTTCTCTATTCTTTTTATTCACAAATACACATGCAAAATACATATGAAGTTTTTACCTCTGCATTTTCAAAAATAACCCACCATGCTGTGTACGTTAAGAAACTGCAACATAGATATCTCTGTGAGTTCCAAGTCCTAAAACAATTACTTCTTCATTTCCTTTAGGTGACCTAAATTAATTAACTAGCACTTAAAATGTAAGTGGAGCTATCAACAAGCCAATAACTAAACAAATGATCAAGTGAATGCCAAGTAAGCTTAACTGACAGAAAAAAAAAGCCCTTATAAGTAGAAACAACTTTAGCAATTTTTATGTACTTTGTATTATGAAATAAATTCATATTTACTCACCAAGACCCACCATTTTCCTTAATAAACCCCAATATGAGGAGCTGGGGTAGATGTGTATTTGCAGGTTTTACCAATCTCATTTTGTTATATTGTACTTTTGAGCCTAAATAGGTCTTGCTTGTACTCCAAACCCACTTACATGGTACCAAAGTCAACTTAATGGTTCATTGTATTGTACTGACACTCCAGTGTCATTGCTAAGCACCTGTTTTAATTCAAAAGAAGAAGGGATCCTGTATTACACTCACCGTTCTGAAGAGTGGAATGACATTCAGCAACTATTGAAATAAATCAAAATATCATTTTCACTGTACTTCAACAATACAATGCATTACTGATCTTCTGTCGGTGTTATATACATAATAGCGCATCCTTATAGTTAGCCACAGAGCGATCGCTCTTCAGAGTCACACTTCACACTGCCATGCACTTTTAGCCTCAAACATAAATACCTTACTTTAAATATGATATCATTCAAGTACTTCATTTGAATGTAGAGAAATTGGATAAATAGGAGTGAAGGACATCACTAGGACAACTTCATACTTTTCCAAATGGGCGTTCACTTTATCCTTTTTTTTTTTTTTTTTTTTTTTTTTTTGGTTGAGAAGGAGTCTCACTCTGTTGTCGAGGCTGGAGTGCAGTGGCGCGATCTCAGCTCACTGCAAGCTCCGCCTCCCGGATTCACGCCATTCTCCTGCCTCAGCCTCCCAAGTAACTGGGAGTGCAGGTGCCCGCCACCATGCCCAGCTATTTTTTTTTTAATTTTTAGTAGTGACGGGGTTTCACTGTGTTAGACAGGATGGTCTCGATCTCCTGACCTCATGATCCACCCGCCTCGGCCTCCCAAAGTAATGGAATTACAGGCGTGAGCCATCTCGCCCGGCCTACTTTATCCTTTTTATGTTGACTTTGTCAACAAATGCGCTCCTGCCATTAGGCCCCAGGCTATACAACCTAGGCAAACCTACCCATCCTGTTTGGAAATATCTCAGTTCCCTGATATTGTTGGCGTGGTTTTGTTTCAGTAATGATGAAAGTCCCTTAACCCTCAGCTAGTTCTGCCAGGAGGAAGATAGTTGTAATCACAACCAAACATGAAAAACCCCATGGTAGAATTCCTTAGCAGGCTTCATTACCTTCTGTCTTATTTTGACTTAAAACTTAAGGAGATGCACTTTTTCAGCTTGCAATACTTTTGCCCTGGCCTTTTCAGGCTTATGGTTGGCATTGGAAAATCAGGCGTCTTTTGTCAGAGAGACCGAATTCTTACAGGAATTCTTAGAGTCTGTGTTAGGTTACATGCTTATTTACTATGCTCACTTTTCATCATCATATTTTCTTTCTGCCTTTTTTGTTTGGTTCAAAGTAAAATTATCATGACTTACTCACTATTCGATACCCTTAAAGTCTATATTAAGAACAAGAAGATAACGTCTGGAAATCATCTGAACACCTCTAAAGAAAATTACTGTCTGAATTGTCCTTAATACTATTTTCAGGAGTACTTCCTGGAATGAAAAGTGATCTTTCTGAACATAATCTTTATGGATTTTCATAACAATCCTTTAATAAAAGAGATTTTTTTCTTGCATCCAATCAATATCTGCACATACTAGCAAATCCAAATACAGTTTATACTGCTTTTCTCCCTAACTTCAGTGTCATAATTGTTAACTTATATCAACATTTAAAGTCCAGAAAATAACAGAGATCTTATTATGCTTAATGACTCAGAAGTCAAGACAACTCTAAAGGACCAATAAAATCTGTTTGGATGATATAGGCAGGTAGGGAGACAGAGAGACTAGAGGGATGGATAATTAGATAGGTAGACTGATGGATTGATTGATTGATGGGGATAGAGTAGGGATGGTGGTATACATGTGGATGAGGGTGAGCAGTACAATAGAGATATAGAGACAGTGTACGTAAGTTAACTGAAACACAGAAGAGAGCCTATTGAAGCCTTCATAAGACATTAATACCTAGACAGAAATAGGTCTCGAGTTTTTAAAATTATTACAAGATAATAAAAATAGATGGAAAAACTAAATTCTAGTGTGTAGGGAAGCACAATTGGGTGATAAAACTGTAAAGAAAAGTAAGGAGGTGATGTCCATAAAAGTCGGGAAAGGGCCTTAGTCGTGCGGGCCCTGAGGGGGCGGCCTCTGACCTCAGTGGGTGTTATGAGGGCCTTGGCATTCATTATGTTGTACTTACACTTTTGTGCATTTCTGTGTTTGTGTTATATTTAACATAAAATAATTTTTTTCAAAAACGTGTTACAAGAAGAATCCCACACTGGCACGGAGACCCTCCAGTGAGCGCGGGGCATGGTCTTGCCACTTGCACTGAGCCCTGGCTCGCCTGGAGCTAGCGGAACCCACTCAAGCAGAGACAGAGGCCTGCTCCGCTCGCGTGAGAACTCACGGCACCCACCGCAAGAGAGAAACTCAAGGGGGGACAATGACCGCAGGACCAAGGCGCAGGAAGGGCATCTGAACGACCTCGGGGCTGTAAAGACCATTATCGTTAGGCAACCAGGCAATGGAAAACATCACCCATAGGGCCCTAGGAGACCATAGCTAATCAGATGCCTAAAGCATCACCCATAGGGCTCTAGGAGATCATAGCTAATCAGATGCCTTTGCTGGTTGCTCATTGTGCACAAACCGAATTACTACATGGTGTAAAGTTGGTAGAATCAGGGACGCTCCTGAAGGAGGTGATAATATTTTGAAGAAAAATGTTCAGCCAGGAGAGCAATATATGGAATCATGAGCCTCTATTAACCAAGACAGAATAACATAGGTCAAAGTTTTAAGAAACGTAAATATTGAAGGACGCAGTAAAAAAAGATTGGCATGGAATGCACTTCATTTCTGGCTGTGAGAATTGTGTGTGTGTGTATGTGTGTGTGTGTTTGTGTGTGCATGTGTGTGTATGTGTGTGCGTGTATGTGTACATGTGTGTATGTGTGCGTGTGTGTGCGTGTGTGTGTATGCATGTATGTGTATGTGTGTATGTGTGTAGTCTCTGTGTTTGTGGTGTGTGGGTATAGTCTCTGTGTGTGTGGCTTTTGTGTGTAGTCCGTGTGTCTGTGTGTCTGTGTGGTGTGTGTGTGTGTGTAGTCTCTGTGTGTGTGGTGTGTGTGTGTGTAGCCTCTGTAGTCTCTGTGTGTGTGTGTGGTGTGTGTGTGTAATCTCTGTGTGTGTGTGGGGTGTATGTGTATGGAAAGAGGCAGCAGGAAGGAAGGATGGGGACGAGAATCTGGAATGGGCTCTGGAGGGTCTGCGCTTCCTTGACAGAGGAATGTGATGAAGGGCATTTGAGGACAAATATTTAGGACCATGAGCACAGGACAGCAGAGAGGGAAGCAGCTACAGAATCCAGGACGGCAACTGGAAGCCTATTCCCAGGGAATGTTCCAGTGTGAAAGAGGGGGCCTGACCATGGCTGTAAAAAATTACTAAGGAAATGGTGAGAAATAACTGGAATCAAAGACATTTTTAAGAAAATAGTTAAATTACTTTGTTACACTGACTGATACTAATGAATGGGGATGATGGGGTTACATTTTATAAAGAATGTCCAAGGAAATGAAAGGGCCTCCTTTGAAATCACTTCCTGCAAAGCAAAGTACTTGAAGAGCACAGCATTTTGGTACCTGCTAACAATTGACTCTTTAATTGTTATTGGCTTGGTAAGAGTTTTCATTGGTCAGGACCCTCTCTACTAAAAATACAAAAATTAGCCAGGCATGGTGGTGCACGCCTGTAATCCCAGCTACTTGGGAGGCTGAGGCAGGAGAATTGCTTGAACCCGGGAGGTGGATGTTGCAGTGAGCTGAGATCATACCACTGCACTCCAGCCGGGGCCACAGAGCAAGGCTCTGTCTAGAAAAAAAAAAAAAAAAAGAGTTTTCATCATTCAATTTTTTGTTTAATGGTTAGGTAAAGTTTACCAAACCATGATATTGTTTAATATTTCAAACTCTGATGATCAAATAGAGGTAGATTTCTATAAGAAACAAGTAAGAAAAGATACAACATTTCTATACATTTTATTGTTCTGTTTTGGCGATATGAAGTAATTTGCTAGAATCACTTTGTAATTAGCAAAAGTTATGAATGTGAAAACTGACAAATGTAAGGAGAAGAAAAAAAAAATCCATTCCTTGTATATCTACATGCAGGATCCCAACTGCATTCAATGTGCCAGGGAAAAGGGAAAGTGGACAGATACTGGGTTTCTGCCAAAGAAGTAAATGGAATCTCCAAATTCCATTATTTCCATGGCCAGTTTGACTTCCGTTCATAATATATTAGTTAATGCAAATAATGACTTAGCTAGCCCTGGTTGGAATGAGTGTGGCATTAATGATCAGACTTTGAATGTCAAAACTGTCAGCCTCTCCAGCTCCATCGCAGATGCTTGGCATTTTAAGTACAACTTCTGAAAGATCTTGGGTTGCTCAAATTCTTCAATTTTAGGGACACCAATTCCCACCTCTCTCCTATTTCAGTATGTGGCTTGTTTCTCAATAATCCCTATAAAGAAAATACCCAGGGACACATTTTCCTGACTTCCTCCTCTGGCTTTCCAGCTGGAATCCTGAATCTAATTGTAAGTCTATTAAAATGTATATAAATGACTGAAACCATAGCTTGCCTCTCCAGAGATCAGCCACTTTGCTCTGCTGTGGAACAGTGCCACAGCAGCAGGCTGTGTGGACTGAATGCTTAGATGAATCATTATTTATTTTTAGACCTGGTTTCTACATATTTCATGATTAAAAATATATACATATATCAGTGTACCAAGTCTTCCAATTTTATTTCAGATAAAAGTTCTTGGATTTCAAACTCATATATTTCCAGCCACATGGGAGACTAGTCAAGCTACTTCCATTTGTAAAATGAGAGTCATGTAGTGACAGCTTTGTCAAAACAGATTAGGGCATTAATATAAAGGGGCATTTTAAAATACAGTGATTCAGGCAGAAGTACTAATTTACAGAACCTTCCTGTTTCCCGGACAATAGAAATATAACTGTTCACATATTGCTTTGTCCAAGATGAATTGTTTCTCAATTTTTTTCTAGACTCTTCATTAATATCAATTTTCTTCTACTTGTTGAAAATAATATTTTCTTATCCAGTTTCAGAGCCTCTAGACAAAGACTTTTGAAGGTCTTAATGAAGAAAAACAATTATTTCCTTTTCAAAAGAAATGAAAGGCACAATTTTCCTTTTATAACTGTTACTGCTCAAAACAAGAGAAGATTTGATAAGTTTCAGTTTACAGGTGCATGCCTAGAAAGAGAGTAACCACATTAGCTTAGAAGGACAAGGGCAGCCCTCTCAGCAGGGGTGACACGGGAAACCTAGGTGACATCGTGAGTTGCCTCAAACCAAATGCTCAGCTGATGAACTGGCATGATTGACTTTGGCATACCAGATTATCATAGTCTCAATACAAAGAATCATTTTGGTCTAAACCATCAGAGACACATTCTTATTTGTGGAATGTATTTCAAATTTTCAGCCTGCCATTTAATGCTTTCAGAGGTTATCTTTAACCAACCTTTCCTATATTACTTTCCCAAATCTCGTTACAGACTCTACTACATTCAGGTTTTCTTCTGATTAGGCTGTATAGATCTCTACAACTACAGGTGGAGACATGCTGATACACTCCCCTTCTGATTGCTAATTTCTAATCAGATTTCCAGATGCATTTCATACTTTCCTAAAAGTATGCAACATGCCATTTATAAGTATCTTGTGACATTAATCACTGGAACTTAGTTATTTATATAGGTACCTTACTTTACCAATAGATTACAAACTCATTAAAACCTCAGATTTACAATTTGATCTTCATTATAAACTATATGCACAGACCCTTGCACATAGTAGATGCCAAATCACTATTTTCTTTATGCTAATGCCTCATCTTAAAGTGTCCTTTTATATCCTCATTCCATCTCTGCAATTTGAAATCAACCCATTCTTCAATACTATCTCCTCTGTGGATCCCTTTATTGACTGACTCTCCAAACCTGAAAGTAACCTGGAAATTTGATCAAGGACATCGAAGGCAGTCATATCTCAGAATTACTATGTTTGGGATTAGGGATCCTTTAGGTCACTACAGTAGTTGAAGTGAAAGCAAGATTTCAAGGAAAATCAAATAGGAGACGAAAACAGAAAGTGTAGACTAATTCACAAAACAGAAAGAAGAAAGGCAACACAGCATGTTGAATTGGATTGATGAGTTAAGGAAAGATTTTATTAGATCATATTTACAGAAGGAGTAATGACGCATACTGAAGAGGCAGACTAGAAGAGAGATTGATCAATCAAAATATTCTTGAACGTTCAAATGAGCTTTGCATTTTAAATCCTTCCTGAAAGCTAACAATGTATGAATATTGAATAACTAATATGTAAGAGGTGGTTGTGCAGCTAGTCCTGTAAACACAGTTGTGAATCATGCTGTATGAGATGCCCAGCATCGCAGTCCCAACTTACACTACAGCAACAGCAGGCTGAAAGGCTTGATTCAACTCCCATTGACCCAGACACTTCCCTGGTTATTAGACAGCTTCTGGGCATCCATGAATAGCTGGTACAAATACTGACAGAGGGAACCAATCTCCAGATGGAGGTCTCCTTAGAGAATCTCTCACTCCGGTTCAGGTGAGCCTTGGAGTCGTTTAGGAATTACAAAACATCACAGGAGAGTTCCACGTACAAGTCAGAACATTATACCGAACCAAATGGCTCAAAAACAGAAGCTCAAAAATAGAAGGCAGCCCTTTTTCCATCTTTTGATCATCCAGAGATGAGATTGATTAGGTGACATAACAGAAGAATGAGATGTTCCCAATGAGGTTACTTATCAAACTCTATAATGAAACAATGTTGAACCTGGGAACAGTCTACTGAGTAATAAGGCTGAAACATCAATAACTATAATTAAACATTTTAGTATCTATAATTTCTAAGGACGAGTATAGCCAAAGGGATAAAAAAATTGTTTCAAAAAGTAAGTTTCCCACCAGTGTTCAGTGAATCTGTATGGAACATTGACTTCACTAAGTCCACTTTATTTTCCGCTTACTGAGAATGCTGGATTTCAAGGGAGGTTGTCCCACCCTCTTTTGAAAACACATTCTTCCATGTGACTGGCCTCTGGCTAGGGGCACACTGGAAAGCGATAGCGGTGGCTGCTTAGAACATTTTCTGACTCTTCAGCTTCATTTCTTCTGCTGTGCTAATCTTGGATTCCACATGATTCGATTGCGAGCTACACGATGAAGGAAGTGTGGCTGACCTAACAACACATGAGTGAGAAATAAGCTTTTATTGTGTTTATCCACTGAAATCTCAAGTTTATTTGTCACTGCAACATTGCTGGCCCAGCCTAACTTATACAACATCTTTTTCTTCTATTGCTCAGTTATTGTTGCTGTCCTGGTAGCAATATCAGTATTTATATGGTATTATAATCAATATATAATCTTATACAACTTTATATTATACAACTTTATATATTGATTATTATATATATAATCTTATACAACTTTATATAAATCTTATACAACTTTATATATATATACAACTTTATATATACAACTATATATACAACTTTATATATATATCAACTTTATATATTGATTATTATGTACAATAATCAATATATAAACTTATACAACATCTTTTTCATCTATTGCTCAGTTATTGTTGCTGTCCTGGTAGCAATATCGATATTGATATGGTATTATAATCAATATATAATCTTATACAACTTCATATTATACAACTTTATATATTGATTATTATATATATAATCTTATACAACTTTATATAAATCTTATACAACTTTATATATATACAACTTTATATATACAACTATATATATACAACTTTATATATATATCAACTTTAAATATTGATTATTATATACAATAATCAATATATAAACTTATACAACATCTTTTTCTTCTATTGCTCAGTTATTGTTGCTGTCCTGGTAGCAATATCAATATTGATATGGTATTATAATCAATATTATATAATCAATATCTAATCAATGATTATAATCAGTGAGGACAGCAGCTTTAATGTTCCAGGTGACAGCCAGTATTATGCATGAGCATATAGCTTTGAGAAGGAGTTACTAAGTGGGCTCTTTTGGATGTAATCATAACATTAATCACATTTTCTCTAAATATAATAAAGAAATGTGGTCCTGAAATAAGAAAAGGGAACAAGAGAAGCTGACCCTTGGTTAATACTGATAATAGATATTGACACTCTACAGAACATTTTCAGAAAGGTAGCATGGTCCATAAAAAATATTCAAATATTCAAAATATTCAAAGCTATTGACTTTCCAGCTTTGCACATGGCTTCCCATCTCCTCCAAGGAGCTCCTCATTGGGACTTTGACAACCTCAGGCAAGGTCAGTAAGAGACAAAACAAGCATAACATCCATTCTCAAAAAGTTTGTAGTCTAATGGAGGACACAGACATTTAAGTAAATGTTTATAATAGAAGGGTGTCTTAGTCTTCTTTCAGGCTGGTATAACAAAATACCATAAACTGGGTGGCTTATCAATAATAGGCATTTATTTCTCACAGTTCTGGAAGCCAAGAAGTTCAAGGTCATGGCACCAGTGAATTCGGTGTCTGGTCAGGGCCCCGCTCCTGGGTCGTAAAAGGCACCTTCTCACTGTGTCCTCATAGGGTAGAAGGGCCAGGACCGCCCTTTGGGGCCTCTTTTATATGGACACTAGTTCCATTCAGGTGGACTTCATCCTCATGACCTCATCACTTCCCAAAGGTCCCACCTCCTAGTACCATAACTTTGGTGATTGGGATTTTAACATAGGAATTTGGGGGAGAATACAAACACACAGCTCATAGCAAAGGCAAACTGGGCTCTAGCAGAGAGATGGATAAAACAGCATGAGATCAGGTAGGAGAGAACAAGGAATGTTTCAGAGGAAGAAATACTTAGACTGAGGCTTCAAGGCTGTGGAAGATTTACCAGAGCTAAAACATGATCCAATAATTGTTTTAGGCAGAAGCTCCAGCATCTTCAGAGGCTCATGGGAAGCCAACTTGAAGCAGGAGACTTGAGCACTACATTCTAGGCTCTGTTTTTGTAGGTTTCCTGAGAGCCTGTGTCAAAGCAAAGCAGAAGCATACATCTCAATCTCTCTAACTCATGCCCTTACCTGTGATGGGAACCAATCGTACAACCATAGTCCTCCTCATCTCTGAAGAAATCTAAGGGCAGGCAGCCACCTTCCCTACCCTATCGCATCTTGGGCCAACTCCAGGGTATTTAAATTACTCAATCTAAAAACGAAACTCTATGAGCATTCATTATTCTAAAGAGCTGACGATATTTTTAAGACGCCTACTCAGCCACACATTTAGCAATACAGTAATGTAAAGAATAAAGCAAGCGGTTAGTGAAAACAGAGAAAAGGAGTAATATTTCAACATAAGTAAACTTTTGAAATGAATATCTTGGGGTTGAGAGGATTGTCCCAATTCAAGGGCTTTACGTGAAGCCAGTGCCTGAAAGCGATCTGCCAGTAGTGCACCTAATGGTGTAAAAAGTAGTCTTGAAATACAGCTTCTCTAAAAAATTTAGAGGCATGCAATAAACAGAACCCTGGGATTGAAACAAGAAGAACTTGATGTATTTATGATTGTAAAGCTTTAACCTCTTGGGGCCTATTCTCCTTCTTTATAAATTGAAAGAAATATTATCCCACATTTTATCACACAGAGTTTTAAAAATTAAATGAGATAAAGGAAAGGAAGGCCTGCAAAAGTTGAATATGTGTAAAATAGTGTTTGATGGGTAAATAGGGGGCAAAAAGGTAAAACCACCATTAAAACAACAAATTGGTTCCCAAACCTGTCTTTTGTCTCTTCAGTGAAGTTATTTGAGTAAAACAAACAAATTAAAACAAAACCAAAAATGAAAATCAAACACACACACACACACACACACACAAACATTGAACTGGGAATTAAAAACCCTGGATTTTCAAGATAAGCTCTTTATAGTTGTGTACCCTAATTCGTTTAATGGGACTATCACCACTGCGTCTATCCACAGCATACAGTTGTTAAGGGAACCAAATGATACAATAGGCAGGAAAGTTTTACAAATATAATGTAATGTACTCAATGGCATTTTTGGAAAATGCTCCAGTGTGTATGAACGCGTGAATGAAAAACCAACCAACAACGTTAGTGATTAATGTAGCAATCCATTTGCTGTAATGTATTCTCTTATCAGACCACAGGTGCCATTCTGTTTTTGGAGTAAGAACAAGTGATACTATCTTTCTTCTATTGGCGATGCATTTTCTACGTTCCAATTCTGAATAAGCATTTTCAATTTTTCACCTTTTCTACTTTTCATCCTCCCCAATCTCTCTCCCACATAAAACAATAATGACAAATAGGAATGTGTGGACCATTCCAGAGCAGCGTGTGGCCCAGAGTAGGCCTCCAGTGTCTTTGGAACAATTCGATGAAACTTAAATCTTGGGACTCATTGGATGTAACTATTAGATGTCACTTTTTACTTTTGTTCCAAGTTTCTGATGTTATTGCTATCCCAGAATGAAAATATAAAGCCCTTATAATTGAAAATCATTTGCATTAAAGGTGTTCATTTGGAGTAGGGCATTTCAGTTCTATTTAAATTACAGATCATTCAACTATAAACAACTGCAGTTGTATCATTCAAGAGGAGATACCAATCAATTTTTAAGACCAGAAGCAGCTCTCTTTCATAACCTCTGCCCCCACCTTTTTTTCTCAAATTCTAAAGCATATCACACGGAGCACTGGCAAACCGCTTCTCAGAAGAGCATGCATCTTGTTACTTACTTTGCAACAGTTTCTTTCCTCTGGCTCTTAAAAAATGTTTATATTTTTAAATCAGGCAAATATTTATATTAATCTGTAAAGCATTTACTTGTCATCTTTTCTGCAGCGAAATTAAAGCGTCTATATAGATCTTTTCATACCCTCAAAAAGTCATTGAGTTATTAGCTGGAACATTTTGTTAAGCTGATATCTTAAACACCTTATTTATACTGTTTTTTAGCTGATTTGTAACAGAGCAGTATGGTGTTTAAAGAAAGAATACACATAGAGGGCAGGGTTTTGCTTTGTTTTGTTTGGGGGGTCCAGGGTTTGGAGCGGGGGTGACCTCCCTTTTGCTCCTCCCGTGCCTGGCAGGAGGACAAGGAGGTGATGTTTTGAAGTGGCTGCACAGGCCAGGTGGACACACTCACAGAGGTGCCCTTCGCTTTGCCTGCTCTGAGACTGCCATCCACCTCTCCCTCCCACACCGTCCACCTCACACCCGTGAGCAGAAAGCTCCAAGCACGAGTCCTGCTGCTCGCTGCAGACGCTTAGCCGCTCCCGCGCTAACTCAAGGCTTCCTTGGGTTTCTGGCTTCCTCTCTTCTTCGTGGAGATCCACTATTCATATTCACATTTGACACTCAGCGATTTTCTGTTCCTGCCTTTCCTAGACCTGGCAATTATTAGCTACATCCTGTCTTTAGGGAGCAGGCCTGTGACTGCTGACAGTGAATTAGAAAAGCGCATCCATCAGCCTCTGGGGCTCACTCGATTTTACAAAACTACCACTCGATCTTCACGAAGGCTCCTGTGAGGCAATGCATCAGGGACAGAAACAGCCCCTCAACCCCTTGCGACTTTTTTCCCTTGCATGACATGAGTCAGACCACTACCAGCAGTGAGTAACAGGCTACAGCTCGTTTACAACAGCAAACGTGATTGAGCATTACTCTGAAGCAGCTTCTGAAACTCAGTTTCCCATGTACAAATTTTGGAATTCCCAAGTTCATCGGCTGTAACAAAGGTGCCAGTGTGAACCAGGAATGTCTTGACTCAAAGGGAAGCCACAGGCCGCCCACAAATGTTTTTTTTTCCAGGGGATGCAGAGCTGAGGCTGGGTTTTAACGCCTGTGCAAGTAATGAAGCTCCTGTCAGAGCTGGCTTTGAGCAGAATGCTATCAAATTTCAGGGAGCGATAGATTTAACCTAACCAAGCATAAGTGGTTCCAAACCACTTCTCCTGTGGGCATTTGCACAAGTTGGGTACACCACCTCGAGGTGATGCTAGTACTCAGATTGATGGCAGAGAAGGGCCAAGTTTCCATAAGAAAAGTTTGGTTACTTGAATCAGTTCCAGAGGTCAGCTATGCTGGAAACCACAGAACTGAAGAACTTGAGAAACCGTAGGGTTATTTGAGGTTTCATACACGAAAGATAAAGATCTTAATATTATTTAGGATTAGAACATAAAAAATAATGTTTTTATTTTTCCCAAGCCCATTAAAACAATCGTTGTGAACATTTAAGGCTTTGGGATTAACTTTTGACAGGCCACATCCTTTTCGCTGAGCTAAGTTTTAGTAAAGGTACTGAGCACTAGTAATTATATTTTAAAGATGATCAGTTCACAATCAAAACTTGTAATTAAAACTAACTTTTATAATAGTGTCTCCCATTGACAAACATTCTTAAGAGTAGTAAGTGCTGGTGAAGATGTGTTGAAAATGGTCCCCTCAGGTACTCCTGGTAGAAGCGAAAATTGTCACAAAATTCCTTCTGATAGCATGTTGAAAATATGTTTTAAGAGGCTAAAAGGTATTTTATATCATGCTAATTCAAGGAATCAATCTTGAAGAAATAATGCAAAAGAGACGGCTCATAGTTTCATGCACAAAGATGTTCATGTAGCAAATAACAAAAGTCTAACTTAATTTTTAGAAGTAGAAAATAGGCTAAATGTGTTATTGTACATCCACATGACACAACTGCATGTAATCATTAAAAGTAGGATTCAAAATTGTTCACTCAATATACAAATGATCAATGAAAATATTACAGACTGATAGAGAAAAACATGGAAATTTAGTATGTGCTAAATGTAGTATTTTCTATCAGAAAGGAAAGAAAGATGATCTATATTGATAGAATCTGCTACATATATGAAAACAGTAAAGTATTCTCATAGTTTTTCAAGATGGATTGTACACACACATACGTTTAAATGTGTATATATACATACACACACACACATATACACCTGCTCATTAATTAGAAAACATATTTTAATAAACTTTATTGGGAGTGGTGGTGATAGCCTTTTAAAGCAAGCAGTAATACCTAACTTTCATAAAGCAATAGATCAGCAATTTGTGTACATAAAATTTAAAACTGTATAGCATATATATACATACAGATAAGTGTAGAGAATTGTCTCTGTATGTTAAGAGATATTATTAATAAAGTTAAAAATGACATACTGGGAGACAATATACTTTAACACAGAGACAATGTTTTTGAGATAAATTAAAGACAAAAACACAATATAAGTAATAAAAACAGTTCCTACACACCAATAAGATATATATAAACAATCAAATAAAAAAAACCTGCAAGAAACACAGGCAAAGGCAATACATATGAGAAATACAAACAGCTTATAAACACACAAGAAAGAAAAAAGGACTCAATGACACTTATAGTAAATAGTCATTTTTTTAAGTTACAGATATTTTTTCTATTACATAGCATAAAGTAAAATGATTGCTGATATACATTTATAGGTATATAACAGGTATTTTCATACATAGTCTGAGGAAGTCTAAACTGGCACATTTTTTTAAAAATATTGTGTTAATTCCTTTTAAATTAAACTGAAATTTAAAAACCTCAATACTCTTTGACTGTAAATCTCCATTTGTAAAAACATATTCTCCTAAAGGTTTCTGAAAGCATGCAAAAAGATATTTGTTCAAGCATATTTATTATAGTGTTATTTATTTATTTCTTCATTTATTTTTAGAGACAGGGTTTTACTCTGTCACCCAGGCTGGAGTGCAGTGATACGTTCATAGTTTACTGTAACCTCAAACTCCTGGGCTCAAGCAATCCTCCCACTTCAGCCTCCTGAGCAGCTGGGATGACAGGTGTGCACAACCATGTCTGGCTCATACTTATTTTGAATTTTTTTTTGTAGAGATAGAGTCTTGCTGTGTTGCATAGGCTGGTCTCCAACTCCTGGCCTCAAGCAGTCCTCCCACCTCAACCTCCTAAAGTGCTGGATTACAGGTGTGAGCTGCTGTGCCAAGCCCTACGGTGTTATTTCTAAGTAAATGCCAATAAACCAAAAGGCCTAAAAATAACAGATAGGTTAAATAAACAATGATATATGTCAGAATAGCTTATTCTGTGCAGAAATTGAGAGAAGAATTTGTTATGGCAATGCTAGCTGCATAACAAATAAACCCTGTCACCGCAGAGGGTCAACACATGGATGTCTCTCTCCCATGACTGCCCGGGGTGTCCAGCTGTGCTGGGTGGAAGTCTTTGCTCAGGATGACCAAGGCTTCTCCCATCTTGCGGGTCCTTCATCCTTGAGGGTCTCAGCGCCTTTGCATTCGGCAGTGGAAGTGGAAGAAGCATGAAAGCACATATCAGGCTGACTGTGCTAGGCCAGGAGGCCCGGCCTCACTTCCACTGTCATCCAGTGGCCAACACCAGCCAGGACGGCCGGAAACTCAGTCTCGTGTCCAGGTCTAATGAGCAGTGAGGTGTCTCTGCCACAGTCTGCAAACTCCCCTGTCCTCTGTACTCCGTGAGAATGGGAAGAAAAGTGCAGCCCTCTCCTCCAGTCTCCGGTAAGCATTGCCCTGCTTATGTCCTGAGGGCTTCCTTGTCCCGGGGAACCATTTCTTTGGGTTTCAGAAGGTTTCCGGAAACACACTGCTGGAGGTATTAGGTTGCATAAGCCTAGGATTTTCACGGGAGCCCAAGGGAGCAGGTAGACGAATCCCTAACCGAGATTGAACTTTAAAGCAAGCCAGGTGGGTGGCAGACAAATCAAATTTATTGTAAAAACAATTCCAAGTAGAAAGAAACACTTCTGTTTCTGAAATTTTATGAAAGATGCCACTGAATTTAACAGTGCAATAGGGAACAGAGACTTAAGTTCATATCAGCTTGGGGTAAAAATCTGAAAGAAATATGCCAGAAGGAAGCCAGGCAGCAACCAGCGTGTAGGCACTCCATTGCCTGACGAACCAAACAGGGGTGAGGGGAGAGAGAGACAAAATTCTCCCCCCTAAAAAAGTAGCATGTGGCATTCTCCAAATAAAAAATATCCCTGAAAACCCCCCAAATAAAATGTATCACCTTTGGTAGAAATGTTTGCTGGACTTTCTTTCTTGTTTTGGGATTTTCTTTCCTCCTAGTCATCTGAGCATGGCAGGAGATGCTGGGCACACATGAAATACTGTTTAATGTTTGGTTTCTATATGGCTTACAGAGCAGCAGATTAGGCTCAGAAGAAGTGATCAATGGTCTACAGCCAGAGACCTGCAGAGGCAGCAGGTGACCCTCAGTGTGGACTTAGAGCACATGAAGATGTCACAATGAGATTCTCAGAGACCTGGAAAATGGGGAGAGAATAGGCCACACACAGTCATGGAGGGGGCACCTCACTCCATTGTCCTACAGGTGTTTACGTGAATGATGAACCTAAAATTGGATATATTTGAGACGCATAGGATCTATACTTACATTTATTTGATCCTGATATGCATGTCTTACCATTTTTACATTGAGATGCATCTTACAAAGCATCTTATATTAGATAAGTTGGTGCCTGTGTCTTTTCCTTTTATTTTTTCCAAAAAAAGTGTCATTATAATGATAATGCATCTTATAATCTATGAAATCTTAGCTGAGAAAACTTGATGTGAAATATATTCAGAGAAAAAGACTGGAAAATAATGCACACCAATATTAATCCTGGTTATCTGCGGGTAAGGGGATTATGAGCAATTTTATGTTTTTCTTTTCCTGTTTAAATTTCATAAAATTTCAATAAGGCTAGGAAAAACTAATAAATGTTATTCAAAGTCTGGGGAGTATTCAAAACAAAGGATCTGGCTATTGAACCAGATTACAGATTACAAATTGCTGACAGTCACTGAATGTATCTATGTCATGGCCTAGGCTCTGGCTAGACATTCCCCGGCGGGTGGGGGGAACGACAAAAAGAGTCACACTAATTGTGCCACTGAGGAGCACACCTCTAAGGTCCTGCTCACCCTAGTAGCATCTCAGGCTCTAAGGCAAAGCGCCAAAAGCCATGAAAAGCAGTGTGCTACAGAAACAATGACTGGTGTGGGAATATTTTTTTTAAATATCCAGGTACCGTGGCTCACGCCTGTAATCCCAGCACTTCGGGAGGCCGAGGCGGGTGGATCACTTGAGGCCAGGAGTTCGAGACAAGTCTGGCCAACATGGCGAAACCCCATCTCTACAGAAAAATTCAAAAATTATCTGGGCATGGTGGTGCGCACCTGTAATCCCAACTACTCTGGAGGCTGAGGCAGAGAATAGCTTAAGCCCAGGAGGCAGAGGCTGCAGTGAGCTGAGATCGCGCCACTGCACTCCAGCCTGGGTGACAGAGCGAGACTCTGTCTCAACAAAAAAGGTGGGGGGCGGTGCTTGCAGGAGTAAATTCCCTTTCTTCTCTTCTGCCATGTGAGGACACAGCAGGATGGCTTTCCCCAGATACCAACACCTTGACCTTAGACTTCCCAGCCTCCTGAGCTTTAAGAAAATACACTCTATTCTTTATAATTTATCCAGTCTTATTCTGTTACAGAAGCACAAAATGTTTAAGACGGTGAGCAAAAGAGCTGACATTCAACACAGGCATCAGACTCCAATTCCCAGAGCTTCCTACTGCACTTTACTCTTTCCCAGACCTCGACTCACCTTCCTGTTCCCTGCTCCACTTCCAGCCCTACTGTCCATTCC
This sequence comes from Homo sapiens, assembly GCF_000001405.40. Taxonomy (NCBI): domain Eukaryota; kingdom Metazoa; phylum Chordata; class Mammalia; order Primates; family Hominidae; genus Homo; species Homo sapiens. The sequence continues at coordinate 5,458,917 of NC_000002.12, forward strand.
ATCAGAGGGGAGGCTGTTCAAGTCATAAGGCAGGCAGAATTAAGACTTCTGAAAGGTCCATCTCAAGGTATTCCATTTCCATTCCTCCTGGAGGTGTGAATTTCTTCCCTTTCTTTCCCCATCATTGCCCAAGTCCCCCAGTGAACTTCCCACTGAAGTCTGTGAGAGCCCCACTTGGGAACCAAGCAGGAGAGCACACGGTATCTGCCTACATGGCACATAAAAGGTCCTCTGAGGGAGACAGTCTATGTAGGCATTGTCAATGCTGCAACTGGAAGCCCAGAGAGACATAAAGCTGTCCCGGTTCAAAACCAAGAGGGATGAGGCCAAGAGCAGAGGCGAAGCAGGAGCGCGGATGCAGAGACAACAGGGAGCAGGAACACCCACGTGGTGTCTGGTAGACCAGGTAACTGTGGAATGATTCATACCTAGCACTGGGAATTTACCTGCAGTGGACTCTGGGCAGGGAGAAAGGGCTTTCTTTTTAAAAATAAACAAACAAATCTAAAAAGCCTACTAATGGGTTTGTGTTTTAAGAAAGTTAGATTTTTTAAAAAATAAGAATAAGAATTAATTTTCATAATGGGCATTTATCATTAAACACAGCACTTCTGAAAATCATAAGATCCTTTCTGGCAGGATTCCCTAGAGGGTAAAACACTGAAATGCTACAGAAGGCCCGCACATGTCTTTTCCTTGATTAGGAATTAATTCATTTAACCCATGGCATAAAACACTGTGCAGTCATTTCAAAGCTAAGTCCAGGTGCAAAGATGACTGGACCAGAAAAATGCAGTGGAAGAGGAAGGTGGACAGAGGATTCCACAAGAATAAAGGGAGCCCTTGGCTGTCAGGAAGGAGGCTCCAGAGAGAGTGGCGCATCCCAGGCCCAGGAGACAGCAAGTGTTCCCCGAGTCTTGGGAGAAGGAGAGGACAGCACAGCCTTTCAAGGGGCACAGTTTAGGTGAAGGCAGCATCTCATGCGCTCACTTTTATGGATTGCTAGCAGCTGCCTGGACACCATGTCAAGAATTCTGAAGACACAACTGGCTCAGAAGGAAGGAGTTTGCTGACCACAGGCATGGAGGTGGGGAGTGGCAAATGTATCACCTATTTGCCGTCCCTAATTTCATGCTAAATTCCTAGGGAAATCTAGAAAATGCTTACATCATGTCAGGTGCCAAGAGAGTAAATCCATGGTGCGTGCCGGATGGAGAGATAAGGTGGAGAATAGTAGATCCCCCATGGGACACGTGAGGTGCATTTGGAGAAAACACCTGCTTAGGTGTCTGCTGCCCAAGAGAACAAACAGAGAAATGCTTGTCAGGACAGCCCAGAGTATCAGCCTAGAGCCTCAGTGAAGGGTTTTTGTTGTTGTTATTGTTGTTTTTGAGATAGAGTCTTGCTCTGTCACCCAGGCTGGAGTGCAATGGCTCGATCTCAGCTCACAGCAACCTCTGCTTCCCAGGTTCAAGTGATTCTCCTGCCTCAGCCTCCCAAGTAGCTTGGATTACAGGCATACACCACCATGCCTGGCTAATGTTTTTAGGATTGTTAGTAAAGATGGGGTTTCACCATGTTGGCCAGGCTGGTCTCGAACTCCTGACCTCAAGAGACCCACATGCCTCAGCGTCCCAAAGTGCTGGAATTACAGGCGTGAGCCACCACCGTGCCCAACCTCAATGAAGGGTCTTTAATGGCATTCCTACTGACGGATTTTCAGGCAGCCCTCCCAACACTTATGTGGGACCACACTGGGAGATCGCTATCTAGGGCTTTGAGGAAGATGGACATGAGAAGGAAAACTCTAAACAGAGAGATGCATGCTATCATCCAGCTGGGGGCAAACGGCAATGTGGAAACCAAGGAGGGAGTGACAGGAGGTGTTATGTGGTGAAAGGACCCCATGACCGGGTTGCTGGGGCCAGTCCAGAGCAGTGAGGACAAGGATGAACTGGTGTGGAGTAGCATGATCAGTTGTATTACTCTGTAAGGGACGTGGAGATCATCCTAATCAGCAGCAGATACTCAAACATAAATTTGCAAAGCAGCAAATCAGTTTAATCTGTCCATTTTGTGAAGCTATTTTCAACGTCCCAGCTCTGTGGACAGGGCGCTAGGATTCATACCTGGCCCTGATGCCATTTCTGTTCTGCCATGGGCCTCCTGTGTGAGCCTCCATGCACTCTGGAGCTCCAGTCTCCTCCTGCATGAGCTTCTCCTAGAGCATGGAGAGGGTGGCATAGGACAACAGCTCTGAAGGAGGCTGCACACTGTCAAGTGGTATCTTATCTTTGCTCTTTAAATACCTGGGTATCTGGCTTCTCATTTTGTTTCTGCTTTTTTCCAGCTCCATCCTGTTCTCTTTCCCAGGAGGCAAAGACAATTACCTGCTGTGTGCATGTAACTCTAAAGGAGGTGGGAGAAGGACTTCCCAGGAGGAGGGAACTACTCTAGCCTTGGCAGAGACCCCAAAGGACCCTGAGGCATGTTCAGGAAAGAGCAGCCCCTGCATATGGAGCTGAGTGGGCAAGGCACAAGGAGGTGGGAAAAGAGGCTGAAGGAGCGGCCACCAGCCTGCGAGAGGTGCAGAGGAGGGGGATCCACAAAGCCACCTGGGAACAGGCAAGGAGAACATGTGGGACTGAGAGTCACCAGGAGGAAAGAGGAACCAACTGTGCCAACCTTTCCTGAAAGACAGTGATTTAAATATGGAGAACTCACTGTGGAATTTAAAAACCAGGGCTCGCTTCTTGTCTGTGATGAGAACCATTCTGGTAAAGTATGAAGGTCAGAATTCCGATGGAAGCGAATCAAGGAAGAATGGGAGCAGAAGTGAAGACAGCAAGTATAGGTGTCACTTTCAGGGAGTTTTGCTGTAAAAAGGAGCAGGAAAGTTGGGTGGTAGCTGGGAGGGCTTTGGAGTCAAGATGAATAAGACATCAAGTCTGACCTCTCAGTGGTACAGGAAGAAGCAGAAATTTATAAGTGCAATACAGTGCAGTTAGAAAACCACAGAGCTATAAAGAGGGATCTTGGACATAGAGAAGGGATCTGTAGCCTGGACTCTCTGGCACCTGGGGAGCGTCGGGAAAGTTTCCTGAAAGAGCTGATACCTAAGACCTGTCTTAGATGAGACGGAGGCATTAGCTCCGAACTAAGAGGGTGCAAGAGAACATCCAGGATGAGCTGAAGGTGGGAGGCAACAGAGTTTATTTGCAGAGTGGTAAGTCCTTCAGAATTGCTAGAAACAAAGTGAGATTCAGGGAGTGGTGAAGGAAAAGACTGGAAGTATAAGGAGGGGTCTTAGGTGGCATCTGACAGGACAGGATAAAGATGGCAGACATCAGCCTCCAACAATGAGCAGAGGGCTAGGGTCAGTAACAGGAAAAGTTGGGCACTGGTAAAGGGGTGTAAGAGATATGGCTCTTGTGTTTATTTGTCCTTGCAGTCATCTCTTCATTCAACAACTACTGTGAGATGAGTTTGGAAAAACTCTTTGCTACATGCAAGGAAAGTGGTAAGTAAATAAAATAGGATCTAGTCTCAGCTGAAGGCTGTGGTAGAAGAAGTCAGCATTTGGTGTTCTTCGGGGGCTCATCACTTCTCTCTCTGTGACACACCATCCAAGTCTCCTCCAGCATGGCTGTGCGCAGCACTTCTGTGCTCCCTGAATCCAAATAGTCTCCTCTTTCTCCCTTGCTACTGCTTTACCTGAGTCTCCCCTCCTGGCCTGTGAAACCCCAAGGTGCCATCTTATCAGGCTTTAACTTCTCTTCCTCTTCTGATTCCCAGATTCAGCCTGAGAAACAAAAACTGCTAATGGGACATAGGCAAGACACTTTTTCCCTGTAACATATCTGCAATGTAACAGGAGGAAGAGACTCCAAAGATAGGAATCTCAGGCCTTGTGAGAGTTCACTAAAGAAGATATAACAGGGGAGATACTCTTAGCAAGTTGGTCTGTTGATGCTACCCAAAATACCCGTGCAATCAGCTACTTACAGCAAGATCTAATACACCACGGCAAATCTGCAGGCGAGGTGATTGTAGCATTAAACTTCTTTTGCTCATGCAATACTTTGTAATGTGACCTTTAAGAAAACATTTGCATATATTTTATCTACACATAAAATGTTTAGTTTCTGAGACACCTGTCCAGGCAATTATTCATTTTCTTAATATTAACTTTTGAATCTCAAACATGTTCTCCAAAGTAAAACTATTATCATGAGAAAATATTTCATTGAAAGTCTCAATCCCCGTCACCAATAATCAAGTAGTTATTGTGTCTAGAGCTTGGACAAATAAATTGCCCCGAACGTTTCTTGCAAGTTTAATTATATCGCTGGGTAGTTTTGATGTTGGTGATGTACATTTGTTTTTCTACTGATCTTTACTTTGTTATAACCCAGCTGAACATTTGACACCCTGTAAATGCTTTTGTGTTTTTGAACAAATGGAATTAAACTAGAGCAGGATTCCTGCTCTTAAGGAGATGACAATTTTATTGAGGAGATAGAAACTGTGCTTAGGAAAAGTAAATCAACACTCAAGATAAAAGGCACATCACCAATGCCAAAGACATGTGAGGTCAGCAATGGAAACCTGGGTTTGAGGAGGCAAGGGTACCAGGGCAGGAAAGTCTGGGAAAGGGGCAGGGAGCAAGTTGCACGGGATAGGGCTACCAAAGGTTAGAAAAGCCTTAGAATGGCAGCCAATCAAAATGTGCCCATTATTCCTGTTTGAAACTGGCAGAAAACAAGGTGCGTGGTGCTCAGGAATACAAACCAGAGGGTTTTATGGATGATACTTGCAAATAAGGTTAGAAACCAGCATGACTGAGGACCTCAACTTCTAGACAGTGTAGACTCATTTAAGCTTTAAGAGTTTAAGGAGGAGACATAAACTATTTTATGTTCAGATTATTCCTTCTGGCTTCAGTGGGTAAAATGTTTCAGATACAAATGAGCCCAGAAGAAGGGAGAGAGTCAGGATGCACATGGTAATCTTGGCATAAGAGAATGAAGGCTTGTGACTATAAGAAGGAAAGGAAGAGAAGTTTCACATACAGGGGAAAAAAAACAGCAAAATAAAAACCCGACAGGACTTCCAGGCACTATACAAAGTAGTAACCAAGTACATCTTTACTTTCACTCCCATCCTCTATGTGGTCAAATCTTTTCAAATTCTCTTTATAAGCTGAGTACAGTGGTGCCGGCCTGTAGTCCCAGCTACTTGGCAGGCTCAGATGACAGGATCCTTTGAGTCCAGGAGTTCAAGGCTATAGTGAGCTATGATTGAGCCACTGCACTCCAGCCTGGGTGACAGGGTGAGACCCCGCTTCTTAAAAAAGAAAATCTAGTGCTTCTTCCCAGTTCCTTTAAACCTGGCGCTCAGGGCTCAGGTCTCCTAGCAGGCACTAGACCATTTAGGATGGTATGAGGATGAAGGGCCTTAGCGGGGTAGAAAAGGCATCTGCAAAGGGGAATCTGCAGTCATACACATCAGAAAGTTCATCTTCGTTCAGCAAGGGGAGTGTGCAATCATCTATAGATAAGATTTAAAAGTTAAGGATCTTTATTTAATTTGTCCTTCACGATAAGTCATTAAGGTGGCCTTTTAGTGA